>NT_167249.2:0-300000 GCF_000001405.40 Homo sapiens
TACAAGATTGTGGAATTCACAATCTGGTATTAATCAAAAACTGGCAAATCAAATTAATGATCTTAGACAAACTGTCATTTGGATGGGAGATAGACTCATGAGCTTGGAACATCGTTTCCAGTTACAGTGTGACTGAAATAGGTCAGATTTTTGTATTACACCCCGAGTTTATAATGAGTCTGAGCATCACTGGGACATGGTTAGATGCCATCTACAGGGAAGAGAAGATAACCTCACTTTAGACATTTCCAAATTAAAAGAACAAATTTTTGAAGCATCAAAAGCCCATTTAAATTTGGTACCAGGAACTGAGGCAATCGCGGGAGTTGCTGATGGTCTTGCAAATCTTAACCCTGTCACTTGGGTTAAGACCATCGGAAGTACTACTCTTATAAATTTCATATTAATCCTTGTGTGCCTGTTCTGTCTGTTGTTAGTCTGCAGGTGTACCCAACAGCTCCAAAGAGACAGCGACCATCGAGAACAGGCCATGATGAACGGGCCATGATGACGATGGCGGTTTTGTTGAAAAGAAAAGGGGGAAATGCGGGGAAAAGAGAGATCAGACTGTTACTGTGTCCATGTAGAAAGAAGTAGACATAAGAGACTCCATTTTGTTCCGTACTAAGAGAAATTCTTCTGCCTTGAGATGCTGTTAATCTGTAACCCTATCCCCAACCCTGTGCTTTGCAGAGACATGTGCTGTGTTGACTCAAGGTTTAGTGGATTTAGGGCTGTGCAGGATATGCTTTGTTAAAAAAGTACTTGAAGGCAGCATGCTTGTTAAAAGTCATCATCATTCTCTAACCTCAAGTACCCAGGGACACAATACACTGCAGGGACCTCTGCCTAGGAAAGCCAGGTATTGTCCAAGGTTTCTCCCCATGTGATAGCCTGAGATAGGGCGTCGTGGGAAGGGAAAGACCTGACTGTCCCCCAGCCTGACACCCATAAAGGGTCTGTGTAGTAAAAGAGGAAGGCCTCTTTGCAGTTATGATAAGAGGAAGGCATCTGTCTCCTGCTCATCCCTGGGCAATAGAATGTCTCGGTGTAAAACCCGATTGTATGTTCTATTTACTGAAATAGGAGAAAACAGCCTTAAGGCTGGAGGTGAGACATGCTAGCAGCAATACTGCTCTTTAATGCACCCAGAGATGTTTGTGTACGAGATGTTTTTGTACATGCACATCAAAGCACAACACGTTTTCTTAAACTTATTTATGACACAGAGACCTTTGTTCACATGTTTTCCTGCTGACCCTCTCCCCACTATTACCCTATCATCTTGCCACATCCCCCTCTCCGAGACGGTAGAGATAATGATCAATAAATACTGAGGGAACTCAGAGACCAGTGCCAGCACGTGAGCGCCAGTCTCCTGGGCCCACTTTTCTTTCTCTATACTTTGTTTCTGTCTCTTATTTCTTTTTTCAGTCTCTCATCCCACCTGACAAGAAACGCCCACAGGTGTGGAGGGGCAGGCCACCCCTTCACCTGGGCTCAAGCGATCTGCCCACCTCGGCGTCCCAAAGTACTGGGATTAGAGGCGTGAGCCACCGCGCCCGGCCTTTCCTTAATTTTTGCCTTTAAACAAAATCCCAAGCACCAGAAACCTCTGATTGATGGCTTCAGCCATTATTTTTCTGGCCTAACAGCTCAAATTCAAATGTCCAGAATAGAGCAAGGTGAATTAAAATCCTTGCTTGGTATATAAAACACTCATCAACAGAAGGCCAAGGCCTTACGCCCCAGCAAGGGATTGAACCCTGAATCCTCAGGCTAAAAGTCTGATAGCTCTACCGACTGAGCTACCCAGGCTCACGACAGCAACCTTCCCTCATAGCTTAAGTACATAGCTTAAGTACAGAGAAATACAGTTATCGTCAGCTTTGTCTTCCATTCCAAACGAAAACAATCGCTTGCAGAACTACCTCACGTGCTCAAACCAAAAGCAGCCGGCAAATCCCATTTCTACACTCACCAACCTACTCCCACCACAACCATCTGGCTTTTTTCGAAAGCCACCAATACCAGCCGCTACTACACCTCAAACAAAACCTAGCTACGCGGGTACGCTCCCGAAGCGTTCAGCTCTGGAAACAGCCCAACGACGCTCTCAAAAGCCGACAGTTGTTTGCGTAAAAAGGAATGGTATCTTACTAGGGGACGAAAGGTTTTGGCCTACTTCCTTTCAAACATACAAGACTGTAATATTTTTTCGTACCTAGAGGACTCAGAGAAAACGTGCAGAGCTTGGACACGTCCTACTTATTCATCCATCCAAATCCTGTACGTGCTGTTTTGCTAACCCCAACCTCGCCTCACCCCCTCTCTCCAACCACCCATCCCTTCACCCTTTCCCTTCTGGTCTCCTCACTGCCTCCTCCTAGGCCACGACTTCCCAATAACTCAGCCCACTCCATCCAGCTTGAATTCTTGATTTTCCAGGCCAGGATTTCCCAAATCTGCCGGATTTCGAATTTAGGGAGCTTTCTAAATGATGTAACTTAACTGCCCGGCCCCGCCTGGACCGTGATTTCGGTCGTCATCCAAAACTCATGTCTGGGTTGACTGTCACACAAAACACTGGCGAGAGGATGACAGCGTCGACCCTTTGAGCTGTGTCAGATCACGTTTGAGACGCTCACCAGGCGTACAAAGTGTTAGTTCCTTGCATAGATCGTGCCCCAGTCCACACACCTTCTCCCTTGCCCTCTCCTGATTCCAGAGAGAATCCCATCTGAAAGAGGCTATGTATCCGACTGCAGCATTCTCCCTCCTCCTCCCTACCCCGCCTCCTCTCTTTCAGATCAGAGCTTCGGCGATGGAAAAGCAGCTGTCGGTCCTGGCCGTGTAACCACCCCAGATTTGCCAGACACACGCTGTCGCTCTGCATTTCAGGCCAGGTTTTGTGAATTCTGTAAGCTTCTGTTTTACATCCTCCATTAGGACCTAGAGTTCGCCAAGCAGCATTTAACTTTACTTCTTTGATTTCCTTTCTGTGTTACCTTTGGTGTCCTTAGGCAGAAGAAGTTGAGGGAAAGGGGCAACTTGAAGAGGCAAGAAAATGCTTCATTCCTGGGGCTTTGTGAATGGAAGTGCCCGCCAGGGAGTCGGTTGTGGAGCGGACCTTGGAGCAAGCTGACAGGTAGGAAGATGTGTGAAGCAGAAACAATGAATCCCAGGGTCCAAAATCGGTCTAAGGCCAAGTTTTATTTTGTTTTCTAGAAATCTATATGAATGCATTTCCAGTCTTCCTGCTACCCTCACTTCAAAGGCCTTCTCCCTAGACACGGGAAAATCCAGAGCTCCAGAAGCAAGTTCTCAGCAGAATTCCAGCTTTTTCACTTTTTGTCCCCCGCTTTGATACATGAACTAGCATTCAAAAGGAAACAAAAATGGAACTGATTTTGGTACATTCCTCCAGTGTAGGACTATGCTTAGAAACAGAGGAGTTCTTCGTCTTATCATTTTTACTGGCCCCTTGTTTATACCGTCAGTGTTTATTTCAGGAAACTCAATAACTTAGGCATCTGTCTATGCTTAAACTGTTCCCCACCCCGCCACCACACACACACACACACACACACACATACACACACACACACACACACACACACACACACACACACTGCCCCTTTGGCTGCATCTACCGCAGGGATCTTTGGTGTGCTGTTAACTCATGAATTCTACTTTCTGGTTGTACAACTGTAAACACAAGCAACTTGATTTTTCAGAAGGCAAGTGTAAGAGAAGAAATTTTAACCCATCGCCCACTAAGACTCTTGCAATTTTATTTCAACTAAGTATGCGATAACACAGCGTGTCAAAATATTCAATGAGAATCTATTTACTATCTACCAGACTAATCACTCTGCCAAAATCCGGCGTCGAGAAGAAAACTTTTAAGACTTTAAGCCCCCTACCATATCTAATTCTCCCTGCATGCTGATAGCATCTGGCCCTCAAACTTGCAAATGAGTTTTCTTTTTCTGTTTTTTTTTTTTTTTTTTTTTTTTTGAGACGGAGTCTTGCTCTGTCACCCCGGCTAGAGTGCAGTGGCACGATTTCGGCTCACTGCAAGCTCTGCATCCCGGGTTCATGCCATTCTCCTGCCTCAGCCTCCCGAGTAGCTGGGACTACAGGCGCCCTCCACCACACCCGGCTAATTTTTTTGTATTTTTAGTAAAGACGGGGTTTCACCGTGTTAGCCAGGATGATGTCGATCTCCTGACCTCGTGATCCACCCGCCTCGGCTTCCCAAAGTGCTGGGATTACAGGAGTGAGCCACCGCGTCCGGCCGCAAATGAGTTTTCAAAGTTCACATTGGCAAGCTCCGCATTCCTTAAGAAACGCGGTTTGGGTTATCCAAGTTCTTCCAATCACTCACCCAAACAGACATGAGATCTGCTTCTCCCAAATCAATGGAGGTCCATAATGAGAGGATGGATTGGCTGAAGGAAAAATGGAGGTACCAGGGATTGAACCAGGGACCTCGTACATGCGAAGCATGCGCTCTACCACTGATCTACACCCCCTGACTCTCAAACTTCCTGGGTTCTTTTATAAAATGTTGTTGCTATTTTTCTTGTTGGTTTTGTTTTGTTATAGTTTTTTAACTTAAGAGTTAGGTAGAGAAAGTCCACTGGATTAAATTTCATTATCTCTGAAATTACAAGACTGGATACTGTGTAGTGGCTTCATTAGACGAGTAACAGATTTTAGTCTGAATAGCACCGTTTTTGATTCTAGGACCTTCCCATTCCTGTTAACTTGCTCCAAGGTCCACTTGCCGGCGACTCGGTGAGAGTTTCTTGCCTCCACCAGGAAGGTCCTGAGACAGTCTCAAGTCTCCAACATATATAGCAGCGATAATGACTCAGAAAAAAGTGTTTTTCAGTCCAGAGGCAGCCGCGGGCTTTCCTTGATCTTCACACCATGCTGGGTCGGAGGCTCTGCCAACATCCATTTTCCAGCTCTTTTCGTGAGTCCCAGGTTCTGAGATTGTCCTGCTCTGATTCCACACCCCATCTCTATTTCTCGCTTGACGATTATTATATCCACAAACGGGTTTTAAAACAGCGACTTCAAAACTCCATCAACTTTAAATGGAGTGACATATTCCCTCCCACCCAGACTTAGGGAATAAACAGGGCAAGGTCAGACGCAGGGCAGCGGAGAGAATTTCCAACTGCCTTCCCTTTGAGAACCCACGGACACAAGGAGGAATTCTGCTATATATGTACATATTTGAAAGAAAAAGTCAAAGAGGCCCGGAAACCTTCAAGCAGTGCCACCGGGGGATTGGAAAATGCGAGCAGGTCCTGGATATGGCAAAGCAAATAGAATTGAATTGTCTGGGAACGAGCAGAGCCCTTTGTTCACGGGAAGCTTTCAGCTTAGCATATAAGGCGAAGGATGTACATATTCACGTCAAAGCCTTGGGCTGCTTCTTTATCCAAGAGCTGTTGTGTAACACTGACGAAAGTTATATCAAGCAAGTTTTCCTTTAAAGCCTCAAAACACTGAAAAAAAAAGTGTTCACTGGCAAAGGCAAGGAACATTTAAGCCACCCAATTTTGATTCTCCTCGCCTTAGCCCTCTAGAAGATTTCCTTGAAAAGTGAGTGCAGGAGGATGTTTGTGATCAGGCAACATGCTGCTGAAACACATCATTGATTTCAAACTCTGAGGAGGGATATGGGAGTTTTAGACCTTTAATCGGGGGCTCTCCCAACTGAGTTATGTCAGCTGCACCTCTACCTTCACTGACACTAGTAATTATCTCAGCTATTGAGTTTCGAAAGCACTGCATTATTTGAGAGATGTCTTTCCCTTGATCCCTCACTCAGAAGTTGGGATCAATAACCTGCCACATTTGGTAATTGATTGAAACTACTGCCATCTGTGTGCATGGAAGAGCAGTGAGGGGAGAGAAAAATCAGTGGGTGAGTTTTGGCTCCTCAGGCTTCACACAGGAACAACCACAAAAAGAGTTGTTAACAAAGATTGCTTAAGGGCCTCTTTTTCTTTTCCTTGATCATTCTTTTTCATCGTTGTTCCTCAGGAAACTGTGTAATGGAACGAAAAGAATGAGAGCTTACTAATGTGATGGTGACACGATTGTTCCTCTCCTTTTGGGAGATCCTGAGTGAGGGGGATATTTCTCTCTCAATTCTTCTTGTCTTATGCTTATGCAACAGGGTTGTGTTATTTAAGTACAGCTTTGAAGAAGTAAGAGAAAAGCAGTATGAAGGAATAAACCTGGACTCACCTGCATGCTTAGCCGGTGCTCTGCCACCAAGCTATATACCCCAATTGACCCTACATTTCAGTAAATCCTCTAAAACTGATGATTGTCCCAATTTCTGGATATCCAGTGGTTGGTAGGACAGTTTACTGTATTCAACCTCACTATTTCAGAAAATCCTAGACCAGTCCCTTTTTGCAGCTATGCCATGAAAAGTAATGGAATGCTAGACCAAAAAACAGTTTTGTTTACTAAGATCTTCCTCCTCCAATTTTCTCACTCCAGTCAGGCCACTCCAAGGTCTGCTCACCAACATACTACAGAGCATCAGCTTCAACTCATCGAGGAGAATCCCAAGTTGAGATATTTACTTCTTTTCAATATTATTTTCTTTCAACTTCCATGTTGTCTACAAAGTATCAAAAAAGACAAAAGAGTGCAGGCCGGGCCCAGTGGCTCATACCTGTAATCCCAGCACTTTGGGATGCCAAGGCAGGCAGATCTCCAGAGGTCAGGAGTTGGAGAC
Source organism: Homo sapiens (assembly GCF_000001405.40). Classification (NCBI taxonomy): domain Eukaryota; kingdom Metazoa; phylum Chordata; class Mammalia; order Primates; family Hominidae; genus Homo; species Homo sapiens. The sequence goes on from NT_167249.2 coordinate 6,776, forward strand.
TGGCTTGGCCAACGTGGTGAAAACCCACCTCTACTAAAAATACAAAAATTAGTGAGGGGTGTTGGCACATGCCAGTAGTCTCAGCTACTTGGGAGGCTGAGGCATGAGAATCACTTGAACCCAGGAGGCAGAGGTTGCAGTGAGCCGAAACATGCCACTTCTCCCCAGCCTGAGTGACAGAGCAAGACTCCATCTCAAAAAAAAAAAAAAAAAAAAAAGACAATGCAGAAGGACAAAAAGAAGAAGACCGTGCAGAAGGACATAAAGAATATTAGCAATGTGTTACCTCAGGGGATTTAGATCCAGGTAAGTGGGAAAGATAGAAGTGAAATAAATTAATAATACTTGCTGAGAAATGAAGTATGACAAAATGAGAGACATGAGTGCCAATCTCAAAATATAGGCTAATGTTGGGTAGATAAGACAGAAGAGGAAAAAATTTATCTCAAAGCCTGGCTATAAATGAAGAGCAACAACAGTGTTTCACAGTCACTGTTCTAGCAAACCCTGGCCTGGACCCAATTAATGGATGCTTCAGCTCTAGTTAAGGAGGCCCCATAGAAGGAAAGGGAAAGAGTAAAAGAAGGGAAAAGCTGCAATGTATTATAAAGCCTCATTTGGATAAAATTCTGTCCAGAATAAAGAAAGTGGAAAAGAAACAATATGTGATCTGGAACATTAAGTCTTTATAACGTCTTTGTAAAAAAACAAACAGATAGATAGATAGATAGATAGATAGATAGATAGATAGATAGATAAATCTGCTGGGCACAGTGGTTCACACCTGTAATCCCAGGACTTTGGGAGGCTGAGGCAGGTGGATTATGAGGTCAGGAGTTGGAGACCAGCCTAGCCAACATGGTGAAACACGATCTCTACTAAAAATACAAAAATTAGCCGGGTGTGGTGGTGCATGCCTGTAATCCCAGCTACTAGGGAGGCTGAGGCAGGAGAATTGCTTGAACCCGGGAGGCAGAGGTTGCAGTGAGCCAAGATCTTGCCACTGCACTCCAGCCTGGGGGACAAGAGTGAAACTCCATCTCAAAAAAAAAAAAAAAAAATTCCAGATCCTCGTGAAGCCTCTTTAGGCCTAGAGAAGTCCTCAAACTTTGCCACATAAGACACGAAGAGTAGTCCCTGTGAGTTTTGCCAATATTTTTGTGTGACTGTCAACCCTCACAGGAGCTTTGGAGAAAACCCTAGGGTACCTTCTAGCAGAAGCAGCCAGTAAGGTACATGATTTTAAAGCTTCCCAGATGATTCCAGTAATCAGTCAGCTTTGAGAACCAATAGCCTAGGAAGTCAAGCACCCAGAGCCTGTATTGAATTAATTTTTTAGGAAAATTTCATAGAAGAGGAGGTGAAGTGAACATATAGTAGACAGGATATATCCAAAGGTCTATATCTTTCTTGTTATCACTAGAGTACAAGTTCTTATCTATACAAGTTCCCCTTTCTTCTGGAAGAAAAAACACTAAAGACATTTGTCCCACAGGAAGATCTGACTTGTTTAGTCTAAAATTGTTATGGCTTTGACAATGCCTTGCTGCCCTTTTCTGTCACTGGACAAACACTATGAGCACTTTGGAGGGCATGCGTGTAGCTGATTTGAAGGTGCATGGTGCAGGAGCCACTGTTATTGGTGGCTTCCATAAGCACCACAGTGTGCAAAGTGTGAGTGGTTACACTGCAATCAATGTTAATTATAGAAGTGGAATTTATGGCTGATTTTGGCTTTAGCATCTCAGGTATGTGTGTAAGCAAAATACAGTGTGGAGGGCCGGGCGCGGTGGCTCGCTCCTGTAATCCCAGCACTTTGAGAGGCCAAGGTGGGCAGATCACCTGAGGTTGGGAGTTCAAGACCAGCCTGACCAACATGGAGAAACCCCGTCTCTACCAAAAATACAAAATGAGCTGGGTGTGGTGGCACATGCCTGTAATCCCAGCTACTCAGGAGGCTGAGGCGGGAGAATCACTTGAACGCAAGAGGTGGAGGTGGTGGTGAGCCGAGATCGCACCACTGCATTCCAGCCTGGGCAACAAAAGGGCAACTCTGACTCAAAAAAAAAAAAAAAGTGTGGAAACTTGAAATGAAAGAGAAAATATGAGGCAAACAGGTTAGAGTATAATTTTTAAAATATTCACTTGACAAGATTTCAAGAAGCTCTTTAACTATGAAGGGGCATAGCCCATTTGGTGGAGGTTTAGTCTTTTAAGGTGAGATTTCAGGATTTAAACCCTTGGTAAAGCTAATCTTTTATTTCACCTATGTATTTCTAACTTTTTGATAGAGGTAAATTGAAACCTGGATTTCTCTTAGGAAACTAAGTGTTTATAGTGAGCACATCCTTCCATACATCCTCCTGTTTGCTCAACTGGATTCTAAAAGTCGAGAGTTTGAGGGAGCAAAACCAAGGTTGCAGTAAAATAAGAATTCCATGGTTTAAACAGATGCAACCCAGAAATTTTCTGCTCTATTCTACCACTGTAGGCAGAAGCCAACATTGAAGACTTACGAGAATTAAATGGGTTACCAGAAGAGTGACTATAGGCATGAAAGTGGAAAAACAGATTTAAGAGAATGAGGAAGAATGCAGACTGACGGGGGATTTAGAGTTATGGATTTAGTGAGTGAGGGATTTACTTAAGGAGACTTCCAAGTAGCTTGATTAGTCTTCTATCTAGCTAGTAAGTACAGAAAGATAAGCAGAATCTCTGCCAGGTTTTTTGTTGCTGTTAGGTTGATTACCTTTTGAATTAAAAGTAAGAAACAAAATCCCTCCCACTGTTATGTGGCATTAGGTTTTGTATTGGCATTAAGGAAAATTGAGCATGAAGAACCCATGAAGTTAAATGGAAAAACACTTAATTCCCAATCAGAAAACTGACAGCTCACAATGAAAATTGGAACAATACTCAAAAATCTTATTATCTTCTGATAAGAATGGGTAATTTTGAGCCCTCATGCTACCCACTCTCCAGAGGACCTCTCCTTCATAGCCTCATGAAAATGCAAAACTCACGGTAAGAGATGTCATGTCTGCAGAGTTTCTGACTCAGAGATTAGGGTGCCTTCCAAAAACTCTGTATATTGTTACTTAGACATAATCCACTTTAAAATGAAAAGAAGTGGCATGGTTTTGCCATGTGATATGCACGTAATTCACTGATAATGATGGTGAAAATGTCTGACCCACGAGATGAAGTCTGCAATGAAGTTTGTGTAGATAAAAATGGAGAATGACAGCAAAGACAGAAAGGACAGAGGATCAGGAGAGAGTGGCATATTTTCTGCCTGTGAGCTTCTTTTTCCTCATTTCACAGTCTTTCTTTCTCTTCAGTACTATTGCTAAATGGTAGACCAGGTAAATTTTTCTTTTCTTTTCTTTTTTTTTTTTTTTGAGATGGAATCTCTCTTGGTCACCCAGGCTGAAGTGCAGTGGCGGGTTCTCGGCTCACTGCAACCTCCATCTCCTGGGTTCAAGCAATTCTCCCACCTCAGCCTCCCGAGTAGCTGGGATTATAAGAGTCCACCACCATGCCCAGCTAATTTTTGAATTTTTAGTAGAGACAAGATTTCACCATGTTGGCCAGGCTGGTCTTGAACTCCTGACTTCAAGTGATACATCCATCTCGGCCTCCTAAAGTGCTGGGATTACGGGCATGAGCCACCACACCCAGCCTAGACCAGGTAAATTTTAAAAAGCTGATTAATCTGTTGGCTACTTGGTGCTTTGCACTCATGCCTTTCTTGTGTTTTCCCAATAACTCTGTGTAGTGGCAACCCATTACATTTTGTTTTACTTTGCCAGGGAGCAGAAAATAATGAGGGGAAAAGGGGGAGTAAAGGAAGGTGCTGATTCCACATTGTCAGAACTATGGAAAAAGAAAGCAGCACAGGCGCTCCCAGGGATCAAATTTGAGACCTTACACTTGGAAGAGAAAAGCTATACCATCAAGCCACAGCCCCATCACTGTTGCAATTTCTTGTTGCATATTCCCTAGTTTTACATTTTACATGGTTTTGTGAAAGTGTAACATTTAAAAGTAAATGTCTATTCTGTTAAAGTCCATTTCAAAAATCTTTTCCTAGAACCTTTCTCACACCTATGTTAAAGAAAGGATAATAAATTCTAAAGCATATGACACCATTTTTGCTGGGGTTTTTTTGACAGAGTCTTGCTCTGCTGCCCAGTCTGGAGTGCAGTGGCACAATCTCAGCTCACTGCAACCTCCACTTTACTGGCTCAAGCAATTCTCCTGCCTCAGCCTCCCAAGTAGCTGGGACTACGGACATGAGCTACCACGCCCAGCTAATTTTTGTATTTTTAGTAGAGACAAAGTTTCACCATGTTGAGTAGGCTGGTCTCGAACTCCTGACCTCAAGTGATCCACCCATCTAGGCCTCCCAGGTGTAAGCCACAGTGCCTGGCCCCTGCTCAATCTTACCTGCCAAGTAAGTCCTCTCCCAGATCCTGTCACTGGTCTAAAGCTTCTTTTTATTTTTAATTTTGAGCCACCTACACATGTGAAAGTGGAAATGGAAGACAATAATTTTTATTTTGCACATGTTGATGTTGAGAAGCTTCTTAATTTTTCAAGAATTTTTTTTGGACTTTGTTGATTGCTGCTGAAGAAAGAAGGGCATGATATAGAAAGCAAAGGTGGAAATTATTTCTAGATAGATAATATTTTTGAACACATGGGTATGGACAAAATGGCCAAGAAGGACTGGATAGCTTGGTCTATACCGTAAAAAAAAAAAAAAAAAAAAAAAAAAAATGAAAAAGAAAGAAAGAGAAAAGAGAAAAAAGAAACAAAAAAGAAATTGCAGTGAGAAAGAGACTGAAGACCCAACAGAATATTCCACCCTGAGACTTTCCATGTGTCAACCTAACTAACAGAGAGAGGTTCTCTAAAAGAAAATATGTTTATTTGTGAACAGAGCATTGCAGTGGGAATAGGCATGCCATAGTAAACGATGTATGTCTTCAGGGAGGTAAAGAAAGACAAAAGTTTTTAAAGAAAAGTTGAGGAGGGCTACATAATTGTTTTTGAAATAATTATCTTTGGCTGCAAATATTAATAACAAGGGTGACACTAGTCCAAGGTTGGACAGGCAGTTGCTAGGCAGATGTCCTTGTAGACATATTTTTTGTGTGTAAGATTGCAAGGTTGTGGTTTTCACAGTCTTTTGTGATAGTTTTTTTTATTAGGCATACAAGCATGAGAATCCTCTCTTCATGGTTTTCCCCTGCTTTATTTGTCAGGGTTTTGTTAACATTAGTGACTCCTTTTTGACTCCCATTTCCAATTGTCTTGTTTGTCTCCATTTCGTATCTTATGAAATGGCTGTACACTGCAGCTGGTAGGACCAGAGAATAGTAAGTTATCAAATAGTCTTGTGGGTTTTGATGTATTTACTTTCTGATCTTCTCCAGTTCTATCTCCTTGAGGTCAGGGATTATTTCATTCACACCTTTGAATCAAGAGATTAACCCAATAATTGCCCCATTATACATTGCTGATACTTATCTTTGATTGAATGAATGGAAGATAATGTGCACAGCTACTGTTTTTTATTCTTCTTGAAGGGAAACAATAGTTGCATGAGATTCCTTTCAAGTAATGCAACAAAAACGTAATTGCAACTAATTTCTTTGGTCTGGATTTATAACTCTCCTTTAGGGACTGAGGAATTAGGGTTTCAAATCTCAAAAATGCTGGGATAATTTCCTTACCATCGGAGCTTCTTTCTTCTGCCTCCAGAGCTTCTTCAGTGTTACCTGGCTTCTTCTAAATCTATTTTCCTTCAGTGGTAAATAATTTTCCCATTTATATTGTGGAGTTCTCCCTGTTCTTTCTTTTTTATTTGTTATTCCTTTTTCTGCTTCTTTTTCTCCTCTTCTTCCTGTGTCTCCAAACTTTCCTGTATTTTCTTTTTTCCTTTCTTTTTTTTTTGTTGTTTTTGTTTGTTTGTTTGTTTTTTTGACTGGACAAGCCTGGGTTCTAATTTCTGTATTTTCTGTTCCTGTTTTCAACCATTGCCTATGCTGACAAAGGCTTATGTATTGCAACTTGCTCAGCACCCCACACACATCTTTAAACCGTACTTACCTTCCAAACAAAAACAAAATCCATGGAACCCTCTTTTGGTGATGTTTATTCCACTCCTCTTTTGATATACAGTTACTTAAATTCAGGGATATAAATGTAACTAGTATTAATATATCTTATGTTAGGTGGTAGTTGTACTGGGTTAATACTGTCCTTCCCCCCAAATCATAAACTTCTTGGAACCTCAGAATGTGACCTTATTTGGAAATAGAGTCTGTGCAGATGTAATCAAGTTAAGACAAGATTATTAAGGTGGACTCTAATCCAATATGACTGATGTCCTTGCAAGAAGAGAGAAATTTGTATACAGAGACACTGTGAGAATGCCATGTGACCAGAAAGGCAGAGATTGGAGTGATGCTGCTACAAGTCAGAGAATACAAAATATTGATGGCCACCACCAGAAGCTAAGACAAGGCAAGGAAGGATTCTACCCAGAGTCTCAGAGAAAATATGACCCTGTTCACACCTTGATTTCACACTTCTTGCCTCCAAAACTATGAAAGAATAAATTTCCATTGTTTTAAGCTACTGAGTTTGTGATAATTTGTTATAGCAGCCCTAGGAAACTAATACAGTGGGTGAGCCAGAAAAGGAAAGAAAAAAGACTGGTTACGATAAACACACAGAAAGAATGCTCATAACTATTAGAGTACTTGTATCTGCAGCTGATTGGTATTTGTAATTATCTCTTTCACTCCATATTCTCTTTGCTTTCGGCAAGTACCTCAGCAGTTAAGGCTCTTTGCCTGATGGGGTAAAACAAACCTTCACTCCTAGAGAGTTTATGACATTTAGCAGTGCCCTGTACAAAAGATTGTTCTAGTTTTTGATTGACTTTAATCACAGTGGATGATATTACTCACTGAAAGGCACTGCTAAAAACCCCCTTAAATTCCAGACATATTCCTTCATAACCCCATTTGTGTAGTAACGTCCCAATTTAAGTTGGTATCAGGATCAATCACCATGAGCAATCACCAAGAGTAAGCCCCTTCCTTGCCTGCTGGTTTATTGGCACAAAAAGGCCAAAGTGGTAAAATGTCATTCTCAACTTCCGGTTTAATGGAACCGTTCCTTTGGTGGCCTCTGGTGAAAGCATTTTTCCCTTGGGAGCTCTAAGAATCAAGCTCAACATTTTAAGAACTAAAAGTAAAACTTTACAAGCAGAAGATTCCAGGTTTTCTATGTTTGCATAATCCCATCACAATATATCTTGCTGATTATAGCAAAAATTATGGGGAGAGGGGACACACACACACACACACCCACCCCCACCAAACTTATCAAGCAACAAAAGCAATTAGATTATGGAGGCAATAAAAACTTGGAAGGGTGACCCGCAAGGAATTAAAGATGAGTTTTTTTATTTTTAGTATTTTTCTCACAGCTCTTTACTGAGAGTGAGCCCCAATCATGAAGCAGTTGTGTAGGCAACAGAAACTGTGACAGAAACTCCATATTTCTAGCCAAATTATCAAGGAAAAGTTGAGAAAAGTCTGAAGAGTTAAGGAGAATCCTGAAAGATTGAAGAAAGGATTCCCTAAAATCTGTATATAAAGCCACATACGTCTTGGGCTTAGCTCTGAGCTGTGCATGCTATAGACAGAACCAGAACAGCATAACAAATTCTTTCCAAACTAACAGTATATTTATACGAAGACCTCCATCTCAGACTAACACCAAGTGGGACATGCTCAAGGGAAGACCTGAAACAGCATAACAAAAGCTTTGAAAATAAAACTTTTTTTTTTTTGAGATGGAGTCTCGCTCTGTTGCCCAGGCTGGAGTGCAGTGGTGAAATCTCTGCTTACTGCAAGCTCTGCCTCCCGGGTTCACGCCATTCTCCTGCCTCAGCCTCCCGAGTAGTTGGGCCTACAGGTGCCCGCCACCATGCCCAGCTAATTAATTTTGGTATTTTTGTATTTTTAGTATTTCTAGTAGAGACGGGGTTTCACCGTTTTAGCCAGGATGGTCTTGATCTTCTGACCTTGTGATCTGCCCGCCTCCGCCTCCGCCTCCCAAAGTGCTGGGATTACAGGCGTGAGCCACCATGCCTGGCTGAGACATAAAACTTTCAGTATGAACTAATCAGGTAAGTTATCTGCTAAAAACAAGTAAATAAATCAAGCATTCTCCACAAAATCATCACAATAAAAAATTTCTCAACATACAAAGATCCAGGGGGATATATTCAATCTTCAAGACAAAATACAATCAATAGATGGCAAATCCAAGGTGACTCAGATCTTGAAATTATCAGATGAGGACTTTCAGTGTCTATTTTAACTGTGGTCTATGCCAAGCATACTTTAACGAACTAAAATGTAAAAATTTTTATTAAAAGAAATAGAAACTGTTCAGGCATGGTGGCTCACAACTGTAATCCCAGCACTTTACAGGGGCTCAGGGGAAGGATTGCTTGTGATCAAGAATTTGAGAGCAGCCTGGGCAACACAGCTAGAGATATCTGCTATCAAAGGTTAAAAAAAAAAAAAAAAGCTAGGTGTGGTGGTAAGCACCTATAGTCCCAGCTACTCAGGAGGCTGAGATGGGAGGACCACTTGAGCTCAGGAGTTCAAGGCTGCAGTGAGCTATGAACATACCACTGTACTTCAGCCTGGGCCTTGGAGTAAGACCCTGTCTCAAAAAAAACAAAAAGAAATAGAAAGTATTGAAAAAGAAACCAACTGGAAATTTTAGACCTGAAATATAATATCTGAAATTAAAAGTTCAATGGATAGACTCAGTGGAGATGTAGAGAAAAAAAATCAGTTAACTTAAAGATAGATCAATAGAAACCATTCAATTTAATGGGAAGAGAGAGAAAAAAAAGACTGAAAACAATGAATTCAAGGTCCTGTAGAATAATATCAAATAGTCTAAAATAGATGTCATTGGAGTCTCAGGAGAAAAAAGACTGGTGTAGAGAAATATTTACATAAATAATGACAAAAATAAGATGTAAATTTACAGATTCAAGAAACTTCCAATCAAAATTTAAAAAACTAATTAGACACATTATCATCCAGCTGCTGAAAATAAAAGCTTTTTTAAAAATCTTGGAGCTGGGCATGGTGGCTAACGCCTGTAATCTCAGCACTTTGGGAGGCTGAGGCAAGAGGATCAATGGACTCAGGAGATTGAGACCCGCCTGGGCAACATAGTGAGACTCCATCTCAAAAAAAAAAAAAAAAAAAGAGGAAAGAAGGGAGGGAAAGGAAGGAAGGAAGGAAGGAAGGAAGGAAGGAAGGAAGGAAGGAAGGAAGGAAGCTATTTTAGCCAGGCACGGTAGTGCACATCTGTAGTCCCAGCTACAGAAGGCAGAGAGGCATGCTGAGGTGGGAGGATGATTTGAGCCCAGAAGATCGAGGCTGGAACGAGCTGTGACCACACCATTGCACTCCAGCCTGAGTGACAAAGTGAGACCCTATCTTAAAAACAAACAAAAAATAATCTTGGAAACAACTACAGAAAATAACACAATTTTAAAACGGAGACCACAATCCAAATATGTGGATTTTTCTTTCAGAAACTATGATAGTCAAAAGACAGTGGAACAACATCTTTAAAATGATAAATGAAATATTAATCCAGAATTCAGTATCTAGAGAGACAATCCAGAAATGAGGAGAAAATAAAGGTATTCTCAAAGAAGGGAAGCTACAAGAATGCATTACCATCAAATCTTCTGTGTAAGAAATATTGAGAAAATTATTCAGGCTGAAAGGAAATGATACCAGAGGGAAACTTGGATCTTCAGGAGTGAAGGAAAAGCCACTGAAATGATAAATATCTGTGACAATATAAAATAATTTTTTTCTCCTAGGTTATTTTAAATATATATGGGTGTTATCTAGTGGAATTGTCCATGTGTCAGTGTAATACATTTGACAACTATAACAAAGTTGGTGAAGGGGTAAAGGATCCTATATTGGTGCTGGACTTTCATGAAGTCTAAGTGGATGGCGTGCATATTGTAATCACTAAATCACAGAGCAATCACTAAAGTAACAAGATATAGAGAAAAAGCCAATGACTAAGTTAAAATGGAATACAAAAAACATCAAAGACATCCAGAAAAAGGTAGAAAAAGGATAACAGAACAACAAATGCTACAACAAAAACACCAGAGAGAACAAATGGAAATCAAATAAGAAAGTGGCAGACATAAATCCACACATTTGATAAGGGCCTAGTATCAATATATAAAGAACTAGAATACAACTTCCAATCTCAACAGTAAAAAACAAAAAATTAATTAGAACATGACATAAAGAAATATTTTACCAAAGAAAATATACAGGTAGCAAAGAAGCACATGGAACGATGTTCAGCATCATTAACCATTAGGAAAATGCAAAATAAAACCATAATGAGATGTCATTACACACCTGTCAGAATGGTCCCTCATCTTCAGCCCATTAATTAATCCCTATGAGATGAGGCAGACAATAGTGTGGTCCTACAACACTATGGCAAACATATTTTCTCTGCTCAAATTGTTTCTCTTCTGACTCCAGCTAAGACAAGTGCAGGATGCAAGTAAAGAATACCGAAAGAGTCCGGGCGTGGCTTTCAAGATGTTCTTTATAAAATTGCCTTTCCCCACGCCTATAATCCCAGCACGATGGGAGGCCGAGGCGGGAGGATTACGAGGTCAGGAGTTCGAGACCAGCCTGACCAACATAGTGAAACCCGTCTCCGCTAAAAAAAAAAAAAAAAAAAAAAAAAGTGAAAAATTAGCCCGGCGTGGTTGTGTGTGCCTGTAATCCCAGCTACTCGGGAGGCTGAGGCAGGAGAATGGCGTGAACCTGGGAGGCGGAGCTTACAGTGAGCCAAGATCGCGCCACTGCACTCCAGCCTGGGCGATAGAGCGAGACTCCGTCTCAAAAAACAAAAACAAACAAACAAAAAAAAAAACTGCCATTCCCAGTACCTATTGCACAAAAATTCAGCCACACGAACGCCTGGTGAAGCGCTCAACCTGTTTATCCAGAGAGGAAAAGAGCAACGAATTGCTCTCAACCCGCGACAATCTAGAACAAAACAAACCAAATCTTCGTGCAGGACCTACGTTTTCAGCCTACTTTGTTTAGAAGAGTGAAACCTTCTGTCTTGCCGTGGGCCTGGTGAAAACGCGACAGATAGGGGAACTTGGATACGTCCAGTCTCCCTCCCTATTTAAATGCTGATGGTGTTTCGAGTCCCCTGCCTGAACCCGCTTCCTGTCTTCTCGTCCTCTTGTTCTTCTTCGTCTTTCGCTGCTTCATCTCTTCCACTTTCCCCACTCTCGCCCATAATACCCTCCACTCTCTATCTCCTTCCTTCTTCTCGTCCTCCTCTTCAGTTCTCTTCCGTTCTCAGACATTCCACTTGTAACCGAACCGTGCTGATTTTCAGAGTCACCTGGGGGAGTTCTTAAATTACTTACATTCTTGCCCCCAACCCCCATTGTCTCCAAAACACTTGCCTGGGTTGACTGTGGCACACGCATGTTGAATAAAGACAGGAAACCCTTACCTTTTGTGCTCCAGGAACACAGGGTCTGAGGACCTGTCCAGGCGCAGGGAGGTCTTAAAAAGAGCGAATTCCTTCCTCTTGCTTTCTTTGTGTTCGCCTCACGGTGAAAGGATTTTGCCTGAAAGAGGTGAAAGTCGCCTGGAGCTGTTTTCTTTCTGGTCTTCGCTCTCTAGGGATCTCAGCCAGTGAGCAGCGTCTTGGACAGAATGCCGCTTCCACGCTTCCGTAGACGCTGGGCCCAGCGGCTTGGGAGGGTTGTGACTGACACATGCTTTACACTTCATTTCACGCTGATATTGTGAATTAATTCCCCTCCAGTCTTATCTCCTCTCTTGGACCTCCGTTCCCTGAGTAGCTCTCCTAGTACTGGTCTTAGTATTCCCTAGTAGTACCGTTTATGTTTTTCTGGGAGCACTGCAGACAGAAAAGTAGGAAGTTGACTGTTTAAGATAATATTTCTACCTGGGATTCTCCTTGGTGGTGGACAAAAGCTGCCATTCGGGAAGTTCCCTAGGAACAGTCTTTGGAGGGTCCGCCATTATGAAAGACCCTAATAGCACTAAAGGGATCTTTCGGTCCAGAATGCAACTTGAGGGTTTCAGAAATAGTAGAGTTGGATAGAGTAGACTTTGACCTCGGTTTAAATCGTAGAACACTAGCAGATAACAGTGACAGCCAGTTATAAAATATAGCAAAAAAGCCAGCTTTAAGGGGGTGTAGCTCAGTGGTAGAGCGCGTGCTTAGCATGCACGAGGCCCTGGGTTCAATCCCCAGCACCTCCATGTATTATGCTCATTTGCCTAGCGGCCCAGAGCAGGGACCCTTGGCAGAAAACAGCACGATTTGCTTCATGAGTGGCAACAGACTCAAAAGTAGCCTAAGGTCTACGTTTTGGGTGGTATGTCTAAATAATGCTGCATTGAAGCGTGGGATTAGGAAGAACCAAGGCCCTTGGAATTAAAATGAATAGCAGTAATCCACTTTCATCGTTTGTTTCTTACCCACAGTCAACCGCGATCTGAGATTACTACATGAAAAATTCCAGAAATAAACAATTCATAAGTTTTCAATTTCTCTGTTGTGAGCAGCATGATGAAATGTCGCCTCATGTGCTCCATCCCGCCTGGGAAGTAAACCATCTATTTGTCCAGCATATCCACGCTGTGTAGTAAGCCACCCACTAGTTAGTCAGTCAGTAGCCATCTGAGTTATCTGAGCTACTGTCCTCACGTTGCTTGTGTTCAAATAACCCTTATTTTACTCAATAAAGGCCCCAAAGTGCAAGAGTAGTGATGCTGGCAGTTTGGGTATGCCAAAGAGAAGCCCTAAAGTGCTACCTTTAAGTGAAAAGGGGAAAGTTTTCTACTTAATAAGGAAACAGAAACAAATTCATATCAGAGGTTGCTAAGAGCTATGGTAAGAATAAATCTTCTATCCATGAAATTGTAAAGAGAAAAGAAATTTGTGCTAGTTTTGCAGAAGTTACTGCTACAGTGTGTGATAAGTGCATAGTTAACATTTAAAAGACAGTAAATATGTGGGTGAAACACGTGAACAGAACACTTAATCTACTTGAGGGCAACACGTTATACCAGAAAACACTGAGCCCATATGAAGACTTCATCAAGGGATCCTCTGAAATGATTGACACCAACCCATATATTGCAAGTAGGGGATGGTTACACAGATTCAGGAATAGGTTTGGACTGAAAAATATAAAAATTATTGGAGAGGCTACGTCTGCCAATGAAGAAATCACATTTTACGAATCCAATGATTACACTCTAAAGAGTTCAGAAGAACATATTGCTAGATGTGTTATTCTACATTTATGCTATTAAATTTCAAATAGTAAATTTAACTTGACTGAAAAAGTTAACCTAGCCAGGCGCTGTGACTCATGCCTGTAATCCTAGCACTTTGGGAGGCCAACGCAGGTGGATCACCTGAGGTCAGGAGTTCAAGACCAGGCTGGCCAACATGGCGAAACCCTGTCCCTACTAAAAATACAAAAAAAATAGGCAGGCATGGGGTGCACAGCTGTACTCCCAGCTACTCTAGAGGCTGAGTCAGGAGAATCACCTGAACCCGGGAGGCAGAGGCTGCAGTGAACTGAGATTGCATCACTGCACTCCAGCCTGGGTGACAGAGACTCTGTCTCAAAAAAAAAAAAAAAAAAAAAAAAATGTTAACCTGTACACATTTTCCTACATACTCTGGATATGACTTACATTTCTGGTCATTATTAACATAGTCATAGTAATAACCTTCTAAAGAGAAGTTGGAAGCCAGCCTTTACAGGTGGAAAGAAAGCTGATGCAGCTTCATGAGTAAGGATGCAGTCAGCATCCAACAAAAGGCATTTGGGAACTGTACAAGCAGGAAGATCCATATTGTTTCAACACAAAAGAGTTCCAAAGAGCCGCGGTATTGTGAGTAATAACAATGTTGCTACCTTTTACTCATGGTAGGAAACATAGAATTAGCCAGAAACAGTGTGATTAACAATAAATAACATGAACAGATAGTTTCTGGACTGAAAAGGATGAGTTGGTGCCAGAAAACTACGAAAAATGTTTCTGAGTATTGATTAGGCTGTAAACAAATATGTAAGTACCCATTATTCTAAATCTCTATTAATACACAACAAGATCCTCACAGGATCCCCTAAATTTTGTAAAACATTTTTTAATCAAATTATATACTCGTTAGCCAGATGTGGTGGCTTTTGCCTGTAGTCCCAGCTAGTCAGGAGTCCAAGGTGGGAGAATCACTTGAACCCAAGAGGCAGAGGTTGCAGTGAGCCAAGATCCAGCCACTGCACTCCAGCCTGAGCGACAGAGTGATACGCTGTGTCAAATATATACGTATATATTTATAAATATATTTATATATATATAATATTTTTATAGATATATATAATTTTTATATAATATTTATATAACTTTATATTAATTTATATATAAATATATATTATATATTTAATATACATTTATATATATAATCTATATATTTATATATTTAATATACATTTATATATATATTTATATATTTATATATATTTATATATTTATATATATTTATGTATATATTCATATATTTATATATATTTATATATAAAGATTCATATAAAAATATTTATATCTATATATATTTATATATAAAGAGTCATATATAAATCTTCATATTTTTATATATTTATATATAAAGATTCATATATAAATCTTTATATTTTTATATATTTATATATAAAGATTCATATATAAATATATTTATATATAAAGATTCATATATAAATATATTTATATATAAAGATTCATATATAAATATATTTATATATAAAGATTCATATATAAATATATTTATATATAAAGATTCATATATAAATATATTTATATATAAAGATTCATATATAAATATATTTATATATAAAGATTCATATATAAATATATTTATATATAAAGATTCATATATAAATATATTTATATATAAAGATTCATATATAAATATATTTATATATAAAGATTCATATATAAATATATTTATATATAAAGATTCATATATAAATATATTTACATATAAAGATTCATATATAAATATATTTATATATATTTATATATAAAGATTTATATTTATATTTATTTATATATAAGGATTTATATTTATATTTATTTATATATATTTATATATTTATGTATTTATATTTATTTATATATATTTATATATTTATGTATTTATATTTATTTATATATATTTATATATTTATATATATATTTATATATTTATATATTATATATATTTATATTTATAAATATATATATTAATATATTTATATATAATATATTAATATATCATATATATTTATATATATGATATTAATATATTATATATAAATGTATGTTATTCACATTATATAAATAAAAATATATATATTAATTATTCACTTTATATATATATAAATATATATATTATTCACATTATATATATATAAATATATATATATTATTCACATGGACAGGGGCCTCACAAAAAACAAATATGTTTGTCTGGGTTACTCAACATCCTAGGGGTGGCTCTGCCCCATTTTTATTCTGTGAGTCTTGGCACCATCCAAACAACTGTCATCACGAAAGAAGGAGGATAGAAATTAGTAACAGATCTGATTTACACAGGTTCTTTTGACATCAAGATGTACTATCACAATAATGAGGATATTCAGTTTGTCTTCTATTTTTCCCTATTATTGAAGAAAAGGAGAAATAGAAGAGGCTCATGAAAATTTTCCTTTACTTCTCATTATTTCTTTTTTCTTTTTTTTTTTGAGATGGAATTTCGTTCTTGTTGCCCAGGCTGGAGTGCAATGGCACGATCTCAGCTCACTGCAACCTCTACCTCTCGGGTTCAAGTGATTCTCCTGCCTCAGCCTCCCGAGTAGCTGAGATTACAGGCATGTGCCACCACGCCGGGCTAATTTTGTATTTTTGGTTGAGACAGGGTTTCCCTATGTTGGTCAGGCTAGTCTCGAACTCCTGACCTCAGGTGATCCGCCTGCCTCGGCCTCCCAAAGTTCTGGGATTACAGGTGTGAGCCACCGCACCCGGCCCCCCTCTTTTTTTTTTTTTAGACAAAGCGTCACCCAGGCTGGAGTGCGATGGCGTACTCTCATCTCACTGCAATCTCCGCCTCCCGGGTACAAGCGATTCTCCTGCCTCAGCCTCCCAAGTAGCTGGGACTACACGTGTGTGCTACCACACCCATCTAATTTTGTATTTTTAGTAAAGACGGGGTTTCACCATTTTGGCCAGGCTGGTCTCGAACTCCTGACCTTGTGATCCGCCCTCCTTGGCCTCCCAAAGTGCTGAGCTTACAGTCATGAGCCACCACGCCCGGCTTACTTCTCATTATTTCTAGTGCAAATTTTAGACTTTTACATTTACAACTAACTTTGGATTTACAGAAAGGTTACAAAACAAATACAGAGTTTTTATATTTCCCACCTAGATTCTTCTAATCTTTTTATACTTTTTGTATACATAGTGGTTATCTTTTATCGGGCATTAATTATCAATTAGAATATGAAAGGATTAAGCAAAAATCATGTTCCTCAAGGAGAGGTGCCAGGTTCCTCAAGGAGAGGCGCCAGGACAAAGAAGGCCATAGTCAGGAATGCAGGGTACTCCCTCTACACAGGCTTTTTTTTTCCTCCCCAGTGATATTTTCATAGCTATTCATGTTTCATCTCCTCGTAAGAATGAGAGAAGCTGAAAAACACGTAAGCTGCCACCACCGTAGAAACCCCGTCAAGTGGAACACGTGTTCTGTTCACGTATTTCACCCACAAATTTAGTGCCTTTTCCATGCACTTATCACACACTGTAGCAGTAGCTTTCGCAAAACTAACAAGAATTTATTTTCCCTTCTTTACAATTTCACGGAAAGAGGATTTATTCTTACCATAGCTCTTAGCAACCTCGGATACGAATTATTTTTCTCTTTTCTTATTAAGTAGAGAACTTTCCCCTTCTTTACAATTTCAAGGATAGATTTATTCTTACCATAGCTCTTAGCAACGTCGGATACGAATTTTTTCTCTTTCCGTATTAAGTAGAGAACTTTCCCCTTTTCACTTACAGGCAGCACTTTATGGCTTCTCTTTGGCATACCCAAACTGTCTGCTGTCTTCCTCTAATCTTAATATCTATGTGAACACAGTGTGATGATCAAAACCAGGAAAGCATCAATGAATATATGAGAAGGTGGAAGAACAGAGCATTTTCTCATTGATCATCCTACTAGTCTCCTCCCTTCACCTCAATCTTCACAGTACCTGCCATCAAAAGTTTGGTCTAACAATGCAAACAGATGGCCGTAGATAACAGCAATTTCTAGGTGAGCGGGTGGATGGACATTGGACAACAGAACAATGGCTTTCAATGAACTACAATACTGCCAAGAATAATAGGTGAAAAAATAAACAAGTCTGCATTAAATGAATTAGATAACCTACCATGCCAAAATATTTTATCCTATCCAGTTCTCTGTATTTCTTCACTCATCTCATTTTTTCTTCTTTTTGAATAGATAAATGAAATATTTTCTGCAAACATCCATTATCATCAGAAGACACCCCATGTGGAAGAAGCAAATTATTTTTGTGTTAAAATGGATATTATCAACTGCAAAGAAAAAGGTGAATATTTCACAAGTGAGCCAGAACATTTACAGTGTAAACAAGAGCAGTTGCTACCTTTGCTTTTTTTTTCCCACTTCTTCAATATGATCACCATGCTTTTCATTACCCTGCTACTCAGTATTTCTAGTCAACTGACTGATATTTTTAAAGGTTTTCAAAGGTATGAATATGAATACACTTTTTTTATATTGAATTAGCCAGAGGAAAGCAATTTCTATCTGCCAACTTTACTTTTTTCTTTTCACCTGGCAGCCTCTCTTCACATTCTAGCCCCAAGAAGGAAATTCCATTTCTTTACTCAATGGCTGCATTCTTAGATCTTGTTTTAAATATCTTTGGTTAATGAGTTCTAAAGCAAGGAGTATGAGAAAACTGGTGCAAAACCTCCACTAACTTATATGAGTTCGGAAGTTTGTTTCTTTGTCTCTGATTTTTAAGAGCTTTAATAAAATAAAATCAACCTGAGACACATTCATACTACAAATCCTGAAAACAGGATTTGTGGAGGGCAAGATCTGCCCTTTCCTCACCAACCTCTTGGCAAATCTTCAGCAAACATTATATAAGACCGCACTGCCGGGCGCGGTGGCTCACGCCTATAATCCCAGCACTTTGGGAGGCCGAGGAGGGCGGATCACGAGGTCAGGAGATCGAGACCATCCTGGCTAACACGGTGAAACCCTGTCTCTACTAAAAATACAAAAAATTAGCCGGGCGTGGTGGCGGGCGCCTGTTGTCCCAGCTACTGGGGAGGCTGAGGCAGGAGAATGGCGTGAACCCGAGAGGCGGAGCTTGCAGTGAGCCGAGATGGTGTCACTGCACTCCAGCCTAGGCGACAGAGCAAGACTCCGTCTCAAAAAAAAAAAAAAAAAAAAAAAAAAAGAAAAGAAAAGAAAAAAAGACTTCACTAGGGCACAGTGGCTCACGCCTGTGATCCCAGAACTTTGGGAGGCCGGGACGGGTGGATCACTTGAGGTCAGGAGTTGGAGACCAGCCTGGCCAACATGGCGAAACCGCATTTCTACTAAAAAATGCAAAAATTGGCTGGGCATGGTAGTGGGTGCCTGTAATCCCAGCCACTCAGAAGGCTGAGGCAGGAGAACAGCTTGAACCCAGGAGGCGGAAGTTGCAGTGAGCCGAGACCACCCCATTGCACTCCAGCCTGGGTAACAGAGCAAGACTTTGTCTCCAAACAAACAAATAAAAACTTACTGAATGGATCAGATGATGAAATTTCAAGTTTCCTAGTGGACATCTAGAATTATTGACTGAAGGATTGGATGAGAACTGAGAACTGTTCAACATTGAAGACAACATGTCTTCCTATGAGTGATACTGACATTGTCAAAGAGAAAATGAATCCAAAAGTCACTCTTTTTCAAACTGTCTTTTGAATTCAGGATTTTTGTCTCTAAAGAAAATATCTGGAGCAAGTGCTTTGGAGGAAATCTGTCTGGCTTTGAAACCTGTCCTGCTACATGTTGGCTGTGAGCTATGTGGCCAATTATTTCACCTCTGAAAAAGTTGGTTTATCAAAGGAGTGATGTGCTCATTTAATGCAACCCGTTGTTATGACATTATCCACGTGTTATCTCCAGCTACCTCAAGCATTCAGGGTCATATTGACCACAGTCAGAACTCGACCTTGGATTCTATAAGTAGGATTCAAAGTTGCCCTTGAGAAGCCTTCAAAATTCAAGCTTCCCTACACCTGGTAGTAAATGTACCTCATTTACTACCTTCAAAATTCAGTGCCTTCAAAATTCAGTGCCTTCAAAATTCAAACTTCCCTGCACCTGGTAGTAAATGTACCTCAACTATCACTCACCTGGAGAAGACATTATGATTCAGTTTAAGAGCACTAAATCTTGGATTTGGGAAAAACTATAAAACCAATAAAAGCCTATAAAACAAAATAAAACAAAAAAATGGAAATGCCCATTTCCAATTTCTCTAGTTTAGGGAGGAAAGCAATATACAGCCCCTATAATGAAGAAAAGAAGATGTTCAGGTAATGTCAATTAAATGAAAGCTCATCTGTACTAAAAACATGAGACACATTTTTGTTTCCTCAGCTTTTGTCTGCCATACTCTGGAAGCCTTAGAAGTGGATGATCAGTGCTTGATGTGTGCTACAGAAGAAGGAGCTGTCCCCAAGTCTCCCTGCTAATCCAAGTAACGAAGCCAGGGAAGAAAGCAAGAAAGAAAGGGGAAAGAGAGAGAGCGTACTACATTTGCCCTATTTCAAGAGTTTGTAGTTTCTTACATCTTTTTTTCTTTTTTTTTTTTTTTTGAAACGGAGTTTCGCTTTTGTTGCCCAGACTGGAGTGCAATGGCATGATCTTGGCTCACCGCAACCTCCGTCTCCCGGGGTTCAAGCGATTCTCCTGCCTCAGCCTCCCAAGTAGCTGGGATTACAGGCATGTGCCACCACCCCGGCTAATTTTGTGTTTTTAGTAGAGATGGGGTTTCCCCATGTTGGTCAGGCTGGTCTTGAACTCCCGAGCTCAGGTGATCCGCTCGCCTCAGCCTCCCAAAGTGCTGGGATTACAAGCGTGAGCCACCGCGCCCGGCTGGTTTCTTGCATCTTATAGCCCACCAATCTTTTAGGCAACATTGAAAGTCACACAAAATGACCCTAGACTTTTGTGTAAATGAACTCACAATAAACTTATTGGGGTCCCACTCTAGCCAAAATACATGGAGTTTTAGATATTTAATCCAAGTGTCTGATTGACCTGTTTTGGCCACTGGGCTCTCAGTTTAAACTTAAGTTTGGAAGCCCCAAGTTCCACAACAGATAACACATTCTTTTCACCCTCAGAGAAAAAGTTAGGGGTACTCTCACCTTGGCCACCTCTTCACTCACTCACCTCTTTAGTAATTCAGTTAATTTTTTGGTCGAGGATCAAGTTGCTAAAACTTCTTTTAGATCAATAAATGAGATAGACAAACTGCACATTGGAAAGCATGCATAGAGTTTAATTTTTGTTTTTGACAAAGTAGCCACTGATATTGGTGGCTTCAAAGAAAACAGAAGGAAAGCCACTCCCTGACTCCATTGTGGCTGTGGTGGAACCTATTTGAATGAGAAGGAGGATCTGTTGGCAGTTTTGAGCTTGGGTACCTAAGTTTTGGCTAGGAGTGACTACTAGCACACTGGCTCATAAGGCAAGGGAAAGCATTAAAAAATATAGGTTAGGGCTCACACCCATAATCCCAGCACTTTGGGAGGCCGAGGCAGGTGGCTCACCTGTCAGGAGTTTGAGACCATCATGGCCAACATGGTGAAACCCCATCTCTACTAAAAATACAAAAATTACCCAGGAGTGGTGGTGGGCACCTGTAATCCAAGCTACTCAGGAGGCTGAAGCAGGGAGAATTGCTTGAATCTGGGAGGGGGAGGTTGCAGTGAGCCGAGGTCATGCCACTGCACTCCAGCCTGGGTGACAGAGCGAGGCTCTGTCTCAAAAATAAATAAATAGAATAATTTTTAAATATATATATATGTGTATGTATGTTATATATACACATATTTTAAAAAATATATGTTAGGATGGTAACCAAATATTTTTTAATTGAAGAGATTTTGAAAATCAAAATGTCTTTAACCCTGAATAATTTGTTAGAAAATTAAACTTTCAATTTGATGGTCCAGTGTTTGAGCTCCTTTTCAGATCCTGATAATGTTTTTTGTTTCCCTTACTCAGTTCTAATAGAATCCTAGTAAAACCCAGCTTTCTCCTGGATAAACTTGTCTATGTTGCATTCTCCTTGCGTGTGTTATTTTGGCTCAGCAGAAGTAAGAAAAGCCAGTGTAACTGTATGACTTGAGGCTGTCTATTCTGTTCTACTGTAGGGGAGATCATCTATTTGCAGTTCTTTTGTATCTAGAATGTAGTTATAAGGTCAAACTACCGTGTAAAACATTTACCTGGATTGGTTCTCTTTTTAAATTCCGATATTATTCATTTGAAATGATTTTATTTTTTTCAATTTGTTTTCAAATTTAAAGTACTTTTTCTCTATAGTTGCTAGTTTTGTTTTTAAATTTGACTGTGTAAACCATTAACATGATTCTAAGAAACAAAACTATACAGAGAAGTATCACTCAAGAGAAATTTTCAAGCTGCTGGAGATTGTTACATCATGGGACCCTCTCAGGTGGAGGAATGGAAGTGCCCTTCAGGCCTCTTCTTGGGAACCAAATTTGGGGTGGGCTGACAAGACTGGAATGGTAATATTTTTGTGTAGCATCAAATTACTCTTCTCCTGATGTACCTGTAAGATAGAAAGAAAAACCTAGAGGTTTCAGAAATAGAGTCATACATAAGGGATCTTTGTATTAAATTTCAGATTCTCAAAACAAGCAAAGAGAAAGATTAAATTATAATGTTTAGAACAAAAAAAAAGCTATTGCAACGGGGGTGTAGCTCAGTGGTAGAGCGCGTGCTTAGCATGCACGAGGCCCCGGGTTCAATCCCCGGCACCTCCAGTAGTTGATACCACGTTGTGTATCACCACCAATGAAGACGGCGGGTTTCATTGCCACGAGTCTCGGATTTTCCTGGGGTTTTCAAAACCATCTTGATTTACCAGAAGATAATCTGTGCTACTATCCTATCCTAAAAAAATGTGCTATGTAACATTTTTTATTTGTATTTAAAATTTTAAATTGACAAGTAAAATTACGTTTTTATTATCTACAACATACTATTTTGAGATACATATCTCATATGATAAAAACAATTTTACTTGTCAATTTAAAATTTAAAATACAAATAAAAAATAAAATGTTACACGCATGTATTGTGGAGTAGCTAAATCGAGCTAATTACCATATGCATTACCTCACATAGTTATCATTTTTGTAGTGACAACACTTTAAAATCTCTTCATGTTTCAATACATTGTATTGTTTTTACCTATAGTCATCATGTTGTACAATAGATTTCTTGCACTTCTTCTAACTGTAATTTTGTATTCTTTTACCAACATCTTCCCAAGGCTTCCCCGACCCTACCAAAGTTACTTGTTGACATTTTTGTTACTCACTTACTCTCTCTAGCCACTCTGAGCAATCACTGCTATGTTGGCTACAGTCTTATACTTCACAAAAATTTAGTGGGAAAAATTAAAGTTCTGAGGGCAGAAAAATCACCTTAACTTGAAAAGGATCTCCTTAGACACTTAACCACACTTCCACCTCATCTTTCATGCACCTCAGACTAGCATCAGGAATTAATTCAAGAGGGTTTGTTCTTGGATTTGGGGGAAAGTTTAATATTAATATTAGGATGTTGTAGTTTTGTTTTGTTTTGTTTTGTTTTGTTTGTTTGTTTTACGGAGTTTCGCTCTTGTTACCCAGGCTGGAGTGCAATGGAGCGATCTCGGCTCCCGGCAACCTCCGCCTCCCGGGTTCATGCGATTCTCCTGCCTTAGCCTACCGAGTAGCTGGGACCACAGGCGCGTGCCACCACGGCCAGCTGAATTTTTGTATTTTTAGTAGAGACAGGGTTTCACTGTGTTAGCCAGGATGGTCTCGATCTCCTGACCTCATGATCCGCCCTCCTCGGCCTCCCAGAGTGCTGGGATTGCAGGCGTGAGCCGCCCCGTCCGGCAAGGCTGGAGCATTTTTAAAAAGTCAGCCTGCTCGCGTACTTTGGAAAAAGCAGCATCCTGTGGGATGAAGAACCCAGTAATGAAAAGCAAGACTTCGTTACACAATGTGTGGAGCCCAAAGTCCTGTGAACCGCACTGGTCACAGACCCATGAAGCTGGCCCTGATGAGAGGTGTAGAAGAGATCATCCCCAACAAAGAAACAAGCCGTTTTCTTGTTTCTTTACCTTCTCCTAAGAGATAGAAAAGTAGGTGTTCAACAATGCCAGTTTTGAACTGAGGAAGCAGGAGATGCTTATTCACCACAAAGACTTGCTACCCTGTCCTGCCCGGTTTGAATCCTGAAGTGAAAGAAGTGAGAGTGCAGAAAAACTCCTTTGTCTTCTACCAGTGCTGAGCTCAGACTCTGGGTATTGTTGAGAGAGCATCCCCTTTTGAAAAGGCTGCAAAAAAAGAAATGGAGTGGAAGTCCTAAGCATTTATGGAGACATCAGAGGAGGGCACAGACACATCACCACATGAACAGGTGTCACAGACACACCATCACATGAACAGGGGGCGCAGACACACCCTCTGCACTGAGTTAGGACAATCGCCTTATGTTTGTGGGATATTTCTACATTTTCCCTCCCAGTAGTCTAAATTTGTAGTCCTAATAATAACTTTGATGAATCAACATAAATTTGATCACACAATCCAGTTTATGACAGAAAATAGTTTTTGTGTTTCACTTAAACCAGGAGAAAATATTATAGAGGGAGACCTAAATGCATAAGGCAAGAGGTTTGAAGGAAAGATAAAGGCTATTGTATCTGTTGAATAAAATATCTAGGAGGCCATTGATTTGGACTGGCCTCCTCCACTAAGCCTAACAGATCAAACTAATATGGAGTTGAATTACAGTAGCTGAGCTTTAATTACTTGCTGGAGGCTCTGTAACCAATTAACAAAGTAAGCTGTAACCAATGAGGTTGTCTCCACTGTACTTATGTTTCCCACATATGCTGTTAGGCCATGTTATTGGTTGGCATTCTCTGAACCTGCTCTGGTTTGTAGGGTTGCCTGATTCTTCAATCGTTTTTGTTGTGTTTTGCTATGTTTCATTTTGTTGTTCTTTGCTCAAATAAGCCCAGTTAAAATTTAAACTTGTCTAAGGATATTTCCATGAAACATGAGAAAAGGACATTGGTCACAGAAAAGATGATTGGTCTGGTTTGTGTTAATTTAGTGCTTGTTGCAAATAATTCGCCACTTTTTAGAAGAAACCAAGTGGTCACATAAAGTCAGAGGCCACTGCAAATGTTTCAATAAAGGAGTTTAGGAAACCTACATCTCAGGCCAGGCGCAGTGGCTCCCACCCATAATCCCAGCACTTTGGGAGGCTGAAACAGGCGGATCACCTGAGGTCAGGAGTTCGAGACCAGCCTGACCAATATGGAGAAACCCCGTCTCTACTAAAAATACAAAATTAGCCAGGTGTGGTGGTGCATGCCTGTAATCCTAGCTACTCGGGAGGCTGAGACAGAAGAATTGCCTGGGAGGCAGAGGTTGTGGTGAGCTGAGATCGTGCCACTGCACTCCAGCCAGGGCAACAAGAGCGAAACTCCATCTAAAAAAAAAAAAAAGAAAGAAACCTGCATCTCTCCTACCTCACAAATTTGGACAACTTTGAGTCACAAAAAGTCACCAGCTGTTCTGTGAACTAAATTACACAAGCTCTAGAACACATGCTCCATCCAAAGTAAGTGGGAATTGTCTTTTCCATGCAAAAAGTGCCACACCAAGCCATTCCATGCCACCAGCTTTATGTAGCATCAAAATTACATTTTCCACAGAAAACACTCCTTCCACTTTCCCAGAAAGACCATCCACCCTAATGTCTGGTAATTCAGCCAAGCACATATTATAGGAGCATGTTCCTGAAATCTACAGCATAAATGAATTGTATTAAAGACTTCTCCCCTCTCTAGTAGAGATGTCAGTTGCTGCTTACAGGTCCTTTTGGAGTGAATGCTGTTGTCATTCCCCTGAGACTCAAGCCTGCCAAATAAACCAGACTCTCTCTCTTCTGTTCCTATCATCTCCCATTGTCATTTTCTTTTTTTTCACTGCAGATTCAATCTCTGGATCTTCTCCACCCCAAGTGCTGTCATTATCATCAAATGACTTAGGCAGGGTTTTTGTGCTCTATTTTGAATATATATTTGTGTGTGTACATATATTTAAAATTGCTTACATATCTATATAAAAAATGGCTTATATACACCTATTATTATAGATTATAATAATGTATGTATATAAATAATATAAACAATATATTGTATGTTTTTATATACATATTTATGTAATTATGGGAGTGGCATCCCTTTACCTTTGCCATATTCTATTGGTTAGAAGTAAATCACAAGTCCCATTCACACTCAAGGGAAGAGTATTACACAAATACTTGAACACTAGGAGATAGAAATTATTGGAGATCAACCTAGGGAATCTTTGTCAAAGTAAGCTTGTGCAAAATTAATTGTGTTTTCCAGGCTTTTAAATATACTCCTACTGTAATCTGAATATTTGTGACTGCCCCATCACTGAAAATTCATATGTTGAAACCTAATCACCAATATTATTAGGTTAGGCTTTAGGGCCTTTGGAAGGTGATTAGGTGATAAAGGTGGAATCTTCATGAATGGGATTAGTGCTCTTATAAAATATGCCTGAGAGAGACCTTTTTCTGTAAATGGCCAAGTAGTAAATATTTTAGGATTTGCAAGTCAAATGGCCAAATCAAGGATATTATGTAGGTACTTATATAACAAGGGAGAAAAAAAGTCTACTCATATTTATTGATGCAATTCAAAACACAATACTAATTGAGTATAATTATTGATAACGAGAAAAATTAAATAATAATAATAATTATTATTATTACAGATGGGGGCTCAAAGTTAGCCTTTCCTATCATCAAAGTCATTTGCTAATGCTCATCTGTTAATGACCTGTAGTGCAATTTTATTTATTTCATCTTTGAAAATATCTTTTCATAAAGATAGGAGATGCCAAATGGCTAATATTAATCTGTGAGTATATAATTTGGGGCATATTCATTGCATGGAAGACATTTATGGATTCTAGTAGGTTCATCTCTTTATGTTTGCTTTTAGCATGTCATTACATTGCAAATTAGTCACTTCAAAGTGAGGCTTAGTGTGAAGCTCCTCAATTGCACAATTAAGTAGATTTTGAAATATGAAAATTGCTTTTGCACTTGCATTAAGTTTTTAACATACTGTTGGTACTGTAGTTCGAGTTAGGAGAATATATCTGCTGAAAATTTCTGTGGGATTGGAGAATTGCTTCTTTTAACTTTTGACAGCACAAGCAGTGCACAGGGCAGCTTGATATTACTATGATTCTAGCAGTGTTAGCTGTCATCAAAATGACTTTACTGCAGTACAAGTTTTATACATAAACATTGTTTTACCTTGTAATTTTGGGCTGAATTTATTAAAAAGCATTATCCAATCTGAAACAAAAGCTAACTTCCAAAGCCAGTCAGTGTTTGATCATAGTAATTGAGGGCAGTTCTTCCCCTTCAAAAAAAAATTTCCATCTCATCCCTGAGTTAAACACACACACACACACACACACACACACACACACACACACACACACACATACAACTTGTCAGCGTTAAGTCATTAAACTGCTGTGTGATCCATCTTGTCAGGACCTTCAGCTTCTAATTTCTGTCAAAAATTTGTAAAAGTGATGCCTGGTCCACCAGAGCAAATTAAGTCTACTGTTCAATAACACCTGATACCATCAAATTTTTTCCACAAATTATCTGTTAATGAATAATATAATAGATAACAATAGGTTTACATTTATCACAAGTTATTTAAACTTTTTCATCTAAGCCTCTTCCTCTCCTTCTCATAATTTTGCCATCACTAGCTGTAACATATCTTAGCAGATTTAGCTGCAGGTTGCAGTGAATTATTGTTTTTCAACTTCTTAGAAAATACTGTACTTCTAGGCCGTGCGTTGTCGCTCATGCCTGTAATCCCAGTACTTTGGGAGACCGAAGCAGGTGGATCACCTGAGGTCAGGAGTTCGAGACCAGCCTGGCCAACATAGTGAAACCCCCGTCTCTACTAAAAACACAAAAATTAGCAGGGTGTCATGGTGCATGCCTGTAATCCCAGTTACTCGGTAGGCTGAGGCAGGAGAATTGCTTGAACCCGGGAGGCGGAGGTTGCAATGAGCCGGGATTGTGCGACTGTTCTCCAGCCTGGGCAGCAGAGTGAGACTCCGTCTCAAAAAAAAAAAAAAAAAAAAAAAAAAATACTGGTGACAGAGACTCGAGTCTTCATTCCTTACATTAATAGTTTGAATGCTTATCAACTGAACTGCATGAATCTATCAATCTAGCTGGGACACACATATATATTCCACTAACTCATTTGGTAGCTGTTGTCCTAATCTGTGAATCTCCTTTGAATTTTCCTCTTGGCAGAGAAAGTTCCATTTTAAAGGGACAGTATAGTCGCTAAAGCTCCAGAACACTCTGTTTTCCTCCCTCCTGTCTTCCTTGTCTTCCATCTCTTTATGAGTCTAGATAAAGAGTTGTAATGTTCCCTAGAAAAAGTCACTGAGGTTATTAACTCCTTCACTCATTTTCCTTCCTTTTCAAACTTAGTAAACCATAGGAATTGCTTGAGCTCATTTCCAGGGGTTGACTTTTAAAGTGAAAGAACTTGTGGCATTTCCCTTCTGTCACAGATGCACAATCTGAACATTAAGTCAAATGCCTTAGAAAGCCTAAAATGATCCTGAAATAAAAATATTTACTCATAGTTCCTTCTTTGATCTTGCTTGAATTTTTCCCTCGGCTTGTGTTCCCATGAGGCAACAAGGCTCCAAGACAACTACAGTGAGGTTATGAAGAGCAAAAGAAAAAGACTGGCAAATCAGTGCTTCCATTAAAGCTGTTATTCACTGTCTTGAGTGGCTGTGAGTGGAATCAAAGGCCAAATAAAAATCCAAGAAATGAACAACTTTTTTTTAATAAAAAGGAAAATCTAAATTCTACCACAAATACCAAGGTATACTCTGATAGAAGGAAACCAAAAACAGTCTCCGTGGGCTCCGTAGCTTAGTTGGTTAAAGCGCCTGTCTAGTAAACAGGAGATCCTGGGTTCGACTCCCAGCGGGGCCTTGGTTGGCAAGGTCGGTGTGCCTTTCTGCCAACTCTCTTAAAACTTGAGATTTTTCTATCGTTCCTGTCTACCTTCGAAGATCCTCCACCCCTGATTTTGGACATAACAGGTGGCATCCAAAGGCTTTGGAAACAAACTGAAACTGTACATCCTCCCAACATAAGACTACATAAAAATAGCAAAGATCAGGACAATAATTATAATATACTGCCCATTTTTTTGTTTGCTTTAAAAAAAAATTCAAGCCATATCTTCCATTGGGATTTTCTGTGCAATGTCGTTTCAAGTATTCCAATTTATATAAAGAGTTAAGAACAACAAATTGAAGTTTAGAGAGGGAACGTATACTGTAGGCGTGGATTTTAATACAGTACTGGCCAGTGCTCTTGGGATTATAATTCAACTATAGGCATGCGAAGAGTTAGAATGTCTTCAATTCTCCAAATTTGTAAAATGTCAACTATGAATTAATAATCTGTAATTATGAATGCCGATTATAGATACTACAATTACATGTACTGTGAATGTCGATTTAATATTGAAGAAGGCCAGCTACATAATTTACAGGCCCAGTGTAAAATGAAAATACAGGGTCCCTTATTCAAAAAGCAGGGGCAACTGCCATCAAAAGTGCTAAAATACAAAGCTTTTCCCTTTCAGTCGCTCTTTTTTCGGCCTGTCATGGTATTTTTCATTTTCTGTCTAATGTCACTCTAATTAAGAAAAAATAAAATAAAATTGTGAGTATCAAAATGAATTTTACAGTTCATCTTTATTTCACACATCAAAATTCACGGGGCATCGCGATTGCTTTATTATATATGGAGAAGCAAAGGAAGTCAGACACGAAATTCCTTTGCTTATGTGCCATGCTCTTTTGCTCCCCCGAATATCAATTACGAAATATAAATTAAGAGATGCAGTTCATATGAAATTTTAAGACTGCAAAGGCAGATCGCTGGTAGAGTCTCTGAAAAGGAAAAGTTGCCAAAACCCAGAATTGAACCAGTCTCCTTTAGATCTTCAGGCTGATGCCCTCCCAACCGAGCTATCTCAGCTTACTGTAGACTGAAAATTTTATTCAATTTCTCTTTCAATACTTCGATTGTTTCCAACTTTTTAGCTTTCAGGTTTCTTAAGTACTTTTATTATACAATGTATTTACCCACTAAGAAAGACTTGGAACTTATTGACTCCTACATATGATGGCTGAATCCAATTCCCTGGCAGTGTGGAATGGATAGGTGGAGGAGGGAGATAGAAGAAAAGTAACAGGAATTAAAAAACAAACAAAAAACTTTCTGCTCTTCCACATCCTGTTGGTTGAGCCAGACACAGCAAAGAAAATTTAAAAATAAAAATAAAAAATAAAATGTGGTGGCGTTCTTTGTTTTTCTTTTCTTTTTGTCTTTAATAATCTTCGAAGATGTGGAGAATTGGAACCCAAGGTTAATTTCTGTTAATGTGGGGTCAGGTTTCTGTCTCCTAGCGATGATTTTGAATGAGCTATTAATCCTTTGTTTTATCCTCTTTCATCTAGTCTTTGTCATAGTCTTTTGCACTGGGTGGTGCAGAAGTTTATGGCGTACAAATGGAGTAGCACTAAAGGGAGTACTTTGGATCATGTATGCGAGTAAAGCGTATGAGAAAAGAAGGGGTGGCTGTTGGTGAGTAGCTAAAGAACAGCAACATTTTCAGGAAATGAAACCAAGACAGCACACATTTTAAGTATGCATTCTACCACCGAGCAACATTCTTGTGATAGCCAAGCTCTCTTGGAGATACATCTTGATATATCTGTGTCAGTATTTCTAATTTTCAAAACATAATGGTTGGCGGGAGAAAATCCACTGAGATAAATCCCACTATTTCTGAAATCACTAAACTGGATCTCGTTTAATCGCTATACCACGAGAAAGGTTACTGAATTGCAGACTAAATGACAATGCATCTGCTTCTAGGACATTCCCAGTCCAACCTGAAAAGGGTAGACAATTGCTGAAACATGTTTATATGAATATTGTTTTACTTGCACATAATTAACCTAGGGTGAATAAGTTTCTTTCTTTTGAACTGATAGAGCTTTGTTTTCTTTTGTTTTTCACATTGTGAGATTTGTCACAGACAATTGTCACAATTGTTTTGACCTAATTAAAGTGTGGAGCACATTACTGCTAATTATTTTCAATATTCCCCTTTTTATTAAGAGCTAGAACAAGTCTTTATTGTGGATCGGAAGCTGATTGGGAAACTAGGAGCTAGTTTTAATGTAAGAAACATCATACATTTTTTATTATTAAAAATGTAGAACTTAAATTTAGGAAAGACAATATCAAAAAGAACTGCCAAATACAATTGTATTACATCAGGATACTAGATGTGTAATGTAAAAAAAGTTTTTTTTTTGCTGTAAAAATTATTAGTTGATCAGGAATGGTGAGAAGGGAAAAAATTTATTAGGTTTCTTTGTTTTGTTTTGTTTTGTTTTGTTTTGTTTTGTTTTGTTTGTGTGTGTGTGTGTGTGTGTGAGACGGAGTCTCGCTCTGTCGCCCAGGCTGGAGTGCAGTGGCTTGATCTCGGCTCACTGCAAGCTCCGCCTCCCGGGTTCATGCCATTCTCCTGCCTCAGCCTCCCGAGCAGCTGGGACTGCAGCTATTAGGATGCATTAACGAGGATTGAGAGTCAGCTGGAAAATGGATGTTGTCACACTGTCCGACAAATACAGTGTGAATTCAGCTCGCCGACGGCTGCCTCTGGACTGAGGAGCACTTCATTTGAGTTAGTATTGCGGGAGAAAATAGAAGTGTGGCAAACATAGCTCAATTGGAAGAGCTCTGGACTAAAGGTCTAGACTAAAATCAGGGATCCTTCTCCATGACTGAACAGTCCTCAATGTTGGAAGTTTGTGCTTTTTGCTGGTGGAGGAAAGTAGCTTTCATGCAGTTTGCTTGTGAATGGAGCTTGAAGCAGGCTAACAGGAACTGGAAAGTCCGAGGATAAGAAACTGCGTCATTTGGACTATAATCTTAGTGTCTTAGTATACTGTTATAAGTATATTAGGATACTGTTAGCTGCCAAACAGTATCCAGTTCAGTGATTTCACGAAAGTAGTGGAATTTAATCCAGCGATCTTTCTCCAACCAACAGAAAATGAAACCAACAAACTGAAAACAAGTGATATTTTATATATAAGCCAACAGAACTCTCATGCGGTCAGGGGGTGTAGCTCAGTGGTAGAGCGCGTGCTTCGCATGTACGAGGCCCCGGGTTCGACCCCCGGCTCCTCCAGTTGTCCATTTTCTTCATTCTCCTTTCTGGTTCTTTGCATGCGTTTGTCACTTTTTCTCCTACTCCTATAAAAAGAGGACAGTGTCAAATGTGTTGCTTTTAATACTATGCTATTTATTCTGGCACTCATCTGTGGCTTTTTATAAAACTTAGCTTGAGAAGAATGTCTTGCTAACGTGAGTGAAACAAGCAGACATTGAAAGGGGGACACAAATTACCCCACAAGGAGTTCTTCTTTATATTTTTTCCAGACGCAAATATCTTTTAAATTATGTTGATTAAGGTTAAAACTTTCTAGGCTTACATCAAAGCTGTGTGTGGGTCATGGCATCATTTCTAACTGTATGTAGATATCGACTTGTAGCCCAGCGTAAAAAAAAAAAAAAAAAAAAAAACCTAAATAGATAAATTTTCCATCAAGATCTCCTTGGCAGGAAGCACGAACCCTGCAATCTCATTACGGACCCATGCACTTTGAGTTCCGTTTGGCGGTATCGCTAAAGAGATAGACTAAAAAAGAATGGAAATAAGAAAAAATAGGCAGCTCAGAGAAAATTTTCCGTGCATCTCTGCTTTAGGGGCATTAGGTCGTCCAAGGATGAGGAGCAGAAAATCTTCCCACTGGTTGCCTTCCGCCTCTCTCCTCGGGGCTTCTCCACCAGCCGCCTCTGCCGCTGATAATTGAATTGTGAGCAGCAGAGGGGCTGGGCATTAGGTCCCAAGTTTTTCTGGGTGAGTTAGTGTGTAAAGGTTGTCTAAATGTAAGGTGGCACTCAGCGCTTTGCCTCGCGAACGCTTAAAACATCATTTGGGTGACTGAAAACAGCCAGCTCTCGTTCGCTGCAATAGCTTACAGCCTACAGCAAGCGATCTACCAACAGGTTTTAAAAGTTAGGTCTTGGCTGGGCACGCTGGTTCACGCCTGTAATCCCAGCACTTTGGGAGGCCTAGGTGGGTGGATCACCTCAGGTCAGGAGTTCAAGACCAGCCTGGCCAACATGGTGTAAACCTCTTCTCTACTATTAGCCGGGCGTGGTGGCCGGCGCCTGTAATCCCAGCTACTCGGGAGGCTGAGGCGGGAGAATCGCTTGAACCCGGGAGGCGGAGGTTGCGGTGAGCCGAGATCGCACCTCTCCAGCCTCGGCGACAGAGAGAGACTCCGTCTCAAAAAAAAAAAAAAGAAAAGAAAAAAAAGTTAGGTCTTGGGTTTTGGCAGCAGTTATTTTTATTGCATATTAAATCGACTTTCACAGGAAATGTACACAAAATATGTAATAGAAGACACCGAATAACTCCCCCCATTCCTCAAACCAAAACATCTAGCTGCAGTAAAAATCTCAGAAGCATTGCCAAATAGCGTATTTAAATTATTTGCCTTCTACATTTCCTCGATGAATTTCAGGGTTGTTTGTTCTTGAATCTTTAAATGAATTAATAATACTTCACATATCACTGTACCAAAGGCCCCAAAGGCAGGTGTGGCCAAAGGTGTGTGGATGAGGAATAGGACTAGATAAAGTTGCTTGAATTTCTAGAAAGAAACACTTGTTAAAGAGTAAGTAAAAACTATGGTATATCATTGTTCTGCACTTTCTTTTCCATACAAATCGTGTATTGGTGAATGTATCAAAATCGATACCAGTTTTCTTTGTCAAAGCTTTTGCATGCTACCTTTTGTATTAAAAAAGGATGTTTTAAATGTGAAGTTGAAATTCCAAATATAGCGTCAAATTTCCTTTGTTTGAAAAAACTAAGAGCGTGCTCCTCCTAGTTCCTTAAGGAGCAGGAGAGGGAGCAAGGATGAATCACTAGCTCAGTTATCTCTGAGACCCAAACCCAGGACAGAGGTTTTAACCAGCTAAGTCACAGAGTCCCCTGGCAGGGCTATCCCCATCAGGTATATTATGGTCATGCTGCTGTCTGAATTATTTCTGGGCAAAGAAAAAATGATAGACCTTCTTTCTCTTTGACCCTCATTTCATTGACTCCTGATTGGCCCGCAGAGTTGCCAAATCAGTGAAAAACAGCTTGGACCACCTTCCATTTTGCCAAGCATGGATTCTCAGGGCATCTTTTACCTCTTGCTGTTTATAACCCTACAGTATTTGGTGTGGAGCCCTCAACACATCTCTCAGGCAGCTATCAAGAACGATGAAAGACAAAACATCCCCATGAAGCAGTAGAACTCTGGCCATTGTAATCCATGAGGGAATCCATATTTTGGAGACCCCTTTCCAGGAAAAGGGAATAGCTAAGACCCACGACCTCAAAGCTTCACACACAAACAAGCCTGGCCAACGTTAACACACTTGGCTTCAGGTTGGAACTCCAGTGTGTTTCTCTTTCTCCAGGTAGTCTCCACCCTATCACAGATTTCCTACACCGTTGCACCAGAGCCCCTGAATTTTCACTGCTTCTGGCTGTCTGCACAATTAGAAATACTAGGAGGAGGGTACAAAAGAGCAGAACTCAGAAAGTTGTCTGGGGAAATCTAGATTCAGATGGAAGAAGAAAACAGGTCCCAAATGAAAACCTATGTGTGCTTTTCCGCGCTACCCACAGAGGGGTCCATAGGGCGTTGTTTTGGATTCCCGTTGTGACTTGAAGGGAAACTTTCACAATGTTCGGAGCCCTTGATGTACTGCAGATGAATGAGGAGGATGTCCTTAAGTTCCTTGCCGCAAGAACCCACTCAGGTGGCACCAATCTTTACTTCCAAATGGAACAGTACATTTATAAAAGTAAAAGCGATGGCATCTACATCATAAATCTGAAAAGGACCTGAGAGAAGCTTCTGCTGGCAGCTCGTGCCATTGCTGCCATTGAAAACCTTGCTGATGTCAGTGTTATATCCTCCAGGAATACTGGCCAGAGGGCAGTGCTGAAATTTGCTGCTGCCACTGGAGCCACTCCAACTGCTGGCTGCTTCACTCCTGGAACCTTCACTAGCCAGATCCAGGCAGCCTTCCGAGAGCCACGGCTTCCTGTGGTTACTGACCCCAGGGTTGACCACCAGCCTTTAATGGAGGCATCTTATGTTAACCTACCTACCATTGCTCTGTGTAACACAGATTCTCCTCTGTGCTATGTGGATATTGCCATTCCATGCAACAACAAAGGAGCTCACTCAGTGGGTGTGATGTGGTGGATGTTGGTCCCAGAAGTTCGGCGCATAAGTGGCACCATTTCCCGTGAACACCCGTGGGAGGTCATGACTGATCCCTGCTTCTACAGAGATCCCGAAGAGATTGAAAAAGAAAAGCAAGCTGCTGCTGAAAAGGCTGTGACCAACGAGGAATTTCAGGGTGAATGGACTGCACCAGCTCTTCAGTTCACTGCTACCCAGCCTGAGGTTGCAGACAGGTCTGAAGGCCTGCAGGTGCCGTCTGTGCCTATCCAGCAGTTACCTACTGAAGACTGGAGCGCTCAGCCTGACACAGAAGACTGATCTGCAGCTCAAACTGCTCAGGCCACTGAATGGGTAGAAGCAACCACTGAATGGTCTTAAGCTATTCTTGCACAGGCTCTTAGACAACATGGAAATAACATTGACGGGAAATAAACATCAGTTTCAAAAAAAAAAAAAAAGGAGAGAGAGAGAGAAAGAAAGAACGAACGAAAGAAAGAAACAAAGAAAGAGTAAGAAAGAAAAGAAAAGAAAGAAAAAAGAAAAAAAAACCTAAGTGTATGCTGTCACAGTCACTGCTCTAGCAAACTCTTCAGTGGATCATCATGATCAGGAAACTCAGCAGTGGCTTCGTCTCAGGGACGCTGCAGTTCCGTTCCTGAGACCTACAAAGAAACACATAGGAGGCATTTAAGTTTAAGGGACTTAAACTTCTGTTACAACCTCTTTACTCTTACCCCGTGCTCCTGGAGAGATTCTGAAACCTCAACCATCACAATGGCACAAATAACAGACACTTTCCTCCTGTTGTTAAATTTTGGGGTGTCCAACTATGTCCACATAAATTTTAGGAGGTAATCCTAAACCATTGTGTCTTCTCTTACTTTTACCTTTCTCTCTAATATTTTTCCTATTTGTGCAAAATCTGTATCTTCCTGAATATGTGAATAAATTATGTATCAACTTCTTGGTTCCTTCCCAACTTTTGTCTCCTGTCCCCACCCCCGCTAGAATTAACGGAGTGAGGCTCAGTTGTGGCTGGAAAGTCACTGAGATGGGCGTTTAGAGGCAAGGCGCCATTTATAACATAGCCAACCAGAAACAACCTCCAATAAAGAGTCAAAAGGTTTTAGACTGGAATGCAGTGTTTCCTGAGCCTGAGGAACCGCCCTGAGAACTTCAATGGTATACCCGTTTGTAACTTACAGCTCCATAGTGGACCGATAATCACCGGATAGGGAGAAAGATGGGAATCTTCACAATTGAAAGGTCTCCCTCAGACGATTATCATTCAGGCTTGAGAACGCCAACCTAGAAAGTGGAGCTGCAGAAACTGTAGTGAGCTGAGCTGCTGGAGGACATTTAGGTAGGAGGAAGCCGTGGAACTGAATCAACGGGAATGGGAGAAAGTGGAAGTGAAGGTGACAAGAGGTGGTGAAGAAAACGAGTCGGGAGATAGGTGGAGGCAGGTGGTTGCAGAAGAGGAAGGGACGAAGGAGAGAGCTTCAAGCCAGATCTTTACGGAGGCCTAAGATTTGGATGGCCCTGAAATTGTCCGCATTGCCAATGTCTCCTAGGCTCCTCTATAATGTTTTGTTTTGAGACGGAATATCGCTCTATCGCCCAGGCTGCAGTGCAGTGGCGCAATCTCGAATCACTGCAACCTCTGCCTCCCGGGTTCAAGCGATTCTCTTGCCTCAGCCTCCCAAGTAGCTGGGATTACAGGCGAGCGCCACCGCGCCCAGCTAATTTTCCTGTTTGTAGTAGAGACAGGGTTTCCGCCATGATCTCGAGCTCCTGAACTCAGCTGATCTGCCTACCTCGGCCTCCCAATGTGCTGGGATTACAGGCATGAGCCACCGAGCCCGGCCCCTCGGCTCCTCTTTGGCTGTAGGAAACCAGGTCTTTCCCTCCCAAGGGAGGTGAACTACAAGCTTCTGTTCCACAGGAAAACATAACCCTTTTTGTCCAAAACTGACACCGCTTTGAGAGCGACCAGCGGCTTTTTCCATCTCTGAAAATAATTTTCTCAACTGTGTATTTTGAAAGTCTCGGAGTTTCGCCAGAAGCGTCTTTCGTTCGGAAAAAATTCTAAACATTCCTTCTTTAGAGAAAGCTGAGATCACAGCGCTCCCATGACTAATGATTGGACCCACTTTTGCCGCCCAACCAAGATTCTATGAGTGGTGGAAATGTAGGGGAGAATGAGGAAAGGTCTGTAGTCTGTCAGATATGGGTGGAGTGGGGGTGGGGGGGGGAGGAGAGAAATCTAATGGATGTTTTCCAAGGGCGATTTTTTTTTCTTCTCTTTCTGTTTTTTATTCCCCCCCGATTTCTTAATAGTAATGAGAAACGGCAGCAAAGGAGAACGAGTCTTTTTTTTTTTTTTTTTTTTTTTTGTGATGGAGTCTTGCTCAGTCGCCCAGGCTGGAGTGCAGTGGCGCGATCTCGGCTCACTGCAAGCTCAGCCTCCCGGGTTTATGCAATTCTCCTGTCTCAGCCTCTGGAGTAGCTGGGACTACAGGTGCCCGCCACCACGCCCGGCTAATTTTTTTTTTTTTTTTTTGTATTTTTAGTAGAGATGGGGTTTCACCATGTTAGCCAGGATGGTCTAGGAGAACGAGTCTTCTATGACCGGCATGCCTGTTGCTTCACTCTCAGGGGATCTTGAATAAGCAGCTTCTCTATTTCAGTAAATAACTATAAAGCTGTGCTGAAGCAGTCAGGTTGGGAGGCTGAAGGAGTGTTAGGACCCATAGTACAAATGAATGAGTACCAAATGGCTTACCTTCGCTGTGAGTAGGAAAAACACAAGCTAGTGTATGCACAAAGAAAAAAGAAAAGACTGGAACTAAGTATTCAAAGACTGAAACGAAATGTTCAACGATAGATATAAGGAAATGTACTTGTGGAAGTGCTGGGGATCGAACCCAGAGCCTCATGAATGCTAAGCATACGCTCTACCACTGAGCTACACCCCCACTCACAATGCCGTTTTCTTACTGATTTATTATATGCTATTATCTAAAGGTGAGGGCTTAAG
This sequence comes from Homo sapiens, assembly GCF_000001405.40. Taxonomy (NCBI): domain Eukaryota; kingdom Metazoa; phylum Chordata; class Mammalia; order Primates; family Hominidae; genus Homo; species Homo sapiens. The sequence continues at coordinate 44,903 of NT_167249.2, forward strand.
GCATGATAGGTTAAAGTCCGCTATGTTTTAACTCCTGTTTCTGAAACTTCTGAATGGAATCTTGTCTTGACGCTGTGTCAAGAGGAGAAAGGCATTCTGGACCGAAAGACCCTTGGATCCTCTCACAGCCGTCATCTATTTCAAGGACTGCTGTTAGCCAACTTTCTTTGTCAGTTTCCGTCCACCTGGAGCGAAGTTCCAAGATTGAATCTTCTGGTATGTCTTCAGATTCTCTCCTTTTTAAAAAAACCTCCTCTATGGAGCTGCCAACACACACACACACACACACACGCGCGCGCGATAGTGCCAGAGAATATAAAGACGAGTTCTGTGAGTGCTGCAGAGGAAACGTAGATCCAGGTGAGGAGACAAGACAAGATGTTAATGCACAAAAGTCAACTAAAAACGAATTTAAATCTTAAACTTAAGCCCCTAAACTGTAAAATTCCTTGAAGAAAACAGGGGGGAATATTCTTGACATTGGTTTAGGCAATGGTTTCTTGAGTATGACACCAAAAGCACAGGCAACAAAAGCAAAAATGGATAAGCGAGACTATAGCAAACTAAAAAGCTTCTTCACAGGAAAGAAAACAATCAACAAAGGAAAAAGGCAAGCTATGGAATGGGAGAAAATATTTGCAAATCATTTATCTGATAAGGGGTTAATATACAAAATAAATTTTTTAAACCGCTACAAGTCAATAGCCACACACACACACACACACACATACACACACACACCCCTTAGAATCCCAAATAACCTGATTTTTAAAACGAGCATAGGACTTGAATAGACATGTCTCCAAAGAAGACATACAAATAGCCACTAGGTATGTGAAGAGGTGCTCTTAACATCACTAATCATCAAGGAAATGCAAATCAAAATCACAATAGATACCACCTCACACCTATTAGGATGTCTGTTATTAAAAAGAAAAAACTCAAAAGGTAAGTGTTAGCAAAGATGTAGAGAAATTGGAACCCTTCTACACTGTTGGTGTGTAAAATGATGACACCACTATGGAAAATAGTAAGGGGTCGCCTCAAAAGATAAAAATAGAACTACCATATGATCCAGCAATCCCACTTCTGGGTATATGTCCCCAAAAAATCGAAATTAGAATTTCAAAGAAACATATGCACTCCCATGTTCACTGCAGCATTATTTACAATAACCAAGATAAGGGAACAATCCAAGTGTCCATTGAGAGATGAGTGGACAAAGAAAATGTGGTATATACATACAATGGAATATTATTCAGCCTTTTATAAAAAAGAAATTCTGCCATTTGCACCAGCATCAATGATTAACCTGGAGGACATTATGCTAAGTGAAATAAGCCAGTCACAGAAGGACAAATATTTCATAATTCCACTTATATGAGGTATCTAAAATAGTCAAACTCATAAATGCAGAGAACAGAATGGTGATTGTCAGGGAACAGAGGCAGAGGGAAATGGGGAGTTGTTGCTCGGTGAGTTAAAATTTTAGTTATGAAACATGAATAAGTTCTAGAGATCTATTGCACAACCTAGTGCCTTCAGTTAACAATACCATAATGTACACTTAAAATTTTGTTAAAAAGATAACTCGGCCGGGAGCGGTGGCTCACGCCTGTAATCTCAGCACTTTGGGAGGCCGAGGCGGGCGGATCACGAGGTCAGGAGATCGAGACCATCCTGGCTAACGCGGTGAAACCCCGTCTCTACTAAAAATGTTTTAAAAAATTAGCCGGGCGCGGTGGCGGGCGCCTGTAGTCCCAGCTACTCGAGAGGCTGAGGCAGGAGAATGGCGTGAACCCGGAAGTCGGAGGTTGCAGTGAGCCGAGATCGCACCACTGCACTCTAGCCTGGGCGACAGGCGAGACTCAGTCTCAAAATAAAAAAAAAAAAAAAAAAGATAACTCTGATGTTTAAGTCTTCTTACCACCCATGAACATGAAAGAACACAAAGAAACTTTTGGAGTTGATAAGTGTGTTTATTACCGATTGTGGAAATAGCATTATAAATGTATGCATATGTCCTCACTCATATGCTTACCTTCAACGTGTAGGGGTTTTGCATATATCAACTGTACTTCAATAAAGTTGTTAATAACTCCTGAAAAACAACCAAACAAGCAAAGACAAGAGGTTAATTCACAACATTGACAAAAACAAAGAGTGACAAAGGTAGCAGTTTTGCACAAGGTTGCGTCCAACATCTGGATTTGGAAATGTGGCAGCGGCTTCATCGGCGACTCTACAGCTATAGGTTTTTTTGTTTTTGATTTTTTATAGAGACGGGATGGGGGAAGGGGGAGGGTCGGTCTTCTCCCTGTGTTGCCCAGGCTGGTCTTGAATTCCTGGGCTTAAGCAATACTCCCGCCTCCGCCTCCAAAAGTGCTCGGATTACTGGTGTTTGCCGCCAAGCCTGACTAGCTCTGGTTTTAAAGACAACACAAACGAAGCCGAAGACAGAGGACTCTTTCAGAGCAAATTTTTTTGAGCAAGGAGGAAAGCACAAAGGAAGCTGGTCTCAACCTGAGAAAACCAATTCACCCTTTGTAAAACCCTCCCTACACCCCCACAAGTGAGAAAATTTCATCAGTCCCTGAAGTGCAGAAAGTAGACCCTTCCCATCTGTAGCCAAAATGTGGTGCGACTGTTTAATCCAGATACGAATTTTGGAGAACATTGTAAACCCAGCAGGGGCGTAAGGGAGAGTAGGGAGAAGTTTGTCCCTAATGTACAGGTTATGTTCTTACTATACTAGAAAGGCAAGTGGCTGGGAACTGAAATGAGCTGAGGAGTGGACGCAAGGGAAGGCTTTGAAAAGGAAGGAAGGGCTCTTGGAGCCGGGAGGGATAACACTGAGTGGAGGAGAGAAGAAGCAGCGGAGAAGAAGGCAGAAGAAAAATCGGGGACGCGTCTTTAAAGACGGATAGTATTGAGACAAGCGTGGAGGAAGAAAGCAGCCAAGCGCCGCGTCTCTGCCAAGCTTTCTCTAGGCCCTGGGGAAGAGAGAAGGCTCTAGGTGAGTGGTTTCAAAGTGTATATCCCACAGAAGGGTACGGCTCGTGTTGCCCAAGATTTTGTGACTCTGAGAGTGCCTCACTGCACTGCACTCTCCATCGCAGGAAACAGGCTGAGCATTTTCGAGGGCGTGTGGTTGAGTATTCGTGGAGCAGTAGCCCCTGGTATTGGAGGTTTGAGGAAAGTAACGTTGTGTCAGTTCTCATGTGGAAGCAGCCTGCAGCTTTGATGCAGGCAGCAACTGTTTAGTTTGTGTTTCTTTTTGTTTGTTTGTTTATTTTCGCGTGTTTGGGTTTAAAATACAAGAGAAAGAATGAGGAAGAAAGGTTAAGTAGTGACTGAACGTTTTGGGTTAGAGTAGATACCCACTAAAACCATCGTACTTCTGGCTAGCTCAGCTGGAAATGCATCAGGCCACTAGTCCGGAAATTTAGGAATCACGATCCTGTTCTGATGTAGATACTTTTCATTTTCCCATACTTCTTTTTGATTCATACTCAACAGGCTACTGAACCCAGCTTTCTCCTGGAGCAACCGGGAGGGTATTTGCGGTGCGTTTTGCTACTTATATTCTCTCTAGTCTCAGCGGAAGAGACAAGATTTGAACGGGGAAAGTCGGATTTGCAGAGAGGTATTCATTCAAGGCTCTTTTCTGCCCTACTGTCAAGTGGATGAACAAAACGCTGACTTAAGATATGAGGAGGATTGCAGTGTTGAGAGTGCAAAAAGTGTCAAGTCAAAACATGGACATATTTTGCTCATAATGTAGATAAATTATTTTGGTAGACATAAATTTTATTATTATTATTATATTTATTTATTTTTTGAGACGGACTCTCGCTCTGTCGCCCAGGCTGGACTGCAGTGGCGCGATCGCGGCTCTCTGCAACTTCCGCCTACCGGGATCAAGCGATTGTCCTGCCTCAGCCTCCCGAGTAGCTGGGAGTACAGGCGCCCGCCACCACACCCGTTTAATTTTTGTATTTTTAGTAGAGACAGGGTTTCACCATATTATTCGGGCTGGTCTCGAACTCCTGACCCCAGGTGATCCGCCCGCCTCGGTCTCCCAAAGTGCTGGGATTACAGGCGTGAGCCACAGCACCCAGCCATAAATTTATTAATATAAAAAATTATTGGTCAGGAGCAGTGGCTTACACCTCAAATCCCAGCACTTTGGGAGACCAAAGCAGGAGGATCAATTGAGTTCAGGAGTTGGAGACCAGCCTGGCTAACATAGTGAGAGCCTGTCTCTACAAAAAAATAGAAAAATTAGCCAGGTATGGTGGTGCACACCTGTGGTCCCAGCTACACCAGAGGCCAAGGCAGGAGGATTGCCTGGGCCTAGGAGTTTGAGGTAGCAGTGAGCCATGCTTGCAGTGCCACTGCACTCCAGCCTGGGTGACAGGGCGAGACCTCAACTCAAAAAATAAATAAAATAAACTTTACTTAAAAAAAATTACTGAGGGGACAGCCAGAGTGGCTCACGCCTGTAATCCTAGCATTTTCGGAGACCAAGACAAGAGAACTGAGTCCAGGAGTTTGTGCTCAAGTAATAACAATACTATCAGCACTCAATCTTGGTATCTTAAAACTTGACATTTAAATGAAATTTTAATTTGAGTCAATTAAGAATAGAATATTCCACTTTTGCATAATTAACCATGAATTCACACAACAAATCAGAATTTATTTATTTCATTTTTATTATTATTATTTTTTGAGATGGTGTCTCACTCTGCCACCCAGGCTGGGGTGCCAGTGGCGTGATCTCAGTTCACTGCAACCTCCACCTCCCGGGTTCAAGTGATTCTCGTGTCTCAGCCTCCCTAGCAGCTGGGATTACAGGCGCACGCCACCAAACCCAGCTAATTCTTGTGTTTTTAGTAGAGATGGATTTCGCCATGTTGGCCAGGCTGGTCTTGACCTCCTGACCTGAGATGATCCGCCCATCTCGGCCTCCCAAAATGCTGGGATTACAGGCATGAGCCACCATGCCCGGGCCAAATTGGAATTTAGCACCCACATTTATCTTAACTCAGTAGTTCCTAAGTAAAAGAGATTTGTAAGGCCAGGCGCGGTGGCTCACGCCTGTAATCCCAGCACTTTGGGAAGCCGAGGCGGGCGGATCACGCAGGAGATCAAGAACATCCTAGCTAACATGGTGAAACCCCGTCTCTACTAAAATTACAAAAAAATTAGCCGGGCTTGGTGGCATGCGCCTGTAGTCCCAGCTACTCAGGAGGCTGAGGCAGGAGAATCGCTTGAATCCGGGAGGCGGAGTTTGCAGTGAGCCGAGATCGCAGTTCACACCACCGCACTCCAGCCTGAGCGATAGAGCGACACTCCGTCTCAAAAAATTAAATAAATAAATAAATAAATAAGTATTTGTTTGTATGTCAATCTAGGAACAATTCACAGCCGTCTCTACTTTGAACCACCCAAAAGGCTGATTTATGTGAATTTAATTTCACTTGACAATTAATTAAACTCCTCTGCATATCCTGCCTTTTGTTTTGTTTCTTGTTTTGTTTGTTTACTAAGAGACTGCAATCTGCTTGTAGTTCACCCCTGCTCAAGCAAGACATACATTCAGTTTTGTTTTTTCAGTTGTGAGTAAATACCTCTTTTCCTCAGCAATATGTGGGTCCTGTGAGTTTCTTAGAGGGCCCTGGCTCATTTTGCTGATAGGGTTGCCAAACTCTTAGTGTGATAATAGTGCATTCTTTGACCACTTTGTTTCTAAATTCTGGCCATCCTTCAAAACTATGAGCTCGAGCGAGTGTCCCAACCACATGAGTTCCAGGTTGTTGTAATTGAGCCTTTATCAGTACATTTTGATGAAAGCTTTTCCTATTAGGATTTGGATTTGTGACCTTCAGATTTTTGTGGAAATTTATTAACAATGTTTGACTCTCGAGTTTTGAGAGCCCAAAGAAAGTTTTTGATAGAAACTTTCTTTTCTTGGTGATATACTCTCCTTGATTGTGACTTCTTCCTCTTCTTCCTCTTTTTGTTCTTTTCTTTCTCCTTCACCTTCTCCTCCTCGTTCTCCTCCTTGTTTCTGCTTTTGTTAACCAAGGTCTGGAAAGATTTTACTTTTCTGTTTACTGTTTTATTTAAGCTTGTGTTGAGAGTAATAAGGAAATCGTAGAAATCAGAGAGAATGGCATAGGCCCTGTAAGTCACCATCATCTTTAATGCGGATGTTAACCAGTACAAGAACCCCGTTAGAGTTGCATTTGCTTTCTAGGGCAAGATCTTTGCTCTAAGTTTTTTTAAACACATGGCTGTCTATCTTTAAAAAAACAAATCATTTTTATTTTATAGAGTATAATTGTCGAACAGTCTTAGCTTTACAGAAAAATTTAGAAGATATTAGAGTTCCCATATACCCTGCACCCAATACCCCTACTATTATGATAGTCCTTACTATTAAGATGGTACTTTTCTGCCGCGCGCGATGACTCACGCCTGTAATCCCAGCACTTTGGGACGTCAAGGCGGGCAGATCACCTGAGGTCAGGAGTTCGAGACCAGCCTGGCCAACATGGTGAAACCCCTTCTCTACCAACAATACAAAAATCAGCCAGGCATGGTGGCGGGCACCTGTAATCCTAGCTACTCGGGAGGCTGAGGCAGGAGAATAGCTTGAACCCTGGAGGTGGAGATTGCAATGAGCAGAGATTGTGCCACTGCACTCCAGCCAGGGCGACAAAGTGAGACTCAAAAATAAATAAATAAATAAATAAAATGCCGGGCACGGTGGTTCACGCCTGTAATCCCAGCACTTTGGGAGGCCGAGGCGGGCGGATCACCTGAGGTCAGGAGTTTGAGACCAACCTGGCCAACATGATGAAACCTCGTCTCTACTAAAAAAACACAAAAATTAGCCGGGTGTGATGGCGGGCGCCTGTAATCCCAGCTACTCGGGAGGCTGAGGCAGGAGAATCGCTTGACCCGGAGAGGCGGAGTTTTCAGTGAGCCGAGATCGTGCCACTGCACTCCTGCCTGGGTGACAGAGCGAGACTCCGTCTCAAAAAAAAAAAAAAAAAAAAAAAAAAAAAAGAAAAGGGTGATTTTGTGTTGTGTTTGTTAAATTCATGAAACAAGTAGGACAAGACCATAAATTGAAAAACCAAGCCCATTCCAAATTACGAATGCCTCCGGTAGTACCTATGCCAGGGACAAAGTGCACTTTAATAGTCAATACACAGGTTGCTTACCGGGTTCTTGTTTTTTTTGTCAATAGTCTTCTTTCATTTCAAGTTCCCAAAGTCTTGGGAACAAGCCGGTTTTTTTTTTTTTTTAACTGGCTTGCAGAAAGCTCAAGGAGATGTGCAGAAAGTAAAGATATTTCCTGACAATAGTAAGAACACGACCACGAAGGGACTCTAACCCTCAATCTTCTGATCCGGAATCAGACGCCTTATCCATTAGGCCACGCGGCCGCACGCGGGTGCTAATTTGCACACATCAAGACTGAAGTGTAGTGAGGAAACGTTGAGTTTCTGTTTTCAAACCTTTAACTTCGTAATTAGAGATTTAACAACTTGAAGGGGGGCGGGGAGAGGCGGGGGAGGAGGTGGGCAGAAGGAATAAAACTCCATCTAAAATTCCTAATAGCAATTCCTTAGAATTATAAACTGCGAGATGATCAGAAGTGACATCTTTGCCTTCTTTGAAGGCTCTCTTCTCTAAGTTACTAATAATGATAATGCACGTTCGGGTACAGAAATATGAGCCAAGAACTCAAGTCTGCAATGAAGGAGTGGACATGACAGCGTAAGAGGGAGCATCATTGTTTGATCTATTTTAACCTTTTCCGTCTCAAAGATACGATGGTGCTTCCTCCAGGAAGAAAAGCCTGTAAGCTCAAACAAGAGCTCCCCTGGAACAGAAGACACTGGAGACCGTAAGAGGTGGGAGGTTGGAAGGGGGAAAAGGATAGAAAAACTGCCTGTTGGGTATTATGCTCACCACATGGGTGACGGGTTCAATCGTACTCCAGACATCAGCAACACGCAATACACCCTTGTCCCAAACCTGCACTGTACTCCCTGAATCTAAAATAAAAGTTGAAATTAAAAAAAAAAAAAAAGCTCCCCCTTGTCAGAAAAGCCCCAAGTATTTTGCCTAAAGGTTGATTGCTCTAAGCTCACCTTTGGATTGATCCAGAAAACAGTCTGGGGCGATTTTTTGTTACCCTTTCCCCAGCTATGTCCCCTATGTTGATAGGGTAGGAAAGATTAAAAAAAAAAACAACAACCAAGTTTGTAAAGTAAACCAATCACAGATTCCCTCAGTTTTCGCATCGTCTTGGCTTCATGGAAATGACGAGTTACTGGGAAGAAACTATTTCATTTTTCCAGTGCCCAGTCCTATCTCCTTTCCCCAGAGAGATGCATCTCTCAGCCCTAAACTTTTCCTGGATCCCTTGTACACCATTTTCTCCAGGTTTCTCCAGTCAAAACTCAAGAATTGTTTTAGGCCATATTTTGGATGGTGTATCCTATGTACACTAATTTATTAAGTAATGACCCATGTTTGAGACCACGGAACGCTAGTTCTGGGGCCGGACTAGATGAGTCTGGGTAGACAAAAGAAAGGTCTTCTGCTGTTCCCTATGAAACTGATTTAGTTAAGTCCCTTTCTTTCTCAGAAAGCGTCCTATGAGGAGCATTAGATTGAATAAGGGTTTCTGGTGTGATCCAGTTTGGGGAGGCTACTTGCTCTAGTCAGTGCTGAAGAATCCATCTCCATTTTGGGCAAGATGCACTACCATGACTTATGTTTCAACAGACTCAAACTTATTCACATGTTTTGAAATTGTTCTCAGTTTTGCTTCCTCACCTTCTCACTAGTGGATTTTGTGCCCAAAGAATAGCAATCCAAAATCTCAAAATCTAACAAATTTAAATAAAAGGGCATTTTTTGTTCAGTCTGGAGGAGGAAAAGTTAACTGGCAGACGTAGGCAGCAGATAGTAAAGTTGGCACAGTTAGTAAGGTTGGTAGACTGAGCCAAACCATCGAAATCTATTTATTTATTGTTATATTTATTTATTTATTTATTTATTCCTGCTGTTTGCAGAGCAGGGGTACCCTATAGAAAGTGTGTCCAAAGTAGCCTGAAATTTCTTTCTTCAGGAAGATGCTAAAAAGGATTGGCACTGAGATTTGAAAGAATAATGCTAAGAAACTATTAAATTGTATGAAATGTTTGTTTATACCAGTGATACCATTTCCTTTCCAAAGCCTTTCAGTGTTTTCTCTGATGCCTTTTGATTTTTATCTGATGGGTTCCAGGCAAGATTCCTTTAAAATGTTTAAATATTTCTAACAAAAGTATTTTGGGAGGAATCCAAGAGAGATTTGAAAGTATGACATTCTTAATCTCTCTATAACAATCTGTCTAGATAATTTCACTGAAGAAATGAATGGAGGAGGGTGTCTGTAGATAAAGGTTTCTATAATTGAGATTTGAAAAAAATAGAATTTATTTATTTGTTTAGATGAAACCAGACAACTTTCCAAGCCCTGAATCAAATTGGGGGATGTATTGCACCTTTAGACAAAGAATCTCCCAATGTAGCTACTTTAGCCATTTTACAAAAACCCATAATGCATGACCCTAATAATGTTCTTAACTTTAGAATTTGGAAAACTCAGCATTTCCTGTGAGGAGTGATCCAGTGTACAACAAACGTTCACTCACACACACAGAAAGAACTAAGATTTGCAGCACTTATGGTCTGGTTATTGACCTGACGTGTGTGTGTGTGTGTGTGTGTGTGTGTGTGTGTGTGTGTGTGTTGGGGATGGGGGCTACTGTGAAAGGAAAGGATAAAGAAAACTCAGCCAAGTAAAGATTTTCTACTCACATATCTATTTACCATTCTTTTGTCTATATGTCTTTTAAAAGAAGACATACAAATGGCAAATATATGAAAAGGTGCTCAACACCATTGATCATCAAATAAATGCAAATCAAAACTAAAATGAAATGTTATCTCACCCAAGTTAAAATGACTTTCATCCAAAAGACAGGCAAGGACGTGGAGAAAGGAGAACCCTAGTACACTCTTGGTGGGAATTTAAATTAGTACAACCGCTTTGGAGAATAGTATGGAGGTTCCTCAGAAAACTAAAAATATTACCATATATTCCAGCAATCCCCCTATTAGGCCTATACCCAAAAGAAAGGAAATTAGTATATCGAAAAGATATCTACACTGTCATCTTTATTGCAGCACTATTCACAATAGCCAAGATTGGGAAGCATCCTAAGTACCCATCAACAGATAAATGAATAAAGTAAATGTGGTACGTATACACAACGGGGTACTATTCGGCCATGAAAAGAATGAGGTCTTGTCATTTGCAAAGCGGATGGAACTATGTTCTGTGCGGGAAATGCGAGAGGGGAGAAGAAAAGACACACACACAATACCTTTAAGGGTAAATAACCTTTATCCCACGTAAACGGCAATGCAGATATAATAAACAAATGATACAATAAGCAAATTGCAATGGGAAGGGGAGAAGGGAAAAGATATATATATATATATATACACACACACTCACCAAATATATATATATATATATAAATATATATATTTATATATATGTACACTCACAAGACTATGAAGGATTCATCACCACACCGGGAAGCAACAGCCCCGGCTCCAGAGTCGGCCACTCGTCCATGCACAGAGAAGGAGAGGTCTCATGAAGCTCACGAGAGCCCTTCGCGACTGAGCTCAAGGAACAAGAAAAGGTCAACTTGTTTTTGCGATTGTCTGTTGTTTTTCAATAACTAACGTATAGGAATAGATTGAAATAGAGATTTCTCCAAAACAGCACTGGATGAACACCTCAAGGGGTTCATACAACCTGTTCAGGATTTGGTGACCATTGTTTGTGTCCACGTTCAATTGAGTTCAAATTTAATACGTAACTTTTCCTCCACAAACTAGAGGACATTAAGTTAAGCTATACACAGAAAGTAAAACTTCACATATTCTCTCTCATTTGTGGAAGCCAAAAATAAAACAATTGAACTCATGGAGACAGAGAGTAGAATGATGGTTACCAGATGCTGGGAAGGGTATTGGAGGGGGCAGTGAGATGGTTAATGGATACAAAAATATAGTTAGCATGAATAAGATCTATCATTTGATAGCACAACAGGGTGATTATAGTCAACAAAAATGTATTGTACATTTAAAAATAACTTAAAGATTATAACTGGAATGTCTGTAACAAAGAAATGATAAGGTGTTGAGGCGATGGATGAGGTGATGGATGCTTCGTTTATCCCAATATGATTATTACACATTGTATGCCTGCATCAAAATATTCCATGTATCATATATATACATATATATACTATGCAGCAGTAAAAATTAAAAATTAAAAAAAGATCCATAGACGAAGAAAAAATATCTTCAAAAATAAAACAAGAAAAAAACAAAGAAAAGATCCATTATTAATTACTGCCTTTGTCTGTCTGTGTTTGGAGAACGAATATCTGGCAGAAAAATGCTTGCTGTGTTTAACATCACTATTTCTAAAACCTTTAGACTGTGACCAGCAAAAGCGGCACTAAATACTAAACCAAAAGACACTGTTACACGCGGTTTTCCTCTCTGGCCAGCCAGACCGCCGGTCTGAGGTCCACTTGCCAAAGTGATGCCTGGCTGGCAGTTTCATCCACCAACAGAAAGGGGTCCATTATGGAATGTTCTCTTGCATCTTCAAATTCTTCCTCCTTCGTCTCTCTTACCCTCTGCCTACAAAGGCTTCAAGAAAGAGATGCAAGACAATACTGAGGGATACGAACAAAAGTAGCTCCACAGTTGCCTCGAGAAGTTTAGGTTGCAGGTAATTGGCGAGAATGAAACCCTCTGTATCTAGCAACTCCGCAGTGCTTTGTGTAGAAGACGCTCCATCTCAGGTTACGAAAATCTACAGAAAGGAAATGTTTAAAAAGAGAAAAGGAAAATATTCCTAGGGATTATAATGTCTCTCTTAAGCAGGGTCTTCGAAAAGAGGATAATTCAAGTAATATGATTTACAAATTGCAACATGAAACAAAATGAACTGAACAAATGGAGAAATCTAGATTACATACTCCGTGGGTTGCGTCTACCCAGGGCCTGGATAGCTCAGTTGGTAGAACATCAGACTTTTAATCTGACGGTGCAGGGTTCAAGTCCCTGTTCAGGCGAAATATTTGTCTGTTTTACTCTAGCTCCGGAGTCCCCAACCTCCAGTAAACGTAACCGCGTATCAGGCAGCGCGGCAGGCGAGCCAGAGAAGTTTCATCTGTCCTTATACAGCAACTCCCCAACGCTCCTGCGACCGCCTGAGCTACTCTTCCTCCCAGATAAGCGGGGGCGTCAGATTCTCACAGAAGTCCAAACCCTATTGTGAACTGCGTATGAAAGGGATCTAGATTGTGGGCTCCTTATGAGAATCTAATGCTTGATAATCCGTCACTGTTTTCCATCAGTGCCAGATGGGACTGTCTAGTTGCAGGAAAACAAACTCAAGGCTTCCAGTGATTCTACATTATGGTGAGTTGGATACTTATTTCATTATATATTACAATATAATAACAATATTAAAAAAGTGCACAATAAATCTAATGTGCTTGAATCATCCCAAAATCATCCCCCCCAACCCCTGCTCCCTCATCCATGGAAAAAACTGTCTTTCATGAAACGGTCTCTGGTGCCAAAAAGGTGGGGAACTGCCGCCCAAGATAGTTTATACCAATTAAGCACAGGAAGAAGTTCAGATACTTGTTTGTACAGTGACTAAAACTTTGCTACTTTATGCTTTACAAATGTGGAATGATTTACATCATGAAATTACCAGCCCTAAGGGATTGCCTTAGTGAAGTTGTTTTCCAAACACCAGAATACAGAAATCTAAACTATTTTAGAGACTGTTGACCTGGAGATTTGCATTTTTACATATTTTTTAGAGAATCTCCTTCAACGGTTAACTGAAAACAAAATCAATCAAAATTTCTAAACTCTAAAAACAGAGAAAGAGATATTGAAAGCAAGAAAAGAGACAAAACACCTTACCTACAGAGAAAACCAATTTGCATAACAGTGGGTATCTTATCAGAAATCACAGAAGTCAGAAAGAGTGGCACAACAGTTTTCAAGGACCGAAAGAAAAGAATTGTTAATTCTGAATTCTATATCCACAGAAAATATCCTTTAGAACTGAAGAAGAAATCAAGACATTTTCAGAGCAAAGAAAACTAAGATAATTAGCTTCTAGCAGAATTATCCTTTAAAAAATAGTTAAATTTCTCCAGATGGAAAGAAATGATAAAAGAAGAAATAATTGACACCAGGAAAGAAGAAAGAACATGGTAAGCAAAAAAAAAAAAAAAAAAGGTAAAAACAATACATTTTCCTTTTCCTCTTGAGCTTTCTAAATTATGTTTAACAGTTGAAGCAAAAAGTGTAACATGACCGGGCACGGTGGCTCAGGCATGTAATCCTACCACTTTGGGAGGCCAAGGTGGGCAGATCATGAGATGAGGAGATCAAGACCAGCCTGACTAACATGGTGAAACCCCGTCTCTACTAAAAATACAAAAAATTAGCTGGGCATGGTGGCACACACCTGTAGTCCCAGCTACTCGAGAGGCTGAGGAGGGAGAATCACTTGAACCAGGGAAACGGAGGTTGCAGCGAGCCAAGATCACGCCACTACACTCAGGCCTGGGCAACAGAGTGAGACAATGTCTCAAAAAAAAAAAAAAAAAAAAAGAAAGAAAGAAAAAAGTATAACATGGTTCGATGTGGTTCGAAATGTATGTAGAAGAAATAATTTAAGACAATTATATTACAAGTAGGAGAGGCAAAGTGACAAAAAGGTAAAGATGACACACATCACTTTAACTGATAAAATAATGATACCAGTACACAGTGATAAATTAAATAAATATGTAATACTCAGACAAATCACTAAAAGAGTTATATAAAGAGATCATTTAAAAACACTACAGATAGGCTGGGCACAGTGGCTCACACCTGTAATGCCAGCACTTTGGGAGGCTGAGGGGGATCACCTGTGGTCAGGAATTCGAGACCAGCCTGGCCAACATGGTGAAACCCTGTCTCTACTAAAACTACAAAAATTAGCTGGGCATGGTGGCGCATGCCTGTAATCCCAGCTACTTGGGAGGCTGAGGCAGGAGAAAAAAAAAATCAAAAAAACAAAACCACACACACACAAAAACGCTACAGATAAATGACAATGAAATTCTAAAAAAGTATACTAGTAGTCCACAAAGAAGGCTTTAATAAATAAATACATACATACATACATATCCCCAGAAAATGGCAGTAACAGGGTACAAATAGAAAACAAACTGCTAGATTTCAGCCCTAACATATCAATAATTACATTAAATGTAAATGGTCGAAAGGTACCAATTAAAAGACAGAGATTAACAGAGTAGATTAGAAAATATAATCCAACTACATGCTGTCTACAAGAAACTTATTTCAAATATAATTATACATACAGGTTGAAATTAAGCATATAAAAATATATAACATTCAAATGTTAATTAAAAGAAAGCAAAAGTGAGTATATTAATATAATATGAACTTTATTTATTTATCTTTTTTCTTTGAGATGGAGTTTCACTCTTGTCACTCAGACTGGAGTGCAATGGCGCGATCTCTGCTCACTGCAACCTCTGCCTCCAGGGTTCCAGTGATTCTCTTGCCTCAGCCTCCCAAGCAGCTGGAATTACAGGCACGTACCACCATGACTGGCTAATTTTTGTATTTTTAGTAGAGATGGGGTTTCACTATGTTGGCCAGGCTGGTCTCAAACTCCTGACCTCAGGTGATCTACCCACCTCAGCATCCCACGGTGCTGGGATTACAGGCGTGAGCTACCACATCTGGCCTAATATAAGCTTTAGAACAAAGAAAAATTTTAAAAATCCACCAAGAAGGCATAACAATCCTAAATATGTATAAACCAAACAGAGTTGAAAATATGTAAAGAAAAAAAGAATTTTTAAAAAATAGACAAATCCACAATTACATTAGAGACTTCAACACTTCTCTCATAATAATCGATAGAACAACTAAACAGAAAATCAGCAAGGATGTTGAAGAACTCAAAATCATCTTCAGCTAACAGAATTCAGTCAACATTTAAAGAAGACTCCACACAAGAAAAGCAGAACACACAGAACACAGGTCAAGATGGAACATATTCTGGGCCATAAAACAAACCTCAAATTTAAAAGAATTAACTCACACAGTATGATCCCTGACCACAATGAAATCAAACTAAAAGTCAATCACAGAAAGACAACAGAAGAACATCCAAACACTTGGAAAATGAACAACACACTACTAAATAGTACACAGGACAAAGAGAAAGACTTAGTAGATATCAAAAAATAAATTAACCTGAATAAAAATGAAAGCACAATATACCAAAATTTTCAAGACAACCTAAAAAAACACTGAGAGAGAAATGTATACCACTAACTGCATACATTAGAAAAAGAAAAAAGTCTCAAGTCAGTCATCTAAACTTTTATTTGAAGAACCCAGGTGGGGAAAAAAGCAAAATAAACCCAAAGCAAATAGACAAAAGATAACAATAAAAATAAGAACAAAATTCAGTGAAACGGAACACAAACAAAAAAAGGAAAACAAACAAAAAGCTAGTTCCTTTAGATCAATAAAAGAAGACCTCTAGTAAGACAGAAATTTTAGGAAGAGAGATGACACAAATTACCAATATCAGGAATAAAAAGAGGATATCACTGTAGACTCTGCTGACATCAAAAGGATATGTTTTTGGATGATTTCCTTTAAAAAATTTAGCCGGGCTCGGTGGCTCACACCTGTAATCCCAGCATTTAAAAAATAACTAGCCATGCATGGTGGCGGGTGCCTGTAATCCCAGCTACTCGGGAGACTGAGGTAGGAGAATCGCTTGAACCGGGAGGTGGAGGGTGCAATGGGCCGAGATAGCACCATTTCACTCCAGCCTGGGCAACAAGAGCGAAACTCCGTCGCAGACTTTTTCTCCCCCTTGTAAGGTCGGAGCGTTCCCACTCAGGAAACAACATTTCTCTACTCTAGGTTTATCTGGCCTCGCATCTCTCCCCAGCTGGGCCCAGCCTCAGCCTATGCTGCAGAAATGTTTAAAGTCAAGCATGTAGAGAAGGAAAAAAAAAAAGGAAAGTGATGTGGAAATTAAAATAGCAGCTGCATAGGAATCTCAACATAGTGCTTAAAATGTGCATAAACGAGACTAGGAGTGCCCTGCGCTTTTGTGAAAACTTCATTTAGAAATAAATGAGAAAGAAGGTGGAGAGGAGCCGAGAACCAGCAGGTGGGGAAAGGGAAGAGGCAGGCTAGAGTTAAAAAATGAAGGAGGAAAAGCATCCTCAAGATTATTCAGAATATATATATATATAATATACATAGTATATACTAATAATATATAAGGATATATTATATCCTAATAATATAAGTAAATAATAATATATAACTTGTTAAATAATCATATAAATAAATATATTTTATAATTATGTTATTTATTATATAATATTAACATAACATATTATCAATATAATATTTTATATAACATATGTAGTATGATATATCCTAATATATAAAAATAATATTAGGATAAGGGAATACTATTGTGGTGGTAAACTGAGGAACGGAAAGACTGATACAGGAGAACAGGAGGATATTTATTTTAAGGTAAGCAGCCACTGAGTGGATTCACATCCAAAAAGTTGAGCACTGGCCGGGCCTGGTGGCTCACGCCCATAATCCCAGCACTTTGAGAGGCCAAGGCTGGCAGATTACCTGAGGTCAGGAGTTCGAGACCAGCCTGGCCAACGTGGTGAAACCCCGTCTCTACTAAAAATACAAAAATTAGCCAGGCGTGGTTGCACATGCTTGTAATCCCAGCTACTCGGGAGGCTGAGGCAGAATTGCTTGAGCCCAGGAGGCGGAGGTGACATTGAGCCAATATCGTGCCACTGCACTCCAGCCTGGCCGACAGAGCAAGACTCTGTCTCAAAACAAAACAAACAAACAAAAAATGCTGAGCGTTGAACAAAGACAGAGCAGGAGTTTTTATAAGCAAAACAAAGGCAGTTAATCATACAGTGCTTAATTTGTGGCCTTGCAGCTGCGTCAAAAGAAAAACAAGAACTGACTAAATACAGACATTTGTAAAAACAGTTATGCTTAAGAAGCCAGGGAAAGGAGTAACAGTATAGGAATTTGCCTTTCCTTTTTTTCCCTTCAACCTTGTTCTTGGGTGGGGTGGGGGAAGGGCGTGTCTGGAAGCCGTTCCTTTGGCCTTGGCTTTTCGGAAAGTGTTATCTTGTAACTGTCCTTGAAGTGAGCTGCTAGGCAAACGAAAACTTGTTTCTTTTCTTTTTAACCCTTTCCTGTTACTTTTCTTGGAGTGAATGAATGCATATTTATTTTTAAATTTCTGCCTTACTATGAATAACTCTTTACACACAAACTTGACAATTTAGATGAGATAGACTAATTCCTTGAAAAACACAAATTAACACAACTAACTCAATATGCAATACATTTTTTATAACCCTGTAACTATTAAGGGAATTAAATTTGTAACATAATTTAAAAAAAAAATCAAGAATCTGGCCGGGCGTGGTGGCTCATGGCTGTAATCCCAGCACTTTGGGAGGCCAAGGCGGGCTGATCACCTGAGGTCAGAAGTTCGAGACCAGCCTGGCTAACATGCTGAAACCCCGTCTCTACTAAAGATACAAAAATTAGCCGGATGTGGTGGCAGGCACCTGTAATCCCAGCTACTTGGGAGGCTGAGGCAGGAGAATCGTTTGAACCTGGGAGGCAGAGGTTGCAGTGAGCCAAGATCGCACCATTGCACTCCAGCCTGGAGGCCAAGAGCAAGACTTCGTTTAAAAAAAAAAAATCAGGAATCTTCGAATCCAAGAAAATTTCACTGAAGAATTCTAAGAAGTTCTTAAGGAGGCCAGGGGCGGTGGCTCATGCCTGTAATCCCAGCACTTTGGGAGGCCGAGGTGGGCGAATCATGAGGTCAGAAGACCGAGACCCTCCTGGCTAACACGGTGAAACCCCGTCTCTACTGAAAAAACAAAAAATTAGCTGGGCGTGGTGGCAGGGAGCCTGTAGTCCCAACTACTCGCTGGAGAATGGCGTGAACCCGGGAGGCGGAGCTTGCAGTGACACTCCAACCTGGGCGACAGAGCGCGACTCCGTCTCAAAAAAAAAAAAAAATGGTTAAAGAATTAAAACAAGGTCTACACAATCTATTCTGAAAAAAACAGAAGAGGACAAAAAACTTTCCATTTATTTATGAAGTTAATAGTATCCTGATGCTAAAACCAGGTAAATACAGTACAAAATAATGAGTATTGGTGCATAAATACTTACCAAAATATTATCAAATAGAATTCAGGAATATATAAGAAGCATTATACACCATGATCAAGTGGGGTTTATTCCAGAGACGTAAGACTAGGTAAATTTAGAAACAATCACTGCAATCCACCATATTAACAGGCTAAAAAATAAAATCACGTGATCATATCACAGTAGAAAAAGAATTTGTCAAACTTCAATAGCTACTCATGACAAAAAGTCTCAGAAAAATAGGAATAGAGAACAGCTAACACTGTACATCACGGTAAAAGACAGAATGTGTATTAGTCCGTTTTCACACTGCTATGAAGACACTACCTGAGACTGGGTAATTTTTTTTTTTTTTTAAGATGGAGTCTTGCTCTGTCGCCCAGGCTGGAGGGCAGTGGCCTCCTCTCGGCTCATTTCAACCTCCGCCTCCTGGGTTCAAGCAATTCTTCTGCCTCAGTCTCCCGAGTGGCTGGGACTACAGGCGCAGGCCACCATGCCCGGCTAATTTTTGTATTTTTAGTAGAGACAGGGTTTCACCGTATTGGTCAGGCTGGTCTGGAACTCCTGAACTCATGATCCGCCCGCCTCTGCCTCCCAAAGTGCTGGGATTCCCGGCGTGAGCCACTGTGTCTGGGTAATTGATAAAGGAAATAGGTTTAATTGAGTCACATAGCTGAGGAGGCTTCGGGAAACTTACAATCATGGCGGAAGGGAAATGGGAAGCAAGGACCTTCTTTACATGACAGCAGAAGAAAGAAGTATGAGCAAAAGAGGAACTTGCCAAACACTTATGAAACCATCAGATCTCATGAGAACTCACTCACTATCACCAGAACAGCATGGGGGAAGCCACCCCCATGATCCAACTACCTCCCACCAGGTTTCTCCCACAAAGTCAAAGGAATTAGAATAATTATTTAAAATCTAGGAGGGAAAAACAGTCTACCTGATTTCAAGACTATTTCATTACATTGTTGTATTCTTGTATTATTGTATTATTACTACAGTAATTAAGACTGTATAGTATTGGCAAGGAGATAGGCACGCGGTTAATAGAGAGAATGGAAAAATAAACCTACACAAATATTCTCAACTGGTTTTTGACAAAGTTGCCTAAGTAGTAATTCCATGGAAGAAAAATAAGTCTCATGCCTTCACAAAAGTGAACTTAAAATGGATCGCAGATATGAATATAAAATGTAAAACTATAAAACTTTGAGGAAAATATATGGAAGATAATATTTCCAATCTAGGGCTAGACAAATAATTTTACAGTTGACAGTGAAACATGATCCAGAGATCTTGTAAAAGCTGGTTCTTTTTTCCTCCTTTCCTCTCCTGCTATGTCAGTTGCTTTGGCTGGTACAGAGGCTGACCAAATAGAAATAGAAATAAGAGAGCAGTAAAGGCAATGAATTGGGTCATGTTTTTACTTTTTATGTGACAAAGAAATGACAGAATTGGTGGCCAGGTGCAGTGGCTCATGCCTGTAATCCCAGCACTTTGGGAGGCCAAGGAGGGCAGATCACCTGAGGTCAGGAATTCAAGACCAGCCTGGTCAACATGG
The DNA here is from genome assembly GCF_000001405.40 of Homo sapiens. Taxonomy (NCBI): domain Eukaryota; kingdom Metazoa; phylum Chordata; class Mammalia; order Primates; family Hominidae; genus Homo; species Homo sapiens. The sequence goes on from NT_167249.2 coordinate 64,941, forward strand.
TGAAACCCCACCTCTACTAAAAATTAGCTGGGCATGGTGACGCGCGCCTGAAATCCCAGCTACTTGGGAGGCTGAGTCAGGAGAATCACCTGAACCCAGGAGGCAGAGGCTGCAGTGAGCCAAGATCACGCCACTGCGCTCCAGCCTGGGTGATAGAGTGAGACCCTGTCTCAAAAAAAAAAGAAAAGAAAAGAAAAGAAAGAAATGAGAGAAAAGGAAAGAAAAGGAGAAAGAGAGAAAGAAAGAAAGAAAAAGAAAGAAAGAAAGAAAGAAAGAAAGAAAGAAAGAAAGAAAGAAAGAAAGAAAGAAAAGAAAGAAAGGAAAAAGAGAAAGAAAGAGAAGGGAGGGTAGAATGATAAGAAAGGAAAGAAATAAAGAAAATTGGCTCAAAAGAGTCTCCTGGCTGACAAGAACTCTGGTGAGTTCTTCTACAGGAAAATCAGTCTCTTGTGTGTGACCACCAAAATCATCTAAAATGTTGACGGTGTCAAAGAGATAATAAATGCATCCCCACCCCTGATGTAAGGCAAATACAAACCTCACTGGCTTTCCTAGGTGGTTTGAGTTTTTGATTGAGAATAGGCAGGGAACCCCGGGAACAACTCTTCCTCCTCAGCAGGCGCCTGGCCCTGGACCACCTTCTTAAACCTCTAGAACAGTGCTTCTCAAACTTTAGCATCAGCGGCTGGGCGGGTGGCTCACGCCAGTAATCCCAGCACTTTGGGAGGCCGAGGCGGGCGGATCACGGGGTCAAGAGTTCGAGACAAGCCTGACCAACATAGTGAAACCCCGTCTCGACTAAAAATACAAAAATTAGCTGGGCATAGCGGCGCGCGCCTGTAATCCCAGCTACTTGGGAGGTTGGGGCAGAAGAATCGCTTGAACCCGGGAGGCAGAGATTGCAGTGAGCCGAGGTTGCACCACTGCATTCCAGCCTGGGCGAGAGGGCGAGACTCCGTCTCAAAAAACAAAACAAAACAACTTTAACATCAGAGTCACTTGAGGGCTTATTCAAACACAGGCGGCTGGACGCCACCCTCAGCAATTCTGACTCAATAGATCTGAGGTTGGGCCTGGAATTTGGCATTCCTCTTGTAGCACCCTGATCCCTCACCCCTTATTCTCCTGTGCAGTGTCCACTGTGACTAACATGCCACTATTTGCTTAAAGTGCCTGGAGAGAACCAGTGGATAGAAGGGAAAACAAGTATGAAACGAAAAGAAAATGTCTGCATTACCTTCCTTCAAACAAAAAAAAAAAATGTATCTTATAACGAACATATGGTTTGTCCCTGGGGCACACAACCAGTCTTCAGCTAAGCAGGTTTCACTAGACAATATCTCTCCTGTAGGCTGGTTATGGATATTTTCACTGAACAAAAGAATCGAGAAGTAAGGACAGCCTACCCTGACAGAGTGTTAGACTGGTGGACTGATGACAAACATCGTACTCTGTTGCCTCTCAAAGACACTTTTGATTCAACGGCAAACATATACACAGAGGACAGCAGTTTTGAAACATGCAGCATTGGAAACCCCTAAAAGGTGTCATCAGTAGATAGGATTTCCTGGAGTTCCCTCGTCATACAAAGCAGATGTGATAGGATTGACAAAGAAAAAAGAATTTTTTTTTTTTAATTAGAAGTGCCAACACACCTGCAATTTACTCACCTTTACTTTGCATCTATTTTCCATTGTGGCAGAAAAGCTTTCTCTACTTTTTCATATGGGGCCTCTGTTTGCTGTTAACAGAGGTTTCCAGGCAATGTTTTATGTTATGTTATATTTTATTTTATTTTGAGACGGAGGTTCTCTCTTGCTGCCCAGGTTGGAGTGCAATGGTGGGATCTCAGCAAACTGCAACCTCCGCCTCCCGGGTTCAAACGATTCTCCTGACTCAGCCTTTTGAGTAGCTGGGATTACAGGCGTGCGTCACCACGCCCGGCTAATTTTGTATTTTTAATAGAGACGGAGTTTCTCCATGTTAGTCAGGCTGGTCTCGAACTCCCGACCTCAGGTGATCGCCCCGCCTCGGCCTTCCAAAGTGCTGGGATTACAGACGTGAGCCACCGCGCCCGGACCTCAGTGTTTTATTTTAACGAGGAGAATGGAGTGACTGATGCAATACAGGAAAATGAATCAATCGTATGGACTATCAGTAGGGAATGTGTTGATCCTTATTGATTTCGCTCCTTCCGTGTTGAAGACCTCTAATTCCCCGACAGTCTTCGTTCGGTTGTCCAGCGTCCTGCCACTCTCATCTCAAGCGGCTGGAGAGCCACATTTTCTCAGCTTTGGATCGCACTTGTGGCTGTGCTCTCTGCGCAGTTCGACAGGGAGAGAAATCAGTGGACAGATGCTTTGACTCTGGATTTGGCTCAGAAAACAAAAACAACGACCAAAACGAAATGCCCGGGGGGCGGGGGGGCGCTTTTCTGCCTTTCTTCTTCTCAGCCTTTCCTTCTCTTTAATCATAGTACAAAACCGAAGCCAAAGTGAGCCGCCTGTTGATGTGCACGCTTTTGTTTGCTTTCAAGAGACCCTGTTGCGACCTCATTCTTCTTTCTCCTCTTCCTTCTGCCGTCGCAATCGCCTTAGGTGATGTTGAGGCTTACATTATAGAGATGGGAGATAAGTGAAGGCAATCCATTGGGTTACGTTTTTACTCTCTATACGTGCAGAAATAGGATAGAAAAAGGTGAGGAGGCAGAAGGCTATGTTGCTTGAGAATTACATTTAAGCACTGCCAGAGCAAAACCACCATTTGGAGGTGCCGGGGATCGAACCCGGGGCCTCACACATGCAAAGCATGTGCTCTACCACTGAGCTACACCCCCCTCCTGAAAGACTGTTTTGTAATAATTTTCAGGAGGTAACTTTCATTTTCTGAGACTGGCTCCGTGAGCATGCTGGTAGTAGTGGTTAGTATCATGGAGCGCCTTCAGCTGCTCTGAGTAGAAGATACTCGGTACTAATGAGGGGATACAGATTCTTTAGTATACTGTACAGGACTTGAAATGGAAAGCAAAGTATTAGAAAAGTGTCAGATAACCGCCAAAAGAAGTTTCCAATGTGGCTTTAAAACGTTGAGTTGTCAGGATCTCCTTCTTCTGTTATGCTTGGCAAGGAATCAAATTCTGGTTTTTCATTCTTTCGATTTCTTTCAGAGATGACGCAAAGTTATTGAAATTCAGCTTTTTCTTACCTAAAATGCTTCATATTTGTTGTTTACTCAGCCGGAATATTAAAGGTTAGATTTGATTGAGGAAAATCACAGTCAGAAGAAAACCTGAGAGCGATGCACTCAGCATTTCATCTTAAGGGTCTTTAGCTGGTGTGTTGTCCTGCGCCTGTACTCACAGCTATTCCAGAGGCTGAAGCAGGAGGATCACTTGACCTTGGGAGCTGGAGGCTGCAGGGAGCTATGATCACGCCACTGCACTCCAGCTTGGGTGATGGAGTGAGACCCTGTATCAAAATCAAAAAGAAAAGAAAAGAAAAATTTATAAGGTGTGAGTGAAACAACACCTCTAGGGATGACGAGAAGAGTTGAATTATGAGGGTGAGATAAAAAATAAGTAGAAACAGGATTTAAGAGGTACGGGGGAAAGTGGTTTAGAAAAACAAACAGGCTATTGCCAAACAGAAGGAGGTGTAGAAAAGGGGAGTTTTTAACAACTCTTTAAGGAATGGGAGAAAGATTGGAAGATGGAGAAGATAAGTTAGCTTGGCTCATGCTAAATTCGGTGTATCTGTGGGGCACACTGTGAGGATGTTACATGGAGAACTCAGGCAATTGACTCTCCAGCCTGGGGTTTGTGAGCATTAGTAGTAGTAGACATATTGCATAGAGGGTGGATAAAGACTAAAAAGGGTCCTTTTAGATTTGGGAATTACAAACCTATTCACGATATTTGTTTAAAAGAAAAAAAAGCCGGGTGTGGTGGCTCACGCCTGTAATCCCAGCACTTTGGGAGGCCAAGGCGGGTGGATCACCTGAGGTTGCAAGTTCGAGACCAGGCTGGCCAACATGGTGAAACCCTGTCTCTACTAAAAATACAAAAATTAGCTGGGTGTGGTGGTGCATTCCTGTAATCCCAGCTTCTCGGGAGGCTGAGGCAGGAGAATTGCTTGAACCTAGGAGGTGGAGGTTGCAGTGAGTGAGATCATGCCATTGCTCTCCAGCCTGGGCAACAAGAGTGAAACTCTCTCTCAAATAATAATAATAATAATAATAAAGTAAAAAAAAATTTTTTTTAAAGTTTGCTCCTCTATGTTCTTGAACCCTGGTATTTATCATTATTTATCATGATTAGGGCTGTGTTCTTTGAACTACATAAGAAGATGAGAAGAAAATCCATTTCCTGACACCAAATTTCTAGTGACTGTTAACTCTTTCTCATTCTGATTTACTCATATATGAGCCTTTGCCAACACTCATGAAATAACATTGATCCCTTGTAGAACTGGCAGAAAACAGCAGGTTATATGGCAGACTTGTCTTTTCGGTTGGCTGATGGAATTTCTAGAACAAAAATAGGAAGCACTGAATGCTAGGTTTCACTGAATAAGAAACAAGAGAAGTGTTACACACAAAACTAGTGTTTGTGTGTGTGTTTGACTGTCTGTGTGTGCATGTAAATGCTAGGGAGATAATCTTAGCTCTTTGATGCTGCAGAAGTAATATTAGGACAATTTGCAGAAACACTCCTTCATCATTATGTCATGTTGCACCCAGAGAAACCTGGATGTCTACTGGATTCTTGGGAATTCATCATAATATGAAGGTCTGCTTTTTTGTTTGCCTCTTGAAAAGGAGAGAATTTTAAATAATTAAATATCTGTAGCTCTCTTCTGACTAACAACAACACGACTGAAACACAGTTTTTTTTGTAAAAACTGTGGGATGAGCTTATTTAACACAGAATTCCTCTGAGGAATTAAACATTTAATCCTGAAGACAGAACACCCTCATGTGATACATACTCAATTCAGAAAACCTAAAAATATATAAAGTATCTGTTTAAACCTGCACTGTCCAATATGGTTACCATTAGCCACACTGGCTATTGAATGCTTGAAATTGCCCAGTCCAAGTTAAGAGTGTTGTAAGTGTAAAATACATATCAGATTTGGCCAGGCACAGTAGCTTGCGTCTGTAATCCCAGTACTTTGGGTGGCTGAGGTGGGTGGATCACAAGGTCAGGAGTTCGAGACCAGCCTGACCAACATGGTGAAACCCCATCTCTACTAAAAATACAAAAATTAGCCTGGCTTGGTGACACACACCTGAAATCCCAGCTACTTGGGAGGCTGAGGCAGGAGAATTGCTTGAACCTGGGAGGCAGAGGTTGCAGTGAGCCGACATCGGGCCACTGCACTCCAGCCTGGGTGACAGAGCGAGAATCCTTCGCAAAAAAAAAAAAAAATATATATATATATATATATATGTAAATATATATATATATATATATGTAAATATATATATACATACACACACCAGATTTCAAAGATGTGTAATACTATTTTTTAAATATAAAATATCTCACTAATAATTTTATAATTGATAGCTTCTTAAAATAAGTTTTTGGATATACAAAGTGATTTAAATATATTATTGAAACTGGACATAAAAGATAGCAACAACAAACACTGGGGACTATGGGGAGGGGTGGGAGGGAGGGCAGAAAGATTTGAAAAGCTACCTCTTGGGTACTATGCCTACTACCTGGGTGATGGGATCAATTGCACTCAAAACCTCATGCAATTTACCCAGCATCATGTAGTATACCCATGTAACAAACCTGCACGTGTACCCCCAAATCTAAAATAAAAATTGAAATTACATAAAAATATAAATATTGACTTTTTTTAATGCAACTACTGCAAAAGGTAACACTACAAAATGGCTGTCATTTAAAACTTGTATTATCTCTTGATTGGACAGAATTGTCTAAAGACAATGTTATCCATTTAGGTGCTGTTCTGGGAGAATCCCAGAAGCAGAGAACACGGAGCATGATCTGCCAGTAATTAAGTTTCATGCTGTGAGTGGACTTGACAGAATGCATTTCTATGCATGATCTCCTTTGATCTTTACAACATCCCATTTTACAAAATCATTATTAACATCATTTTTAAGCCATTGAATGGCAGACAAATCATGCTTGGAATTGCCCTAGGCCTTCCATTTCAACAGAATGTAAAGGAATCTTTACTGCGTTAGGCACAAAACATTCAATGTTACTGTTTGTCTAGTCAAATATTTCTTAATGGAGTAAAACACAAGCTTCTGAGTTGAGAAAGCCTCAGTGAAAGGATAAAGTACCTGATTCCCAGTTTCTGTACAGTCAATGTCCCTAACCCAAGGTTACTTCTCATTTGGTACTAATTTTCCTTTTGCAACTTGCTGCAGTTCTGATAGTGGAGTATTGTAGATTATTGTCTCCTCACAGGGTATGCAGAAGTTAGAGAAAAACAACACTGAAACTGAAGCAGTAATTTGAAAGAAAAAAAATCAAAATGACCAAAAAAAGACCTATTATCCCAACAGAGAATTTCAAGAGAGGAGTTGAAGTGAAAAAGGGAAAATGGGGCACATGCACCTGAGTCTTGACTTTGCTGCCCATTCGCTTTCATTTTCAGTATTCTAGAGCCCCTCATGAATGTTTGATAAAATAATTCATATAGAAATACATATATTTCTTTTTTCCTGGATACAAACATGGAAACAGCTTAAGATTTGGAAATTCTAGACAAGGTTGCCAGGCTAAAGAAATGTCTTCTCAGCAAGAAAATTTAGAATGTTCTTGTAATTGGGCCTGGTGCGATGGCTCCTGCCTGTAATCCAAGCACTCTGGGAGGCCTACCTAGGCAGGTGGATTGCTTAAACCTAGGATTTAAAGACCAGCCTGGGCAACACGGTGAAACCCACAGTCTACAAAAAAATACAAAAAAAAAAAAAAAAAAAAAATTTAGCCAGGCATGGTGGTGCTCGCCTGTAGTCCCATCTACTCAGGGTGCTGACATGTGGAGTCACTTCAGCCTAGAGAGGTTGAGGCTGTAGTGAGCTCTGATTGTATAACTGTACTCCAGCCTGGATGACAGAGTGAGACCCTGCTTAAAAGAAAGAAAAGAAAGAAGAAAGAAAGAAAGAAAGAAAGAAGAAAGAAAGAAAGAAAGAAAGAAAGAAAGAAAGAAAGAAAGAAAGAGAAAGAAAGAAAGAAAGAGAAAGAAAGAAAAAAAAGTTCTTACAGCACTTTAATAATGGAGTTGACTCAAGATACAAACCCGGGTTTTTCTAATTTCAAAATGTTTCTTGCATACACCACACCCCCATATATATGCTCATACAGTATAATAGTTACTTCACTGTATGTTTCTTTTTTTCATATTTCTTGTGATTTAAAAATAACCCTCGCCCAATACATATAAATAATATCAAATCAAAAATGACTTGTAAATGCCACAGCATATAGCACGTTGGAATTTCTTAGGTTTTAAAACTAATAACTTCCTAAGTTTAAGACTTTAAATAAGGACGGGCTTAGTGGCTCACGCCTGAAATCCCAGCACTTTGAGAGGCCGAGGCAGGTGGATCACCTGAGGTCAGGAGGTCGAGACCAACCTGATCAACATGGCGAAACCCTGTCTCTACTAAAAATACAAAAATTAGCGGGCATGGTTGCGGGGGCCTGTAATCTCAGCTTACTTGGGAGGCTGAGATATGAGAACAGCTTGAACTCAGGAGGCGGAGGTTGCAGTGAGCCGAGATCGCGCCGTTGCACTCCAGCCTGGGCGACGGAGTGAGACTCCGTCCAAAAACTTTAAATAATTTATGTAATGAGAGCACTTCATGGAAGACTTCAGTGGAATATACAAAGGAGAGAGTGATACAAACATGTACATTACCTTTATCAGACTTTCAAAAACTCCCAAAAATTGGAGATATGTAAGCTTCTGGGATTGGCGTATAAGTGCTGTATAAGGGAGTGATAATTAGGCAGAACTCAAAAGATGCTGGCTGAAACCCAGGGTTGAACCAGGGAACTTTAAGATCTTCAGTCTAACGCTCTCCCAACTGAGCTATTTCAGCTACTCTAAGCACACACCCTTAGTCATTTCTTCAAAATATAAAAACGTCATTTGTAGAGTGAGTGTATTTTCTAATGCCTAATTCTGTTTTGTTCAATATCAATACAAAAATTAGCCAGGGGTGGTGGTGCGCGCCTGTAATCCCAGCTACTAGGGAGGCTGAGGCAGGAGAATTGCTTGAACCCGGGAGGTGGCGGTTGCAGTAAGCCGAGATCACGCCACTGCACTCCAGACTGGGCGATAGAGGGAGATTGTCTAAAAAAAATAAATTAAATAAATAAAATAAGTGACAGGAAAAGAAAGAAAAGAAGGATCTCTTATGTCCTCCAGTACATTCTATCTCTTCCTTAGAGTTTTTAAAACTGTGGTCTCCACACTGGTGCATAACAACTCTTTTTTGTTGTTGTTTTCGAGACAGGGTCCCGCTCTGTTGCGTGGGCTGGAGTGCAGTGGTGCAATCTCGGCTCGCGGCAACTTCCGCCTCCCCGGCTCAGTGGATCCTCCCACTTCAACCGAGGGAGAGGGAGTCTCGCTCTGTCGCCCAGGCTGGAGTACAGCGGCGCGGAGTAGCTGGGATTACAGGCGCGCGCCACCACCCCTGGCTAATTTTTGTGTTGATATTGAACAAAAAAGAATTAGGCATTAGGAAATACGCCCACTTTACAAATGAAGATTTTTATATTTTGAAGAAATTGCTAACGGCACGTGCTTAGAGTAGCCAAAATTGCTCAGTTGGGAGAGCGTTAGACTGAAGATCTAAAGGTCCCTGGTTCGATCCCGGGTTTCACCAGGTTTGTTTGGTTTTTTTAGTTCTGCCTAATTATCACTCCCTTATACAACACTTGCACGCCAATCCCAGAAGTGTATATATCTCAATATAAATTCTTACGTTAAGTCAAAAGTGTAAAAACATTGAACTTCTCTGGTTAGACATAGGAACAAATTCAGATGTTTACAGAATTTCGGAAACAACCCTCTCTGGAATGAGAAAATTGCTGAGGCCGACGATGATTTGCAAACTGAATTTTAATAAAACCTTTTCTATGTCTTAACAGTTTTCAAACTCAATCTCCTGAGAGTCGAGGCTTTCTATTTTTAGCCAAAATACGGTGGGAGGGTCAATTAGGATATATTTTTCAATTATTTCCTCAAAAAAAGTTTTAGATTCTCTTACAGACTTTTTTCTCCCCTTGTAAGGTCTGAGCCTTCTCAGACAGGAAACAACATTCCTCTACTCTAGTTTTATCCCCGCCACGCGTCTCTCCCCAGCTGAGTGCAGCCTCAGCCTATGGTGCAAAAATGTTTAAAGCTGAGCATACAGAGAAGGAAAAGAAGAAAAAAAAAATAGAAAGTGATGTGGAAAGATCTACATATGAATCACAACACAGTGTTTAAAATGTGCGTAAACGGGTCTAGGAGTGCGCTGCACTATTGTGAAAAGTTCATTCTGAAAGCTGGGCGCAGTGGCTCATGCCTATAATCTCAGAACTTCGGGAGGCCGAGGCGGACGGATCACTTGAGATCAGAAGTTGGAGACTATCCTGGTGAAAATGGTGAAACCCCGTCCCTACTAAAAATACAAAAATTAGCCGGGCGTGGTGGGGGGCTCCTGTAATCTCAGCTAATCGGGAGACTGAGGCAGGAGAATCGCTTGATCCCAGGAGGTGGAGGTTGCAGTGAACCGAGATCGCGCCACTGCACTGCAGCCTGGGCGACAGAGCGAGACTCCGTCTCAAAAAAACAAAAACAAAAAACAAAAACAAAAACAAACAAAAAACAAAAACAAACAAACAAAAAGTAAACGGGAGGAGCCGAGCGCCAGCTTGCGGGGAGACGGAAGAGGCGGGGTGCCGTGAAGTGGAGGAAGCAAAGGACAAAAGGGAGAGAGGTAGAGGGCAAGGAAAAGCATCCTCAAGATTATTAGTACTTGGATAGACTGGATGGTAGAGTGAGTCTAATCGCCACATCTCTCCGTCCCTTCCTCTGGATAGGAGGGAAGAGAGGTTCCTTTTTGTCCCTAGGGGGGTAGGCTCGACCAGGAAGGGGACCTGGTTCGTTTCGCCCAGGCTGGCACGGCTTCAAGAGCGCCTCACCTCTCTTTACGTTGCTGGACAGACCAGTTGAGCTCTTTGGGTATGCACGTAATGTCGCATTTTTATTTTCAGTTCAGGAAATGCTGATATTGGAGCTTCTGAGGGAGCTGCAGTGATTTCCCGATTTCCTGCGCGCCTGTGTGGAAAGTTAGAAGCGGAATCTACCGGCAGCTTTGAGACTAAGCATGACGGTGGAAACAGCTAATTTTATTAGCTTTTGTCTGAAATGCAAAAGATGAGAAAGAAAATTCCCGTTTGTTTGCTCCACATACTTCTCTTAGAAGCCTATGGAAAGCCAACTTTCCCCCTGAAGAAACTCCTCCTGGCATTTGCAAAGAGCTCCTTTACTCCTCTTGTCCAGCTCTTCTCTCAAAAGGACTCTGCAGAGCTGGACAGCGGCTGCGGAAAGGCGAAGTTGTTGTACCCGAGCGAGTTAGAGAAATGCCACACTTTGAGACGAATTTAAGAGTCCTTTATTAGCCGGCGACCAAGAGAGGACTAACGCTCGATATTCTCTCGGCCCCGAGGAAGGGGCTTGATTTTCCTTTATACTTTGGTTTAGAAAGGGGAGGGGGAGCTTAGTTGCAGCAATTCTACAGAAGTAAAAGCATGCAAAAAAATTAAAAAGACAAATGGTTACAGGTAAACAAACAGTTCCAGGTGCAGGGGCTCTAAATCTATCATAAGGCATTAGGTATGGGGGTTCTGCCAGACACAAACTCAAGGCTTTATGGTGTTATCTCTTGAGTGAAATCCTGGGAACTTCGTGCATTGTTTGCTTCAGTACCTTATCAGTTAATTGGACTCTGATATGTTGAGAGTCAGCTTACACAAGTTAACTGCTTGAGGAAGGGGGTGGGTAAGGAGTCCTTGATGTTTTGTAAATGAAGGAGCCAAATGGAGTTCGTCCAGCTTTCTCAGCTAAGGGACAGCCTATTCATGTGGAAATAAGGCTAGGTGATTAACGGAGAGTCTAAAAACAACGTTAGGTATTACATTCCCCACTTGTGTTTTTGGGGAATCAAATCGTTGATTCCTCAGTTATAATAAGGGGGTCATATTGAGTTCTAAGATACATAAATTTGACAGAAGCTATGCGTTGTTTTACAAAGTTAAGAAACTAATTTAATATACACGGCCTGAAAATTAAGCTTAATAGTAGGATGAGGAGGGGTCCAACTAACCTAGTGACTAGAGTAGTTAGCCATGGATTCCAGTTAAACATGCTTTGATACCAGGGGATGTTATTTTCTCTTTCTTGTTGGCGTCTATCTAGATTTTCTCGAACCTTTTGGAGAGTATCTTTTATGACTCCAGACTGATTGGCATAGAAGCAACAACTTTCTCCTAGAGCTGCTCATAAACCTCCTTGAGAGAGGAATAGTAGATCTAAGCCTCAGCGGTTTTGAAGAACTACTTCAGCTAGAGACTCTACCTGGGAATGTAACAAATCTACGACAGACTGGAGGTTACTTAAATTAGCATCTACCTGTTGAGATAGGGCCATTATTCCAGTTTCTCCTTGAACTAGGGCTGCTGATCTGGCTATGCTAAGGCTGGCCAAGAAGGGAACTAGGAGCAGGGCAGCTAGCGAAACCTGGGATCTAACTCAGGGGGAGAAATGAGAAGTTGTCCTTCTGGTCCACTGTACACGTATACCCAGGGAAGTACATGAACTTACATGCACAGGAGAGGTCCTGGTTCAGTTCCATTAATGCAGTGAGTGAGACTTGAAGTGCAGGCCAACCAGGTATTGTTAGGCACTTGGTAAGAGACTGAGGTGCTTATGGAAGTAAGCAGGGACTGATTACAAGTAGTCTGAAAGGGAGAAGCAGATAAGTTATACCCGGTACTAATTAGACAAGAAGCGTTTCCAGACACATCCCTTAGTGTGAGGGCACAGGGTCGTGCACGACAAGATAAAGGGCCACTTTTAAGTGTGGCCTCTACTCCTAAGCCTACATAATAAGGGGGTTTTGCTTTTAGACATAGCCAACAATCTTGGGCTAGTTTAGGCTGGGTGAGGTTAAGAAGGTGATGTACCCTGCCTAGTATGGACATCAGGCTGTGTTGAAGATATTGTTGCTGCAGCTGGGGTTTAGGAACTAGGAATGGTGGCGGAACAGTTAAATCGACCTTGTCAGGGTGTTTTTGGAACATAGGGTCGCCTAGATCAGTTAAAGGCCTGATTGGCTTGGGTGGGCTCCATGAGACCAGGATTTTCTTCTGGATGGCGAACATAGTCTTAACATCAAATCCTGGGATATAAAGCCTTAATCCTTATGACATGCCATAATACCATTGAGCTGAATTAGGGTCATGGACAGTTATAGTAAGAGGATTACAATTTTTTCTAGTACACAATCTAGGATGGGAAGCACGACTTATGGAAAGAGTTGAAGATCCGGTTGATCTCCCAGAGTTAAGTGTCTAAAGTTACACGTGTCCAATCAGGGCAGAAAAACTGGTAAATATCTCAACAGCTAGAGTCAGGGTGATTTCCAGGACAGAGGTAAAAGTCAACATTCTGAAGTCCTTTTTCCGCACCTTTGGAGCTCCCACATCCAGTCTGGCTCCCGGAGTGTCCAAATCCTGCCAAAAGGTCAACGCTTCCTGCCCCCTTGACTGTCAGATTGTGTTACTCTTTGTAGGTACGGGCTGGTTCTGGGAACAGTGCACATAAATCAACTGCAAAGGAGACTTCCTTGGAGGTTCCTGCCCTCCAAGTACTGTTTGCGAATATACGTCTTGTCATGAAATAGGTGAGAAGAAGGGAATAGGAAGGTGCAGAGGACATGACAGGCAAAAACCAAAAAGAGAAGTAAATAAAAAGAATTAATCTAATGGCTTCACCCGACTTAGGCACAGTTTTAAGGGGCCTGACCCAGGCTTGGGGACCTATGTTTCTTGCTGGGCTTTGTTGGCCTTTTTGATGCGGGAGTGATGAATCCAAGCAGGAATGCCATCCACCTTCAGAGCTGTTGGCATGGTGAGGATGACAGTATGAGGTCCTATGTAAGCAGGAGTGAGTCCTTCTCTCTGGAACTTTTTAACAAACACCAGGTCACCTGGCTGGAATGAGTGGCAGGGCCCCATCTGGTCAGGAACCGGATTGGGATGGGCTCCTCGGAAAAGTGGCTGGATGATATCTTGTACCTGTTGGAGAGACTTTAGCTACTGTAATAAATTAGCTTGTGATATTTCTGCCAAATTGGTATCCCTTAGCTTAGGCAAGATAGGTGGAGCCTTCCTATACATGATTTCAAAATGTGAAAACCTAGCCCAGTAAGGAGTGCACCTTACTCTAAGAAAGGCTAAAGGAAGGAGCCTTACTCAGTTCTCACCGGTCTCTAAGATTAACTTTGTAAGAGTGCTTTTTAGGGTGCGGTTCATGCGTTCTACCTGCCCAGAGCTCTGGGGTCGATAGGCACAAGGGAGCTTCCATTGAATGTGTAATGCCTTACTGACTGACTGAGCTATGGACGAGGTGAAGGCCAGTCCGTTATCAGACCCTATGGCAGCAGGCAGCCCATGTCGAGGGATGATTTCATTGAGTAAAAACCTAACTACCATGGTGGCAGTCTCATTCTTGGTGGCAAATGCCTCAGTCCATACGGAGAAGGTGTCTACTAGTACTAGAAGGTATTTGTACCTAGCCCGGTGTGGTTTTATTTCTGTAAAGTCAACTTCCCACCTTTCTCCTGGCAAGTTTCCTCAAAGACGGTGGCCTGGGCTGGGTTTAGCACCTTGCTTGGCGTTTACCTGGGCACAAGTTGTACACCGGAGAGCTGCTTGATCTGCTAAGCTTTGAAGATAGGGAATCTTAAAATGGCTCTAGAGGAGCCGGGCCAGTTTTGCTCCTCCTAAATGGGTGGTAGAATGCAGGCGACTGATTAAAGTTTCCCCGAGAGAGCTCGGGGTATGAAGATTCTGGAGTCAGGAAGAATCCACCAACCTTCCTGATTTTTATTGGCCCTGAGATCTGAAGCTAGTTTTTTTTCTTCCGTTGAGTACGCGGGATTGTAGGGCAGATCTGGCTGTGGAAAGGAGACTGTGGGTAATAAGTTTAGAGGCATGACTGGAAGTCTGGCTGCATCCCGGGCCGCTGAGTCAGCTTTCTGGTTACCACGGGCAATGGCCGTGTTTTCTCCTGGATGTCCTTTGCAGTGGATTACAGCCACCTGCTGAGGGAGCCATACGGCTTCAAGCAGGGCTAGAATTTCTTCTTTGTTTTTGATAGTCTTTCCTGCTGAGGTGCCCACGCTCCTGATAGATGGCTCCATGTACATGTACAGTAGTTAAAGCATACCTGCTGTCAGTGTAAATGTTAATAAGTTTATCCTTACCCCATCGGAGAGCCTGAGTGAGGGCGATCAATTCAGCTTTTTGTGCCGAGGTATTTGCCGGTAAAGCCTGGGCCCATAGCACATCTGTCTTTGTAGTAATGGCTGCACCAGCCTTTCGTACTCCCTGTTTTGAGAAAGCTGCTACCGCCTGTAAACATGGCGGCGTCCACCTTCTTTAGGGGCACATCTTGGAGATCAGGTGGGCCAGTTTCTGTAGTTTCTAACAGTTCCTGGCAGTCATGGACAGGTGTAGTGAAGTCTGGATCAGGGAGTAAAGTAGCTGGATTTAAACACCTTCTGGGAGAGAAAGTCAAACGAGGCTGATCTAACAGTAAACTCTGATACTGCAGGATGCGAGCATTTGACATCCATTTGCCAGAAGCACTTCGTAATAAAGTCTCTACGGCATGAGGAGCGGTAAAGGTTAAATTTTGACCTAGAGTTAACTTATCAGCCTCTTAGACTAGGCTTGCTGTTGCCACTATGACTCGCAGACAAGTTGGCCATCCAGAGGCCACAGGATCCAGCCTCTTAGACAAATAGGCCACTGGGCATCTCCAGGGTCCTAAAGTCTGAGTAAGCACCCCCTTAGCAACTCCCTGGCTTTCGTGGACAAACAGGTGAAACGGCTCTGGGATATTTGGGAGGGCTGGAGCAGGGGCTTCAGTTAATGCCTTTTTCAGATTTTGAAAAGCCTGTTCTTCTGTGTCCATCTAAACTAGCGGGCTATTCCCTCCTGTAGCAGTGTACAGGGGCTTCGCAATCTCCGCGAACCCCGACATCCATAGGCGACAGTATCCTACGGCCCCCAGGAATTCACGTACCTGTCTCTTGGTGGTGGGAGTGGGGATTCGTAGGATGGCTTCTTTCCGGGCACTGGTGAGTGCCCTTTTTCCTTGGCTTATGTCGTATCCTAGGTAGGACACTGTGGGAAGACAAAGCTGGACCTTCTTGGCTGAGACTCGATACCCGAGCTCCTGAAGGAGGTAAAGTAGGTCCCTAGTATGTTGCAGGCAACTGTCTTTAGTTTCAGTAGCTAATAAAAGGTTGTCCACCTACTGAAGAAGAGTACAGTTAAGGTGACTAGCTTGGAATGGTATAGGATCCTGCTGGAGGGCCTCTCCAAAAAGGGTGGGGGAATTTTTAAAACCTTGAGGTAACTGAGTCCAAGTCAATTGGGTAGTGTCTCCTGAGCTAGGATCTGTCCATTCAAAAGCAAAGATCAGTTGGCTCTTGGGGGCCAGAGAAATAGCAAGGAAGGCATCCTTTAGGTCAAGGACAGTGTATATACTGTAAGTTCTGGCGGGAGCAGGTTGAGTAGAGTATAAGGATTGGGGACAGTTGGATGGACAGTAACAGTCTGTTTGTTAACTTCCCTTAAGTCCTGTACCGGCTGGTAATCATTCGTTCCGGGTTTCTGGACCGGCAAAAATGGAATATTCCAGGCGGACTGACACGGTGTGAGTATGCCAGCTTGTAACAGTCATTGAATATGGGGATTAATCTCCTGTCTAGCCTGCTGACTCATAGGATATTGCTTTACCTGGACAGGCAAGGCAGTGGCCAGGAGTTCTACAACCACTGGTGGATGGTGTTTAGCCAGTCCTGGGGGGTTTGACTGGCCCAAACTCTGGGAAAGAGTGTCTGTAAGTCCAACAGGAGAGGATTAGTATTATTTTCCAGTGGTTGTGATGGTGAAACTAAAAGATTTTCCTCTGACAGAGGGGTAGTTAGCAGGAGTTGGGCAGTGGGGGGCGCTGTATTTCCTAGCATGACGTTAGCCTGCTGGGCTGAGAAGGAGATAGAGGCCTGTAACTTATGGAGCAGATCTCCTCCGAGGAGAGGAAAAGGACACTCTGGAACCACAAGAAATGACTGTCTCACTCTTTTCTGTCCCAAGCTCACTTCTCGTGAGTGTGTGACAGGATATTCCTGAATAGCTCCAGTAGACCTTTGTACAGCCACTCTTTTATTAGAGACACTGCCCAAGGGGGTCTGCAGTACCGAGTGCTCCGCCCCGGTAGCTACTAGGAAGCGTACAGGCTGGCCCCTCACTGTAGCGGTCACCGTGGGCTCCTGGGGGCCAAGAGAGAGGGAGTCCTGGCTCCATCAGTCATCAGACTCTTCCGTTGCGGGGAGGGTGAGGGCCTTTTTCTTTTCTGATTTTTCCTCTGGCCGTAGTGGGCATTCCTTTTTCCAGTGCCCAGTCTGCTTGCAATAAGCACATTTGTCCTTTTCTAGGGGAGCCTGTTCTCCTCTTTTGCCCTTCTGGTAGGGACCTGAGGTTCCCTGGCTATTCCTCTGTGATGGGGGCCTTCCCTTCTTGACCTCTCCGATGGCCGCAGCTAAGATTTTTGCTTGTCTTTTGTATGCTTTATCAGCTGCTGCCTGTGCTGTTTGTTTTCTTTTTTCAAACTCTCGATTGTCAAAAACTTTTTGGGCTATCTCTAAAAGCTGAGTGATATTCATCCCAGGAAATCCCTCCAGTTTTTGGAGTTTTCTTTTAATATCAGGGGCTGCCTGAGCCACAAATGCCAAATTAAGAGCACGGCTATTTTCGGGAGCCGCCGGGTCAAAAGAGGTGTAAGTCCGATAGGCCTCCTGGAGGCGTTCTAAAAACGCTCCCGGTGACTCATCAGGCCCTGTGCGACTTCAGTCATCTTAGACAAGTTTATGGGTTTCTGAGCAGCTCCTTTGATACCTGCAAGGAGATACCGGTGAAAATCGTCCAAAGCTTTCTTCCTACCCGAGGAATTCGTGTGCCAGTTAGGCCGGGTAGAGGGAAAGACCTCCTCAAGAAAGTCTCTAGCTTCCTCCTCTGGCCTATTGGCTGATGTGAGGAAATACTTTCTGGCCTCTCTTCGGATATGTTCCCTCTCTTCAGAGGTAAAAAGGGTCAAAAGGAGCTGCTGACAGTCATCCCAGGTGGGCCGATGGGTCCGGAGCACAGACTCCATCAGTGAGATCAAGACCTGGGGCTTTTCAGAGAAGGGAGGATTATGAGCCTTCCAGTTACAGAGGTCAGAAGGAGAAAAAGGGACATAAACCAAGAATGGGGCTGAGCGCTCATCACCCGGAGGGACTTGTGCTTCTTTCCGCGGTAGAGGGGGGGCTACTTCCTCCTGCCGCGGCCGCAATCGAGAGGCAATAGGCGGCGAGCCTACAGGGGATGTAGTCGAGGAGACAAGGGAAGATTCTAAGGGAGCAGGACGGTTATAAGGCGGCGGAACTGAGTGGGGGAGACTCTCCTCTTCTTCAGAGGGAGGCAGTACAGGGGGAGCCGAACAGACTGAGGGTCCAGGCGGAAGTGCGGTCTGGCTCAAAACGACCTTGGAGGCAGAATTATGAATGGCGCATGAGCGGAGCCATGGTGGGGAGCTTCTGACCAAACTCAGCCATTGATCAATGTGGGGAAACTGATCGGGGTGGCCGGGAGTTCCAGCAACAACCCGCCACACAGCCTGAACAATTGCTAGGTTCAGTGACCCTACTGGGGGCCATCCGACTCCAAACTTTGGCCATTCTACTTCGCAGAGTGTCCGGAGTTTGCCTTTTTAAAGGCGGACCCCATAATCCTCTGAGAAGCCTAGAGAAAAATTCTGCAGCATACATTGGAGGGGGCTCCAATCCTTACAGGGCCGGGAAGAGGAGTTTCCCATTTTTGGAGGCAGTTTGACAAGGTTTGAGCAGGGATATCAAACCCAGCACGGACAGAAAAACTCATTCCCTAGGGGGCTGGAGTATCGGAAGAACAGAATTAACATAACCAGAAGGAGCCGAAAGACAACAATAGCTCACACTACTTGCCACAGGACGGTTAACTAGCTTTAAGATTGAGGGAGGTCGGGCGCAGTGGCTCACGCCTGTAATCCCAGCACTTTGGGAGGCTGAGGCGGGCGAATCACGAGGTCAGGAGATCGAGACCATCCTGGCTAACACGGTGAAACCCCGTCTCTACTAAAAATACAAAAAATTAGCTGGGTGTGGTGACGGGTGTCTGTAGTCCCAGCTACTTGGGAGGCTGAGGCAGAAGAGTGGCCTGAACCTGGGAGGCGGAGCTTGCAGTGAACTGAGATCGCGCCACTGCACTCCAGCCTGGGCGACAGAGAAGACTGTCTCAAAAAAAAAAAAAAAAAAAAAAAGAATAATTATCCAAGATTGAGGGAGGAGGACTAGAGGCCAACCTTAGGTCTCCTTGGCTGGATGGACCTAGGCGTCCTCCCTCTTTCCCTGGACCTGTAGCCTAAATACTTTTGGTGTCTCCACGACTCAAAGGCAAATAGCTCAAATTCGGCCTTTTCTTTTAAGAGTTTGAGGAGTGAGAGCAGAGCCAAGTCCTGGAGACGCTGAACTTGCTGTGACACGGGAAAACGAGATGTACGGGGTAAGTGGTAGGGATGAGGAGGAAAAAGGGCCACTCGGATCTTTCCTAGGGTAGGAGAGTAGCCACAGAGGAATAGAATAAGAGTTTAAACGAAGTAAAGTGGTACGGGCGTAGGTTTCTCTGCACAGTGCCGTATTTAAGGGCACAGAAAAAGTTACGGGATGACAAAAGAGGTGAGCAAGGAGGTCTGCAGGGTGGCTATTTTGAACCTACCACCGGTTTAGTCTGGAGGTGGCCCAGTCACTTGGACATGGGGTATGACAATCTAAATGCCAGCAATCTTCATGGTGCCAGAAATCCCAAACAGGCGAATGTTCCTCACACTCGTTCCCGTTCCCGTAACAACACCTGATTTGTTTCTGACAGAAAAGGCAGGACTGGGATGGCCAGCCTAAGCGATTGATGAGAAATTTAACCTCCTGTGATAAAAAATCAACACTAAAGACCTTGAAGAAGTTCCTGCCCAGACGTCTTGGGCAGTATCGATGACCTGACATACGAAACTTTGACAACCACTAAACAGGACAATAGACACCGAGCAGGACAACAAACACAAAACAAACAATAGACCCTTGGGTATATAAACAATTATGGTAGGTTTTTATTAGACAGACAAGGGGAGGGGGTCCCATGATGGGATCAGTCAGATGCCTGCCTGGCCGCTCCCCCTGAGGGGACTTGGGCTTCTCTTAGCATTGGCAGGCAGGTATAAACCCCCGGCTCGGATGGAGCTATGCCCGATGCTGCCTTAAGCCTTATGAGGTCGCCACGGAACGGCAGGTGAGGGCCCACTCGAACTCCGTAGCTTTCGCCGTGGAGCTACAAACTGGGGATCCAGAGGCAGGCCCCTGGACTCCTCAGTCGTGCACACATTCACAAAGAGTTTATAACAATTTTTGTTATTTCCCGTTCTAAACAAAGGTCCCAGAAGACCTGAACGAGAGGAGGAGAAGAGATAGAGCAAGGGGGAGAGAAAGAAAAAGAGGAGGAGAGAGTGAGAGACTAGTCTTAATGGAGAGGCCGGCCTGCCAGAAACCAGGGCTCTATCCTCCAGCGTCCTGGAGTATGGATAGAGTCAAAGAGAGGGACACCGTCGTCAGGGCTGCCTCCCTCTCACCAAACCAGAACCAAAAGGCGCCTAACAGAAAAACCAGGGCTCTGTCCTCCAGCGCCCTGGAAAAGCGGGCAGTGTCAAAGACAGGGATGCCCTCGTCAGGGCTGCCTCCCTCTCACCAAACAGAAGTCAAATCTAACTTACCTGACCCCGGGGTCAGAAGCTGAGGACTCAGAGGTTGAATTTTGTGGGCACACACACACGGTAGTCGATCCGCTGTCCTCCGGAAGACGGTCGCCTTTCGGGGACCTGGAAAATTTTTTTTCAGGTGGCTCCTCGCCTATAAGCCGGCCGTCCCTCCGGGGGAGCCCGGAGCTAGCCCGGCTCTCGCCCAGTGGCGAATATATCTCGCTGGGGCTTCCAAATGTTGTACCCGAGCGAGTTAGAGAAACGCCACACTTCGAGACGAATTTAAGAGTCCTTCATTAGCCGGCGACCGACAGACGACTAACGCTCGAAATTCTCTCGGCCCCGAGGAAGGGGCTTGATTTTCCTTTATACTTTGGTTTAGAAAGGGGAGGGGGAGCTTAGTTGCAGCAATTCTACAGAAGTAAAAGCATGCAAAAAAATTAAAAAGACAAATGGTTACAAGGAAACAAACAGTTCCAGGTGCAGGGGCTCTAAATCTATCATAAGGCGTTAGGTATGGGGGCTCTCCCGGACACAAACTCAAAGCTTTATGGTGTTATCTCTTGAGCGAAATCCTGGTAACTTCGTAAATTGCTTGCTTCAGTACCTTATCAGTTAATTGGACTCTTTGATATGTAAGAGTCAGCTTACACAAGTTAACTGCTTGAGGAAGGGGGTGGGTAAGGAGTCTTTGACGTCTTGTAAATGAAGGAGCCAAAAGGAGTACTTCCGGCTTTCTCAGCTAAGGAAGAGCCTATTCATGTGGAAACAAGGCTAGGCGATTAAGGGAGAGTCTAAAAACAAAGTTAGGTACTACAAAGTCGCGGTAAAATCGGTGTTAACTACGTGTGCAGCCACCTTTTCCTTAGTGCTATTCCTGAAGGAAATAATGTATACAGTGATCTATTTCCAAGACAAAGTGCCTTAAATTGGCTTAGGTCAGCAAAGTACAGAAGAAACAGGGTATACTAGGTCCCTGCTTGGATAGCGGATGCCTGCTTGTCGCCCCCCTCTTTCCTCCCCCTTCCCATCCCCCATCCTTGGTGGCCTTCACCCAAACAAAAACAGTTTAGTCTAAGATATAAGTTTACTAGTCTGCAAAATAGCTCACTTTGTCTGTTCTTATCAGCCTGCCCAGCTACTTAGGTCATAAGTCAAACACTTAAAGAGCCCTTGAGCTAACCAGGATTGCAATGCATTGTGGGCTGCAACAAAATGCAGCAAGACAACCCTAAAAAAGAGACACCTAAAGCCTTTGCCTAACAATCAGTAGGCAAACGCCGAGAAAATTGTAACCCCATAGCACTCAGCCTATGAGGAACCTGGGGAGGGACTTGCGCACTAGGGGACAAATTGCTTGTTGAAACTGTTCTGGGTGTGCCTGCACGCCAGACACCCGATCTTGATCTCTCAAGACCGTCATTAAAAGTCTCACTTTCGCTGTTCTCCGGGTCTCTGAGTCCATTCTTTGGGTTTAGATGGATGAGTTTATTTCTCACATAACAGCTGCAGAGGTGGTACAGGTGAATCCCTCTCAAGTCAAGTGGGTTAACCTCAAAATTGACTTAAGGGGTGGTTTGTGATCGCCTGGTAGATGGTGGACGGTTACAGCTTTTAGAAAGTGAGTAAAAGAGATGATGCATACAGAAGCCCCACTGGGTTGCTTAGCTTCTGCACATGGAGAAAGAGGCTGCTTTTCTGCCTTCTAGGTGTTTAGTAACTTAATTTTTAATCCTTTGATGAAATAGAGTGGAAAATAAAAGGAGATTTTCTTTTAACAAAATAGTGTTAAGATGCTTGCCAAGTATCCCCCTGTGAATTTCTGCTTAGCACTGTGATATCAGAATTAGAAATTGTGCAGGGTTCTAATCTGGAGATATGGGATGTTCAGTAGCTAAGAAGGAAGTTATTCCTTGAAAGTAAGTACAGTGAGGTAGAAAAGGATCCATTGGGATTGGGAGAATAAAAGTTCATTATTTTTATTTATTAAAAAAAACAAAACAAAACAAAGAAATGAGGTTTTGGCTGGGTGCAGTGGCTCACGCCTGTAATCCCGGCACTTTGGGAGGCCAAGGTGGGCAGATCACGAGGTCA
The DNA here is from genome assembly GCF_000001405.40 of Homo sapiens. Classification (NCBI taxonomy): domain Eukaryota; kingdom Metazoa; phylum Chordata; class Mammalia; order Primates; family Hominidae; genus Homo; species Homo sapiens. The sequence goes on from NT_167249.2 coordinate 87,194, forward strand.
GGAGATTGAGACCAGCTTGGCCAACATGGTGAAACCCCATCTCTACTAAAAATACAAAAAATTAGCCAGGCGAGGTGGCAAGTGCCTGTATTTCCAGCTATTCAGGAGGCTGAGGCAGGAGAATTGCTTGAACCCAGAAGGCGGAGCTTGCAGTGAGCCAAGATCGCTCCACTGCAGTCCAGCCTGGGCAACAGAGTGAGACTTCATCTCAAAAAAAAAAAAAAAAAAAAAAAAAGAAAGAAAGAAAAAAGAAAAAAAAAAGAAGAAACGAGCTTCTACCCTAGATGGATCTTGGACTCTGGAGTTCAGAGAGCTTGCCATTTCAGACCAGAAACTTCCTTAAAGAACCAAGAGAAGTAATTTTCTCCCTGCTAAATTTCAGCTGAGGTGATTGAGATCTTTTCCTCATTTGTCATTATATTTGTCATTTGTCCTTATGTTTGTAGTTAAATAGCTTGGATTAAGTTTCAGAATTTGTCGGTCTCTAATGGAAAAAGTGACCACCAGCACATCACCAGCAATCATCAGCCACTTGTAGTGGAATCTTTTAGTGAAAGCTTGCAGGACTTTTGCAACCTGGGTGAGGAAGCAGTTAGAAGAAAGTAAGAAACGCAAAAGAACTTGAGCCTTAACCTTCTGATCTGAAATCAGACTTAGGTCACAGAATTCAATGGTTTCTGACTATTTTATTTAAACTGGAAATCGGCGGGATGGCAAGGAATACTACTTGCTTCTATAGTGTGTGATCCACATTAGTGATTTGTGGAACTAATTAGGACAGGGGGATAATTCTAAGCAACAAAGAACTGTAAGTGAATGAACACGAATTATCTCCCTGTATGAGAGAGAAATGCAGAGGCCAACACAATTCCCTTGAATAGGTGGGGAATATCATGGAGAACTTCCTAAGGTGGCTCATAGGAAAAAAAAGAGTGGAAATACTGGAAGTTGAACGCAGGACCTCACGCATGCTAACCACGTGCTCTGTCCCTGAGCTATACCCCCGCAGGAGATCAGGAGCTTGGGAAAATGTTTTGGTGATCTCCGTTGCCTGAGTCTGTGCTCTGTGTCATCAAGACAATCACTGTATGTTTCCAATTCCACTGTTTATGAATTCCCGACACTAAGCGCCCTCTCTCTCTCTCTCTCTCTCTCTCTCTCTCTCTCTCGGGCATGGCTACACCAGGAGAAAGATATCTTGTGGTAAAAACAAAGGCATTGTTCCTGATGTTCCTGATTTGTGGTCAGTCCAAGATCAACTCACCCCAAAGTGGTCTCCCCATCATATTAGACTTTCTGGAGCATAATTCCATTGTATCCCTTGAGTGACCTCCGGCATACAACATTCTCTTGCAAATTTTCTGATTATAACTTTTTTCTTTTGACTCTGGGAAGCATCTTAGTGTTTCCCATAGTCAAAAAATAAAACTCAGGTATGTGTGAAAATACCCTAAAATTCAGTACAAATAGAGGCAAATTAACTGCATTTCAAAAGAATAACATAACCACATTGAAGAGGAAAGAACTGATATAAGAAAATGGTTTACACAGATTGTTGTTCTAATTGTGAGATCAAAAAGAACATCGAACAAATCTTAAACTCTATGTATCAGGATTATTTTTTGTAGAGTGAGGGCTGTAGCAATTCTGATATTTTGTGTGAATTTTAGGATTGGGAAATCGAGTGTCTGTTGTTGGAAACAGACTCTCACTGTGGGAGAAGAAGGAAGGTAAAGAATAGTCCTGTTGATACTGATGGGAATTAGAGGCATCAGTATGAAATTGTACATATGAAATTGTAAAATTTCCCCACAGATCTATCTGCTAACTGGGCCTAGAAGAAATGATACCTCAGAAGCAATGAGCAAAGATAACTCTGTATCTTGATTTTCAAATACCATTCCCTACTAAAAGGAACCAGAGATACTAATAGAAAGTAGCTATTAGTGTCAACTACACAGACTCCAGGACTGTGCCAGGGAAACTGCAAAATGAACCTAAGATATCTTGCCCTGCCAGAATGTAAGTGCTCAGAAATGACGGGGGTGATTTAAAAGGACACAGAAGCCAGCTTGAAGGGAATCTCACTGGCCAAATCTGACACACTTTTAGCATCAGTGATGACAATAACTGATTATCATTCTTGGGAACTTAAACAAATAAATATGGAGGACGGGACGATTTTCCTTACAGTGGTTTGCCAAATGATAAATGTGAAAGTGAGTGCGGGGCGCAGTGGCTCACGCCTTTAATCCCAGCACTTTGGGAGGCCGAGGCGGGTGGATCACGAGGTCAGGAGATCGACACTATCCTGGCTAACACGGTGAAGCCCCCTCTCCACTAAAAATACAAAACCTTGGCCGGGCGTGGTGGCGGGTGCCTGTAGTCCCAGCTACTCGGGAGGCTGAGGCAGGAGAATGGCGTGAACCCGGGAGGCGGAGCTTGCAGTGAGCCAAGATTGCGCCACTGCACTCCAGCCTGGGCGACAGAGCGAGACTCCGTCTCAAAAAAATGAACAAAGAAACAAAGTGAGGATAAAATTTAAAAATCCCCATTTAAACAATACCATCAGAATGATGATAGATGCAGGCAAAATTTGTAAGTTAATGTTAAAGTATAGGTAAAAATTTGATGAGGATCAGGATATTTACGTAGTCTCAGAGTATTTCCCTGTAGATTATTTATTAATTACAATGAGGAAAATGATAATTTTTCAGGGAAGAAACAGTAATTACAAACTTAAAATCAAGTGATCAAGCTAACTTCAGTCAGCTCATGCCTCTTGGTGTGAGAGAGGGTAATAACGTGATTTCTGTGACATTTCTCCCAAATTCCATAACCCGATGTAATCTTATCATGGCTAATACAGATTAAGAAACGTTGCACAAAACCACTGGAAAAACTCTTCAAAAACATGTCGGTGTTGTGAAAGACAAGAAGATTAAGAAACTGTTCCAAATTAAAGGGCACTAAAGAGTCAAGACAACTAGATTCATATGTGATTCTGAAATGGATCCTAGCTTGGAAGAGAAATTTCTATAAAAGTTTTTATTGGTACAATTAGACAATTTTTAATAGACTTTATATTAGACTATATTCACATTTATCAATGTCAAATTTACTGAACTTGATAATTGTGTTGTGTTAAGGAATTGACCTTTTTCTTAAGAAATACACATTGAAGTATTTAAGAATAAAAAGATATGATGTCTGAAAATCATTATCAAATAGTTTAGAGAAATAATCTTTGTCTGATATATATATATAATACATACTACATATATATGATATGTATTCCAGTATTGTTGATTTGTCATTGAGGAAAAGATGTTTTGAAATTATCCCAAGATTTGAACAATATATGCTTCTCAGATGGTCCCACTTTATTTTAAATGTTGCAAGGCAGAGACAAAGGTACAAATTTCTCAATTTGTATTAGAATTTAGAAGGTGTTTTATTCTATTTTCCTTGTCACACTCCTTGCTTGTGAGTCAATCAACTAAGGACATCTGAAAGAGACAGAGTTTCTTTCTCAGAGTCAGGAGGTAATGAGGGGCTGCTCTGGTAGGGAAAGAAATAGTGAAGTTCTTTTTTGGAGAAAAGCAGCAAAAAAAAAAGAGAGTGACAGGAGAAAAAGAAAGAAAGAATGGAAGGAAGGGAAGGAGGAAAAGAAACAGTAAAGTTGACAAACAGAACTCCCTTCCCTCTTTATTAGTCTTCAGGAAATATAGAGTTTGAAACTATCATAGCCCAGGAAACCCTTTAAATAGGGCCATCAGTAGGCCAGAAATTTTGATTAGTGCCTTGAAAATAAAAGCATAGCCGGGCGCGGTGGCTCACGCCTGTAGTCCCAGCACTTTGGGAGGCCGAGGCGGGCGGATCACGAGGTCAGGAGATCGAGACCATCCTGGCTAACACAGTGAAACCCCGTCTCTGCTAGAAATGCAAAAAATTAGCCTGGCGTGGTGGCGGGCGCCTGTGGTCCCAGCTGCTCGAGGAGGCTGAGGCAGAGAATGGCGTGAACCCGAGAGGCGGAGCTTGCAGTGAGCTGAGATCGCGCCACTGCACTCCAGCCTGGGAGAGAGAGCGAGACTACGTCTTAAAAAAAAAAAAGAAAAAAGAAAGAAAGTAAAAGCAGAAGTGATTAGACGGACAGGAAACAGCAGAGGAAATGGCTGCTGTTTCACTACAGTTAAAATGTCTTACACATCTGTGAACTATTTGTCCTCTTCTCAGAGGAGGGACACTTTTTTAGGTACTAAAAAAGAATTGTCTGGCACTTCATGGCAGCAACATGTTTGATGTTAACTGACATTTCCAGACATCCAGGTATGATTTTTATTTAGCGACTTTAAAAGAAGGATGAGAAAAAAAACAAAAAAACAAAAACAAACCATGAGCCAGGCGTGGTGGCCTGCATCTATAGTCCCAGCTACACCTACTCAGGAGGCTGAAGAGGAGGCAGGAAAACAGCTTGAGGTCAGGAGTTGGAAGCCCCAGTGCTCTACGATTGCCCTGGTGAATAGCCACTGCACTCTAGTCTGGTCATCAAAACAAGATCCCGTCTATTAAAAATAGAAAGAAAATAAAGGAAGAAAGAAAAGAAAGGAAGGAAGAAAGAAGGAAGGAGCGAGAGAGAAAGAAAGGAAGGAGAGAGGGCAAAAGGAAGAAAGGAATGGAGGGAGGGAGAGATTGACAGAACAGATTAGAAAACATAATCCAACTATACACTATCTAAAAGAAACTCATTTCAAATATAATTATATAAGCAGGCTGAAATTAAGGGGATAAAATATATTACATGCAAAAGTTAATCAAAAGAAAGCAAAAGTGACTATATTAATATAAACTTAAGAACAAAGAAAATCCACCAAGAAGGCATAACAATCCTAAATATGTATACACCAAACAGCAGAGCTGCAACATGTAAAGAAAAAAAAAAAAAAAAAAAACAGGACCGGGCGCGCTGGCTCACGACTGTAATCCCAGCACTTTGGAAGGCCGAGGCGGGCGGATCACAAAGTCAGGAGATTGAGACCATCCTGACCAACATGGTGAAACCCCGTCTCTACTAAAAAAAAAAAAAAAAAAAAAAAAAAAAGCTGGGCGTGGTCGTGCGCCCTGTAGTCCCAGCTACTCGGGAGGCTGAAGCAGGAGAATTGCTTGAACCTGGGAGGCGGAGGTTGCAGTGAGCCAAGATCGTGCCACTGCACTCCAGCCTGGGCAACAAAGTAAGGCTCCGTCTCAAAACAAAACAAAACAAAACACCCAGACAGGGCGCAGTGGCTCACGCCTGTAATCCCAGCACTTTGGGAGGCCGAGGTGGGCGGATCACCTGAGGCCAGGAGTTGGAAAGTAGCCTGGCCAACATGGTGAAACCCGTCTCTACTAAAAATACATACATTAGCCGGGCATGGTGGTGCAGTGGCGTGCACCTGCAGTCCCAGCTACTAGGGAGGCTGAGGCTCGAGAATTGCTTGAACCCGGGAGGTGGAGGTTGCAGTGAGCCGAGATGGTGCCACTACACTCCAGCCTGGGTGACAGAGCGAGACTCTGACTCATAAATAAATAAATAAATAAATGTAATACATAAATAAATATTTTAAAAAACAAAAAAGATAGAATTAAAAAAATCGACAAATGCAGTTACATTAGAGACTTCACTTCTCTCTCTCTCTTTTTTGTGAATTTGTTCTTATTGGGGAAGACGGCACAGGGTGGGAAATGTCGCCTTGGGCTATGGTATGCCCCACCTCCCAGAGAATGTCCATTTGCATTCTAATCTTCCTGGGATGCTTTATGGAACTTTTTCTTCTTCTTGGAGCTGCTCTTGCCAGCCGCCTCTTCAGGCCCACTGCTGACCAGCTCCTCTTTGGAGAATTTCCTCGTTTTCTTGGAGCCACTTCTGTGGCCTGACTCTTCGGTGTCATTAACTGTTTCCTCCTTGGGTGAAGACTTCTTCCTCTTGGGAAGACTGGTGCTGCCAGCGGTCTCTTCAAGATCGCTACTCATCAACTCCTCCTTGGAAAAAGATTTCTTTTTCTTGGGTTTGGAGAAAGAGATAGATGGGTCTTCCATTCCATTCTCCTGATGAACCTCCTGGGGCTTTTGCTTTTTCTTCTTTTTGGGTTTTTCAATCGTCTCCTCACACGCTCTGTCGCCCAGTCTGGAGTGCAGTAGCGCAATCTTGGCTCACTGCAAGCTCCGCCTCCCGGGTTCACGCCATTCTCCTGCCTCAGCCTCTGCGTAGCTGGGACTACAGGCGCCCGCCACCACGCCCGGCTAATTTTTTGTATTTTTAGTAGAGACGGCGTTTCACCATGTTAGGCAGGGTGGTGTCCATCTCCTGACCTGGTGATCCACCCGCCTCGGCCTCCCAAAATGCTGGGATTACAGACGTGAGCCACCACGCCCGCGCCATTTCTCTCATAATAACAGAAAAACTACACAGAAAATCTGCAAGGATATTGAAGAACCCCAAATCATCTTCAGGCAACAGAATTCAGTCACCATGTATAGAACAGTCCACACAAGAAAAGCAGAACACGCATTCATTTCAAATTCATACGTAACGTAGATCAAGATAGAACATACCTCATACCTTGGGCCTCAACAAATTTAAAAGAATTGACTGACATAGTATGATCCCTAACCACAATGAAATCAAACTAAAAATCAGTCACAGAAAGACAACAAAAATATCCAAACACTTGGAAAATGAACAACACACTACTAAATATTCCATAGGACAAAGAGAAAGCCTTAGTAGAGATCAAAAAAATAAATTAACCTGAATAAAAATGAAAACACAATGTATCAAAATTTCCAAGACAACTTAATCTCTGAGAGAGAAATTTACAGCACTAAGTGCATACATTAGAAAAGAAAAAAGTCGGCCAGGCGCGTGGCTCACGCCTGTAATCCCAGCACTTTGGGAGGCCGAGGCGCGTGGATTACAAGGTCAGGAGTTGGAGACCAGCCCGGCCAAAAAAAAAAAAAAAAAAAAAAAAAAAAAAGAAAGAAAAGAAAAAAGTCTCAAATCAGTCCTTTAAGCTCTTACTTGAAGAACTCAGGTGGGGGAAAATAACCCAAAGCAAATAGAAGAAAGGAAATGAGCAGAAATAAACGGAACTGAACACACACGCACAAAATAGAAAAACAAACAAAAAGCTAGTTCCTTTAAAAGATCAATAAAAGAAGACCTCTAGGAGGACTGATAATTTTTTAAGAAGAGAGATGACACAAATTGCCAATATCAAGAATAAAAAGAAGAGTATATCACTATAGACTCTGCTGACATCAAAAGGGTAAATGAATACTATGAACAACACTTTACACACAAATTTGAAAACTTAGATGAGATGGACTAATTCCTTGAAAATCACAAACTATCACAACTCACTCAATATGAAATATATTTTTCTATAACCTTGTAACTACTAAGGAAATTAAATTTGTGATATAAAAACTTTAAAAAAAAAACAGACTCTTCAGGTTCAAGAAAGTTTCACTGTATAATTCGTCGCCCCCGCCCTCCACCCCCTCCCCCAGAAGGAGTCTTGCTGTGTTGCCCAGGCTGGAATGCAGTAGTGCAATCTGGGCTCACTGCAACCTCCACCTTCCAGGTTCAAGCGATTCTCCTGCCTCAGCCTCCCAGGTAGCTAGGATTACAGGCACGTGCCAGCACGCCCGGCTAATTTTTGTATTTTTAGTAGAGATGGGGTTTCACCATGTTGGCCAGGCTGGTTTCCAACTCCTGGCCTCAGGTGATCCGCCTGCCCCGGCCTCTCAAAGTGCTGGGATTGCAGGCATGAGCCACCGCCTATGCCAATGTAGGCATATCTTAAAAGGATACATGACCTGGGGATACTTTGAGTATTCAGATTAATTAATTTTTAAAGTGTTTTTTAAATTCTCCCTTCTTACATCTTCTTTTCCTTCTGCCTTCAAGGGCTGTCACACGAAGAGTAGCGTAGGTGGATAAAAAAACAGAATGGTCAGTACCGCCTGGGGGATTTAGGTCCAGGTGAGGAGGTGAGAAGGTGGAATTCCCAGCTCTTAGAAATGAAGACCCAGGAAGTGGGTCGCTGCCTGTCCTTACCCTCGCCAGCCCCTGGGCCGGCACCGTGGCTGAAACCCAGCATGGATTTCATCTTGGGGACGTTGTGGCTCCAGTTTTGAGACTCAAGTAACGATGGATGGAGAGGAGAACAAGGACCACCTGAGCTCGACCACAAGAGCTCGAGGAGGGAAGCAGGGACGCGGTGGGGTGCGCACCTGCGGCTGCGGCAGCAAAGGCGGAGGAGGAGCGAAGTGGACGAGCACCCGAGGCTGCCAGAGGATCTGGGCAGCCTGGGTGCCCATCTCTGCTGCGTTTCCTCGGTGTCCACGATAGGTGAGAGGGCTCATTCCCTGTAGGAGAAGTGAGCTGAAAACACTTTCCCCGCAAGATCTCCCTCGTTTTACTCAAGGTAGTCGCGGCGTTGAGAACGCCTCGCAGCTCCTTTACTGGCTGGGGTACTGGGGAGCAGGGGTACCCTTGAGTTTTGGTACAGGCGGGTGGTATTGGTGGCTTCCGAGGAAAGGACAGAGAAGCCGCCTATTTCCAATCCCTACTGTTCGTCAGGGGGAGAGTGTTGAACCAGGTCTCTCTAGACCCTCCTGCTTAAGCCCCTTTGTTATAGGTAGGAGAGTGTGTTCTGTTTTGGTATTTGAGTGTGTGTGTGTGTGTTTAGCTTCTTGAGCTTGGAATATGTCATGAAATACAAGAAAGATCAGGGAGTCTCAGTATATTTTAAACTTAAATTGGTTTTCAGAAGTACTTATACCTTGTTCCTAAGGAATTCAGGGTGTCCAGATTTCAACCTGCCTAGCAGTGTGAAGCTCTATGAGTCGAATATCCTAGGCTTTCTTCCATATCAGCAAGCCTCTGAAATTTAGGTTTCTTTCTGGAGAATATCACCCACACTTTGGCAGTGGGCTCCTACATTGCCTACATCCAACTCTTGGAAGCAAGAAGAGTGGGCAAAACCAAGGTCACCACACAAAAGTATATCCCTACACGAGATAAGTGGAAATAAAGCACTGGCTTAGGTGTGGAGAGGAAGAGACAAATGTGAAAACGCAGAAGGTAGACAGACAGAGAACATCTTCCAAGGAGGAAGAGTCTCCTAACCACAAGGAACTCTCTACTTAATGCTGCGAAGATATTTTAATTACATTTTATGCATTAGATTGCTTTTTTTGTTTGTTTTTGTTTTTTGTTTTTGATGGAGTCTCGTTGTGTCACCAAGCTTGAGTGCAGTGGTGCCATCTCGGCTCACTGCAATCTCCGCTTCCCAGGTTCAAGGGATTCTCCTGCCTCAGCCTCCCCGTAGCTGGGACTACAGGCATGGCCATCATGCCCAGCTAATTTTTTATTCTCCTGCCTCAGCCTCCCCGGCCACCATGCCCAGCTAATTTTTGTATTTTTGGTAGAGACGGGTTTCACCATGTTGGCCAGGAATGTCTCGATCTCTTGACCTCGTGATTCACCCGACTTGGCCTCCCAAAGTGCTGGGATTACAAGCATGAGCCACCGCCCCCAGCCACATAGACTGGGTTTTTAACAACTGGATCTTAGACCAGAATATTGGCAGAATTGGTGGGGGCTTGACAGAGAGCAGGGTGAATTCCAACCCTGAGGGTGGAGCAAGAATGATTACAGTGTCTTCCTCAGAGCTTAGAAACTTCCAAGCTCTAAGGAAAGGCCTTAGGTTTCAAATTGAAAGGCCAAAATAGCTTGAGATGGCTCCAGGTATTTTGGCTGGAAAGAGTCTCCTGGCTCTAAAGAACCCCTGTGAGTTCTTCTACAGGAAAATCAGAGGCTCTTGTGTGTGATCTCTAGTCATCTAAAATATTGAAGGTCTCAAAGAGGTAATAAATCCACTCTCATCCTGATGTAATGCAAATACGTCACTGGCTTTCCTACGTGGTTTGAGTTTTTTATTGAAAATAGGCAGGGAACCCCGGGAGCAACTCTTTCTCCTTAGCAAGCATCTGGCCCTGAACTCCTTCTGAAACTTCTAGAGCAGTGCTTCTCAAACTTTAGCATCAGAGTCACTTGAGGGCTTATTCAACACAGGTGGCTGGGTCCCACTCTCATCAATTCTGATTCTGTAGATCTGAGGTTGGGCCTGGAATTTGACATTCCACTAGTAGCACCCTAATCCCTCATGCCTTGCTCTCCTGTGCAGCATCCTTTGTGGCAAACATGACACTATTTCCTTAAAGTGCCTGGAGAGAACCAGTAGATAGTAGGGGGGAAATATTAAGAAATGAAAAGAAAATATATGGCATCTCTTCGTTACCTGTCTCCAAAAAATGCATCTTGAAACAAACATATGATTGGCCTGGGGGCACACAGCCAATCCTCAGCTAAGCAGGTTTCACCAGACAGTATCCCTCCTGGATACTGGTTATGGATATTTTCACCGGATAAAAGAATCAAGAAGTGAGGACATCCCAGCCTGATAGAGTGTTAGACTGGTGGATGGTGACAAACATCATACTCTGTTGCCTCTCAAAGATGCTTTGATTCAACAGCAAACATGTACAGAGGACAGCAATTTTGAAACATACAACATTGGAAACCCCTAAAAGGTATCATCAGTGAATAGGATTTCCTGGGAGTTCCCTGGTCATGCAATGCAATTGTGATGGGATTGACAGAGAAAGAACAAAAAAAATTTGTTTTCTTTTGTTTTTACCTGAGGAAGTGCTCAGCACACCTGCGATCCACTCACCTTTTACTTTGCGTCTATTTTCCATTGTGACAGAAAAACTTTTCCTACTTTTTCACACGAGTCCTCCGTTGGCTGTTAACAGAGGTTTCCAGGCAATGTTTTATTTTAACAAGGAAAATGGAATGGCTGAGGAAATACAGGAAAATGAATCAATTGTATCAGTAGGGAATGTTGATCCGTATTGGTTTCTGCTCCTCTCATGTTGAAGGTCTCTTATTCCCTGACAGTCTTTGTTCGGTCATCCAGCGTCCTTCCACTCCCATCTCAAGCGGCTGGAGAGCCACAGCAGTCCTTGTCTCAGTATTGGATTACACTTGTGGCTGTGCTTTCTGCGCAGGTTGACAGGGAGAGACTGGAGGAGAAATCAGTGGACAGATGCTTTCGCTCTGTTCTTTGGCCCAGAAAACAAAACTAAAGTAAAAAAAAACAAAAAACAAACAAACAAAAAAGATGATGCTGGGAGCGGTGGCTCACGCCTGTAATCCCAGCACTTTGGGAAACTGTGGCGGGTGGATCACCTGAGGTCTGGGGTTCGAGACCAGTGTGGCCAACATGGTGAAACCCCGTCTCTACTAAAAATACAAAAATTACCCGGGCCTGATGGCACGCACCTGTAAACCCACCTGCCGAGGCAGAAGAATCGCTTGAACCCGGGAGGCAGCGGTTGTAATGAGCCAAGATTAAGCCACTGCACTCCAGCCTGGGCTACAGAGCGAGACTCTGTCTCCAAAAAAAAAAAAAAAAAAAAAAAAAGAATGGCCGCGGGGCGCTTTTCTCCCTTCTTCTTTGTCTTTCCTTCTCTTTAATCATAGCACAAAATGAGAGCAAATGTGAACCTCCCGTGGATGTGCACACTTTTGTTTGGGTTCAAGAGACCCTGTTGGGATCCCATTCTTCTTTCTTCCTCATTTCTTTTTCACCTTCCTTCTGCCGTCACAATCGCCTTCAGTGATGTCGAAGCTCACGGCATAGAAATGGGTTATAAATGGAGGCAACCCATTGGGTTACGTCTTTACTCTCTATATGTGCAGAAATAGGACAGAAAAAGGTGCGGAGGCAGAAGTAAGTCTATGTTGCTTGAGAATTAGGTTTGAGCACTACCAGAGCAAAAAGTCACCGTTTGGAGGTGCCGGGGATCGAACCCGGGACCTCATACATGCAAAGCATGCGCTCTACCACTGAGCTACACCCCCTTCCTGAAAAAAATCCTTCTTGTAATAATTTCCAGGAGGTAACTTTCTTTTTCTGAGTATTGTGGAGCGTCTGCAGCTGCTGTGAGTAGAAGATACTAGGTACTAACGGGGGATACAAATTATTTAGAATACAGTATACGACTTGAAATGGAAGGCGCCTGTAATCCCAGCTACTGGGGAGGCTGAGCCAGGAGAATCCTTGAACCCGGGAGGCGGAGATTGCACTGAGCCGACATCGCGCCACTGCACTCCAGCCTGGGCATCGGAGCGAAACTCAATCTCAAAAAAAAAAAAATCACTTCCTAGGTTTCAGACTGTAAATAATTTATTTAATGTCAGCGCTTCATGGAAGACTTCACTGGAATATGCAACCAAAGCAGAGAGTGATGCATATATATATATATATGCGTGTGTGTGTGTGTGTGTGTGTGTGTGTGTATTACCTTTATCGGATTTTCAACAGCAAAAAATTGGAGTTCTATACACCTTTCTGGGATTGGCATGCAAGTGTTGTATAAGGGTTGTATCAGCCGAGCGCTGTGTCTTACGCCTGTAATCCCAGCACTTTGGGAGGCCGAGGCGGGCCGATCACCTGAGGTCGGGAGTTCGAGACCAGCCTGACCAACATGGAGAAACTCCGTCTCTACTAAAAATACAAAATTAGCCAGGCGTGGTGGCGCATGCCTGTAATCCCAGCTACTCGGGAGGCTGAGGCAGGAGAATCGCTTGAACTCAGGAGGCGGAGGTTGCGGTGAGCCGAGTTCGCTCCATTGCACTCAGCCTGGGCAACAAGAGTGAAACTCCGTCAAAAAATAAATAAATAAACAAAATAAGGGTTCTATTAGGCAAAACTGAAAGAAAGAAAGAAAAAAAAAAAACCCTGCCGAAACCCGGGATCGAACCAGGGACCTTTAGATCTTCAGTCTAACGCTCTCCCAACTGAGCTATTTCGGCTTCCCGAATTTGTTTTAGGTGTTTCTTCAAAATATAAAAACTCATTTGTAGGGTCAGTATATCTTCCAATTCTGTTGTCTTCAATATCACCTGTCATTCACTCACCCCTTCACCCCCAAAATATAGATTCTTCCCCAATTTATGTCTGAAAACAGGACCCAATTTTAAGGACAATGAATGGGTTAGCAAAAGCCAGGGAAAGAAAAGGCAAAAATGAAGAATAGAGCAAAGTAAGAACATGCTCCCCTACATGCTCACTGCTCAGAATACCAAGGGAATTCAAAAGAAAATTTTCTAGGCTTTTCCTTTTCTCTGGGCTCTTGTTTTTCTGTCTTGCTCTTCAACGATATGGCAAAAAGGAACAGAGGATTATTGGGCACGTTAATGTGGTGGCAGGTTTATAGCTTCTGACTAAGGAAATCCTGAGCGAGAAAATTCATTTTCGCTATTCCCTTCCTTTCACTCGTCTTGTGCTGACACATCCACCTTGGGTGGTACAGAGACCCAGGGAGTGGAAATGGAAAGTATAATATGTTTATTTTAGTGTGACCACGCAAGGCATGTTTTTAAAAGGAGAAAAGTACAGAGTGGCGAGAATTGTGAAAAACAGATGAACATGTATGCTTTTGAACTCTGTGCAAGGCAAGGACACACTACCACTGAGCCACACCTCTCTCGCTACAGAAACATCGTGAAGATCTTTTTTGACGCATTAGTCATATTTCTGAGAGGTCTTCAAAAATATGGTAAGTTGGCCGGATAGAAAATCCACTGTCTCATATCTCACTATTTCTTACCTCTAAACTATATCCCCTGAAGCTGCTAGGAGAAATGTAAGAGAATCACAGACCAGAACACAGTTTCTGCTTTTGGAACATTTCATCCCATCAGTTTATTCTGAGGTTTCCTCTCCAGCAAACTGCCTGGGGGCATTTTCTCCCACAGCCAACAGGTAAGATGTCCAGATGGAACTTCCTCTGGGGTCTTCAACCTGTCTGTCTCCATTTCTTCTCTTTCATCTGCTTACAAAGTTTTTCAAGCCCCATCCTCCTTAAGAAAAGATGATGAGCCACAGTCTAGGAGAAGATATTCCAATACTTATATTTTACTAAGGATCTTTATCTGGAATATGTTAAGAACTTCTACAAAGCACTAAGAAAAAGACTAAAACTTCAATAAGAAAGAGCAAATTAATATGAACTTCACAAAAAATCGCTATTGAGTAAAATAAAATATGCTCGACATCTTTTGCTATAAAGGAAATGCAAATTAAAAACACAACAATGCTGGACACAGTGGCTCACGCCTATACTCCCAGCAGTTTGGGAGGTCGAGGCGGGTGGATCACTTGAGGTTAGGAGTTCAAGACCAGCTGGCCAACATGGCGAAACCCGGTCTCTACTACAAATACAAAAATTTAGACGGCCACATGCCCCTGTAGTCCCAACTACTCAGGAGGCTGAGGCATGAGAATCTCTTGATCCTGGGAGGCAAAGGCTACAGTGAGCCAAGATTGTGCCGCTGCACTCCAGCCTGGGCAGCACAGCAAGACACTGTCGAAAAAAAAAACACAAAATAATATTGCTCTTCATTGGAATCATTTAACCCAAAAAGTGGATAATATCAAGTGTTGCTGAGTATGTGAAGCAATTGGAACGTGCATACATGGCTGATGAGACTGTAAACTGCTATATCTACACTGGGAAACTATCTGAAAATATCAACTAAATATATATATATATATATATATATATATATATATATATATATATATATGCTATGACCCCAAAACTAGACGGTTACATTTATACCCAAGAGAAGTGCATGAGCATCTCCCTTGAAGGACATGTATCAGAATGTTTACAGCAGCATTAGACATTTCAACCAAAAACGAGGGGTGCTGCAAATGTACTTGGACAGTAAAATGAATTAATAAATCATGATGTACAGTATTCAGACAATAGAATACTCGAGAGCAACAGAAAATAACTACTGTTACTAGCAACAATATATAGAAAATGAAGGCTGGGCACGGAGGCTCACGCCTGTAATCCCAGCACTTTGGAAAGCTGAGGCGGGCAGATCACGAAGTCAGGAGATCGAGACCATCCTGGCTAAAACAGTGAAACCCTGTCTCTACTAAAAATACAAAAAATTAGCTGGGCGTGGTGGATGGCACCTGTAGTCCCAGCTACTCGGGAGGCTGAGGCAGGAGAATGGCGTGAACCTGGTAGGCAGAGCTTGCAGTAAGCCAAGATCGCGCCACTGCACTCCAGCCTGGGCGACAGAGCAAGTCTCCACCTTGAAAAAAAAAAAAAGAAGAAAAAAGAAAAGAAAATGAATCTAATTTTTTTTAACAAAAATTAAGTGAAAGAATCCATACTCAAATGAGTACAGATTTGCTGTGGTTTGAAAGTGTCCCCTCCAAAGCTTAGGTGTCACCATGTGATAATTATCAAGACATAGGGCCTTTAAGAAGATTAAGCCATGAGGGTTCCTTCCTCATGAATAATATTAGGTACCCTTATAATAAGAGTTGACAAAGGAAGTTCATCTCTCTATTGCCTTCAGTTTTCTGCCATGTGAGAACACAACAAAAAGGCCATCACCAGACATGAGAGCCAGTGACTTGATCTTGAACTTCCCAGCCTCCAGAACTGTGAGAAAATGTTTCTGGGCCTGGTGCAGTGGCTGTCTCCTGTAATCCCAGGGTTTTGGGAGGCCAAGGTGGATGGATCACCTGAGGTCAGGAGTTCGAGACCAGCCTGGCAAACATGGTGAAACCCCATCTCTACTAAAAATACAGAAAAATTAGCTGGGCGTGGTAGCATTCGCCTGTAATCCCAGCTACCCAGGAAGCTGAGACAGGAGAATTGCTTGAATCCGGGAGGCAGAGGTTGCAGTGAGCCAAGACTGAGCCACTGCACTCCAACCTGGGCAACAAGAGTGAAACTCTGTCAGGAAGTGAAGGGAAGGGAAGGGAAGGGAAGGGAAGGGTTCTGTTCGTTACAAATTACCAGTCTTGAGTGATTTTGTAGCAGCCCAAAATAGACTACGATGATATTATATGATCCCATTTATATTATTTAAAACATAAGAAAAATAATCTGTGGAGGTGGAGGTCAGAGAGTTAGGATAATTGAAATGAGGCAAAAGGCAGCTGTTGGTTGCTGAAAAATTCAGTATCTTGGCCTGAATTTTGGTTATATATAATAAGCCGTAAGCTGAATAGGTTTCATGTGTTTTATTTTATATAAATGAAGGCTTAAATTTAAATACAAGAAAAAAAAAAGGTTTTCCTAAGTACTTCCTATCCTCCAGTACATTCTCTCTCTTCCTTAGGGTTGTTTTGTTTTGTTTTGTTGAGACGGAGTCTCGCTCTGTCGCATCCTCATGATTATTAGGACTTGGATGGACGGGATGGTACAGTGAGTCTAAGCGCCACATCCCTCCGTCGCTTCCTCTGGATATGAGGGAAGAAAGGTACTTTTTTTGTCCTTAGGGAGGAAGACTCGACCAGGAAGGGGACCTGGTTCGTTTCGGCTTCAAGAGCGCCTCTCCGCTATTTCCGTCGCTCAGCAGACCGGCTGAACTCTTTGGAGGAGAGAGTGATACTGGGTTTTGGTTTGCCCTTCAGGAACCGCTGATACTGTAGCTTCTGAGGGAGCTGCAGGGATTTCCCGATTTCCTGCGTGCCTGTGTTAAAAGTTAGAAGCGGGATCTGCTGGCAGCTTCGAAACTGAGCATGACGGTGGAAACATCTAATTTTATTAGTTTTTGCTTGAAATGCAAAAGATGAGAAAGAAAGTTTCCGTTTGTTTGCTCCACATATTTCTCTTAGAATGAAGCCGATTGAAAGTTAACTTCACCCTGAAGAAACTCCTCCTGGCGTTTGCAACGATCTCCTGTATGTCTCACGTCCAGCTTGACTCAAAAGGACTCTAAAGAGCTGGAGAGCGGCTGCGGAAAGGCGGAGTCACGGTACAATCGGTGTTAACTACTTGTGCAACCACCGCCTCCTTAGTCCTATTAGAGGCGCAGAGGCAGTATAGCTGAATCCCTCACAAGTCGAGTGGGTTGACCTCAGATTGACTTTAGCGATGGCTTGTGACCACCTGATAGATAGTGGCCGTTACAGCGTTTAGAAAGTGAGTAAAAGAAAGGATGCATAGGGAAGCCCACAAGTTTGCTTGGCTTCTGCAGATGGAGAGAGGTCGCTTTTCTGCCTTCTGGATGTTTAGTAACTTATTTTTTATTTCCTTTGTTGGCATGAAATAGAGCTGAAAATAAAAGCAGATTTTCTTTTAACAAGATAGTATTAAGATGCTTGCAGAGTATTTCTCTGTGGATTTCTGCTTGGCACTGTGATACCACAAAGAGCTCTAATCTGGAGGTATGGGTTGTTCCCTAGCTTAGAAGGAGGTCAATCCTGGAGAGTAAGTACTGTGAGGTACAAAAGGATCCTTTGGGATTGGAAAAATAAACGTTCATTACTTTTATTTATGTAAAACAGCAAAATGAGCTTTCTCCTATACTGATCTTGGTCCCTGGAGTTCAGAGTGTTTGCATCTCAGACCAGAAGCTTCCTCAGAGGACCCAGAGAAGTGCTTTTTACTTCCACCAAATTTCAGCTGAGGTGAATGCTGTCTTTTCGTCATTTGTTGTGTGTTTGTAGTTAAGTAGTTTAAGTTTCAGAGTTTGTGGGTCTCCAATGGAAAAGGTTACCACCACACATCAAACCATCAACCCCTGGCAGTGTAATCTTTTAGTGAAAGCTTGTAGGGCTTCTGCAACCTGGTTAGGAGGAGTTAGAAAAAGAAACAGAAAAAGACTTGAGCCTTTTAGCTTCTGATCTGAAATCAGACTTGGGCCACACAGGTCTATGGTTTCTGATGATTTCATTTACAGCTAGAAATTGGCTGGATGGCCAGGAATACTACTTGCTTCCCCCGTGCGTGGTCCATGTTAATGATTGATGGGACTGCTTAGAAAGAATAGGCGGATAATCCTAGGCAGCAAATAACCTCAAGTGAATGAACACGCATCACCCTCTGTATGAGAGAGAAATGCAGAGGCCAACACAATTCACCTTGACAGACAGAAAAATTTAAAGTTGGGGAATATCATGGACCGCTTCTTACTGGTGTCCCGGGGAAGAAAACACGGCCTGGAGGTACTGGGGATCGAACCCAGGACCTCGTGCATGCTAAGCACGCGCTCTACCACTGAGCTATACCCCCTCTGGACTCAGGGCCTTCGGAAAACGCTTTGGTGACGGCCAATATGTGAGCCTGCCCTCTGTGTCAGGATAATCACTATATGTTTCCAATTCCATTGTTAATTCCCTACATGAAGCGCTTCCTCTTTTAGGCACGGCTGGGCCAAAAGAAGAGTAGCTTAGCCGGGTGCAGTGGCTTATGCCTGTAATCCCAGCACTTTGGGAGGCTGAGGCGGGTGGATCACGAGGTCAGGAGTTCAAGACCAGCCTGGGCAAGATAGTGAAACCCTGTCTCTACTAAAAATAGAAAAATTAGCCGGGCGTGGTGACAGGCGCCTGTAATCCCAGCTACTCTGAAGTAGAGAATTGCTTGAACCCGGGAGGCAGAGGTTGCAGTGAGCCGAGATCGGGCCACTGCACTCCAGCTTGAGCGACAGAGCGAGACTCCGTCTCAAAAAAAGAAAGAAAGAAGAAAGAGAGAGAGAGAGAGAGAGACAGAAACAAAGAAAGAAAGAGAGAAATAAAGAGAAAGAAAGAAAGAGAAAAGAAAGGAAAGTAGCTTAGTGGTAAAAATAAAGGCACTGTTCCTGATTTGTGGTCAACCCAAGATCAACTCACCCCAAGGTGGACTCTCCATCACGTTAGACTTCCTGGAGCATACTTGCATTCTATCATTTGAGTGTGTCCCGGTATACAACATTCTCTTGCAAATTTTCTGATTATAACTTTCTGTATTCTTTTGACTCTTGGAAGCATGTTGGTGTTTCACATAGTCAAAAAATAAAACTGACTCAAGTGCGTGTGAAAATACCTTAAAATTCAATACGAATAGAGGCAAATTCAAATGGCGTTGTCTATCGCTTCTCGGCCTTTTGGCTAAGATCAAGTGTAAAATTGCATTGTGAAACAATAACATACTCCTACTTGAAAAGGAAAGAACTGATCTATGAAAATGGTTTATACAGTTTGTTGTTCTAATTGTAAGATTAAAAAGAATTGCAAACAAATCTTGAACTCTATATCAGGGTTATTTTTGTAGAGCTAGGGCTGTAAGAATTCTGAGATTTTGTGTGAATTTTAGGATTGGGAAAATGAGTGTGTGTGACCGGGTGTGTTGGAACCAGGCTGTCACTGTAAGAGAAAGAAGGTAAAGAATAGTCCTGTTGGTGTTGATGAGAATTGGAGGCGTCAGTATGAAATTATACATATGTAATTTTATAGGCTGGGCGCAGTGGCTCACGTTTGTAATCTCAACACTTTGGCAGGCCAAGACGGGCAGCTCACTTGAGGTCAGGAGTTCGAGAACAGCCTGGCCAACATGGTGAAACCCCCGTCTCTACTAAAAATACAAAAATTAGCCGGATGTGGTTGTGCGTGCCTGTAGTCCCAGCTACTCGGAAGTCTGAGGCAGGAGAATCGCTTGAACTCAGGAGGCAGACGTTGCAGTGAGCCAAGATCCTGCCACCGCACTCTGGCCTGGGTGACTTAGACTTTGTCTCAAAAAAAAAAAAAAGTAAAATTTCCCTGCAGATCTGTCTGCTAACTGGGCCTGGAAGAAATACCTCAGAAACAATAAGCAAAGATAACAATATTTTGATTCACAAATACCATTCCCTACTAAAAGGCACCAGAGATACTAATAGAAAGTAGCTACTAGTGTCAACTACACTGACTCCAGGACTCATGCCACTGCACTACAGCCTGGGCGACAAAGCGAGACTCTGTCTCAAATAAATAAATAAATATGGAAGATGGGAAGATTTTCTTTACAGTGGTATGCCAGCTAATAAATGTGGAAAGAAGGATAAAATTTGCAAATCCCCATTAGAAAATTAGAAAATCTGGACACCATCAGAATGCTGATAGGTGCAGGCAAAATTATAAGTCAATGCTAAAAGTATAGGTAAAATTTTGATGAGGATCAGGATATTTATATAGTCTCAGAGTATTTCTCTAGAGCTTACTTATTGATTACAATGAGGAAGATGATACTTTTGCAGGGAAGAAATAGTAGTTACAAACTTAACCAAATGATGAAAGCTAACTTCACTAATAATGGGGAAAATTGGCATCACATGCTTCTTGGTGTGATAGAGGATAATATGATTTTTTGTGACATTTCTTCCAATTTCCATAAACTTAATCTTACCATGAGTAGGACAAATTAAGAAATATTCCACAAACCACTGGCATATACTCTTCAAAAACATTATCAAAGTTGTGAAAGACACAATTGAGCAACTGTTCTAAATTAAAGGAGACTAAAGAGTCAAGACAATTAGATTCATATGTGTCTGTGAAATGGATCCTAGCTTGGGAGAGAAATTTCTATAAAAGATTGTATTGATACAATTAGTTAAATTTTTATAGATTGTATATTAGATAATGCTATTTTATCAATGTTAAGTTTACTGAATTTGATAATTGTGCTGTGTTAAAGAACTGATCTTGTTTTAAGAAATACACATTGATGAATTTAGGGATTAAAAAGATATAATGTCTGAAAATCATCAAATAGTTTAGAGAAATAATCTTTGAGATCTCTCTCTGTGTCTCTCTCCATATATATATATGGAGTGTATATATATATATATATATATATATATGGAGTATATATATATATATATATATATATGGAGTATATATATATATATATGGAGTATATATATATATGGAGTATATATATATATGGAGTATATATATATATGGAGTATATATATATATATGGAGTATATATGTATATATATATATGGAGTATATATATATATGGAGTATATATATATATATATATGGAGTATATATATATATATATGGAGTATATATATATATATTCCATTGTTGCTGATTGTTTGGTTGAAGAGGCAAGATGGTCTGAAATGATCCCAAGATGTGGACAATATGTGCTTCTCATGTGGTTCCCATTCCATTTTAAATGTTTCCAGGCAGAAACAAAGATACAAATTTCTCAATTTGTATTCAAATCTAACAGGTGTTTTATTCTATTTTCCTGTTCACACTCCCTGTTTGGGAGTCAATCAACTAAGGACATCTGAAGGAAACAGAATTTAATTCTCAGAGTCAGGAGGTGATGAGAGACTGCTTTGGTAGGGAAAGTAATAGTAAATTTGTTCTTTCTTGGTTAAATAAAGAAGAAAAAGAAAGAAGAGAGGGAGGCAGGGAAAGAAATAGAAGACATAACAATCCTAAATATGTATCCACCAAACAGGAGAGCTGCAACATATGTAAAGATAAAAAAACAGAAATTTAAAAAAAAATAGACAAATCCACAATTACTTTGGAGACTTCAAAACTTCTCTCATAATGATTGATAGAACAACTAAACAGAAAATCAGCAAGAATGTTGAAGAACTAGGCCGGGCGTGGTGGCTCACACCTGTAATCCCAGCACTTTGGGAGGCCGAGGCGGGCGAATCATGAGGTCAGGAGATCAAGACCACCCTGGCTAACACGGTGAAACCCCATCTCTACTAAAAAATACAAAAAAATTAGCCGGGCGTGGTGGCGGGTGCCTGTAGTCCCAGCTACTCTGGAGGCTGAGGCAGGAGAATGGCGTGAACCCGGGAGGCTGAGCTTGCAGTGAGCCGAGATCGCGCCACTGCACTCCAGCCTGGGCAACAGAGCAAGACTCTGCTTCAAAAAAAAAAAAGAGTGTTGAAGAACTCAAACATCTTCAGCCACCAGAATTCAGTTAACATTTATAAAACAGTCCACACAGGAAGAGCAGAACACACTAGTCAAATCCACACTGAATATAGGTAAAGGTAAAACATATCCTGGGCCATAAAACAAACCTCAACAAATTTAAAAGAATTAACTAATATGGTATAATCCCTGACCAAAATGAAATTAAAGTAAAAATCAGTCACAAAAAGACAGAAAAATGTCCAAACGCTTGGAAAATGAACAACACACTACTAAACAGTTCATACAACAAAGAGAAAACCTTAGTAGATATCAAAAAATAAGGTAGCATGAATAAAAATGAAAATACAATATATTAAAAATTCCAAGATATCCTAAAGGAGTGCTGAGAGAGAAATATACAGCACTAAGTGCATACATTAGAAAAGAAAAAAGTCCCAAATCAGTCCTCTAAGCTCTTACTTGTAGAAATCAGGTGGGAAAAAGAGCAAAATAACCCAAAGCAAATAGAAGAAAGGAAATAATAAAAAATAAAAGCAGAAATCAGTGAAATGGAACACACGCACACACACACACACACAAATAGAAAAACAAACAAAAAGCTAGTTCCTTTCAAGGATCAATAAAAGAAGAACTCTAGCAAGATAGAAATTTTCAGCAGAGAGATGACACAGTTTACCAACATCAGGAATAAAAAGAGGACATCACTGTAGACTCAGCTGACATCAAAAGGATGAAGGAGGCTGGGAATGGTGGCCCACGCCTGTAATCCCAGCACTTTGGGAGGCCGAGGTGGGTAGATCACTTGAGGTCAGGAGTTTGAGACCAGCCTGACCAATATGTCAAAACCCCGTCTCTACTAAAAAACAAAAATTAGCTGGGCATGGTGGCAGGCGCCTGTGATCCCAGCTACTCAGGAGACTGAGGCAGGAGAATCGCTTGAACTCAATAGGCGGAGGTTGCAGTGAGCCAAGATTGCACCACTGCACTTCAGCCTGGGTGACAGAGCAAGACTCCCTCTCACAAAAACAGAACAAAACAAAACAAAAACAAACAAAAAAGAAATGGTAAATCCAACCCCACCCCTGACATAATGCAACTACAAACCCCACTGGCTGTCCTACGTGGTTTAAGTTTTTGATTGAGAATAGGCAAGGAACCCCAGGAAAAAATCTTCCCCCTCAGCAGCCACCTGATCCTGGGACCTCCTTCTTAAACTTCTAGAACAGTGCTTCTCAAACTTTAGCATCAGAGTCACTTGAGGGCTTATTCAAACACAAGAGGCTGAGCCCCATGCTCAGCAGTTCTGATTCAATAGATCTGAGGTTAGGCCTGGAATTTAGCATTCTGCTTGCAGCACCCTAATTCCCCACCCCTTGCTCTCCTGTGCAGTGTCCGCTGTGGCTGACATGCCGCTGTTTGCCTGGAGAGAACCAATAGATGCCAGGAAATTAAAAAAGAAAAAGTATGAAACAAAAAGAAAATACATGACACGTGGGTATTACCTTCCTCCAAAAAATGTATCTCAAAACAAACATGTGATTGGCCTGGGGGCACACACACAGCCAGTCCTCAGCTAAGCAGGTTTCACTAGACCGTATCCCTCCTGGATGCTAGTTATAGATACTTTCACTGGACAAAAGAATCAAGAAGTAAAGACATGCCAGCCTGATAGAGTGTTAGGCTGGTGGACTGGGAATAAACATTGTAGTTTCTTGTCTCTCAAAGACACTTTAATTCAACAATAAATAAATAAATATGTACAGAGAGAACAGCAGTTTTGAAACTGTATACCATTGGAAACCTTTAACAGGTACCATGAGTGCATAGAATTTCTTGGGAGTTCCCTTTTCAAAAAAAGCAGTTGTAATCAGATGGATCGAGAAAGAACATGAAATGTTTGTTTGGTTTTTTCCAAGGCAGAAAGCGCCCACACAATTGCGATCTACTTACCTTTTACTCTGCATGTATTTTCCATTGTGACAGAAAACCTTTCCCTGGTTTTTTCTTATGGGCCTCTGTTTGCTGTTACCAGAAGTTCCCAGGCAATATTACAGTGACTGAGGAAATGCAGGAATATGAATATGAATCAGTCTTATGGAATATCAGTAGGGAATGTTGATCCGTATTAGTTTTTGCTTCTTGCATGTTGAAGGCCTCTAATTCCCGGACAGTCTTCGTTTGGCCGTCCAGCGTCCTGCCACTCCTATCTCAAGTGGCTAGAGAGCCACAGCAGTCCTTGTCTCAGTATTGGATCGCACTTATGTCCCTATGTAGGTTGACAGGGAGAGACTGGTGTAGAAATGAGTGGACAGATGCTTTCGCTCTGTTCTTTGGCCCAGAAAACAAAAATAACTTAAAAAAAAAAAGATGCCCACTGGCATTTTTCTCTCTTCTTGGTCTTTGCGTCTCTTTAATCATAGTACAAAATGGAAGGCCGGGCGCGGTGGCTCACGCCTGTAATCCCAGCACTTTGGGAGGCCGAGGCGGGTGGCTCACGAGGTCGGCAGTTCAAGACCAGCCTGACTAACATGGTGAAACCCCGTCTCTACTAAAAATACAAAAAAATTAGCTGGGCGTGGTGGCGGGCGCCTGTAATCCCAGCTACTTGGGAGGCTGAGGCAGGAGAATCTCTTGAAACCGGAAGGCGGAGGTTGCAGTGAGCCGAGGTGGTGCGACTGCACTCTAGCCTGGGCAACGAGAGCAAAACTCCGTCTCAAAAAACAAAACAAACAAACAAAAACAAAACAAAACAAAACAAAATGGGAGCGAACGCAAGCCGCCTGTGAATGTTCATGCTTTTGTTTGGGTCAAGAGACCACTGTTGCGATCCTGTTCTTTCCCCCTCGTTACTTTTTTGTCTTCCTTCTGCTGTCGCAATCGCCTTATGTGATGTTGAGGCTCACAGCATAGAGGTTGGAGATAGTTCAAGGCAATGCATTGGAGTACATTTTTACTTACTATATGTGCAGAAATAGAATAGAAAAATGTGAGGAGGCAGAGGTCTGTCGCTTGAGAACTGCCAGAGGGAAACCATCACTTGGAGGTGTCGGGGATCGAACCCGAGGCCTCATACATGCAAAGCATGCGCTCTACCACTGAGCTACACCCCCTTACTATAACACCCATTTGTAATAATTTTCAGGAGGTAACTTTCATTTCCTGAGACTCCGTGAGCATGCTGGTAATAGTGGTCAGTACCATAGAGCGTGGAGAGCTACTCTGAGCAGGAGATACTTGGTACTAATGGGGGATACAGATTCTTTAGAATACTGTGTAGGACTTGAAACGAAAAACGAAAGATTAGAAAAGTGTCAGATAATAACCACAAGAAGTTTCCTTTGTGGCCTGAAGACGTTGAGTTCTTAGGGTCCGCTTCTATTATGCTTGGCAAGAATCAAGTTCTGATTTTCGTTTCTTTTGATTTCTTCCAGATATAACACAAAGCCATTGAAATTCAGCCTTTTCCTGCCTAAAACGCTTCATAATTGTTGTTTGCTCAGTCGGAATATCAAAGGTAAGATTTGATAGAGGAAAGCCATGATCAGAAGAAAACCTGAGAGCGGTGCACTCAACATTTTTTCACAGGGGTCCTTAGCTGGCGTGGTGTCTTACTCCTGTACTCACAACTCCAGAGGCTGAGGCACGAGGATCGCTTGAACTCGGGAGTTAGCGATTGTAGGGAGCTATGATTGCACCACTACCCTCGAGCCCGGACAATGGAGTGAGAAAAGCAAGCAAGCAAGCAAGCAAGAGAAAGTGGGAGTGAGGGACGGAGGGAGGGAAAGAGGGAAGGAAGGGGGGAAGGAAGGGAGAAAGGAAGGAAGGAAGGAGAAAGAGGGAGGAAGGGAAGGAAGGAAAGGAGAGAGAGAGAGAAGACGACGGGAGGTGAGGGGAGGGAATTCATAAGGCATAAATGAAAACCAGCTTTGGGGGTGGAGATGAGGGTTGAATTATGAGAGTAAGACGAAAGATAAATAGAAACAGGATTGAAGAGTAGTTCAGAAAAACAAACATGCTATTGCCAAAGACAAGCAGGCACAGAAAAGGGGAGGTTTTAACAACTCTTTCAGGAATGGGAGAAAGATTGAAAGATGGAGAAGATGAGTTAGTTTGGCTCATGCTAAATTTAAAATATCTGTGGGGCACGCCTGTGAGGATATTACACAGAGAACTCAGGCAATTAACTCCGTCTCCAGCCTGGGGTTTGTAAGCATTAGTAGTAGTAGACACATTACATGGAGGTGGATAAAGACTAAAAAGTGTACTTTGAGATATGGAAATTACAAACCTATTCGTGATATTTGTAGGCAACAAACAAGTTTTCTTCTAACTAGTTCTCGAATCTTGGGACTTATCACGGTGAGACTGGATTCTTTGAACTATATAAGAAGATGAGAAGAAAACCCATTTCTCGGAACCAAATTTCTGGTGACGATTAACTCTTTCTCATTCTGGTTTGCCCATATATGAGCCTTTGCCAATGTTAATAAAATAACATTGATCCATTTTAAAATTGGCAGATTGCAAGTTGTATGGCAGACTTGGCTTTTCAGTTGGCTGACGGGATTTCTAGAATAAAAATAGGAAACTGAGTAATAGGTTTCACTGAATGAGAGACTAGAGAAGCGTTACACACAAAATTCATATGTATTCATGTGTGTGCGTGTCTGCCTGTCTGTGTCTGTTTGTGTGTGCATGTAAATGCTTGGGAGGATTATCTTGACTCTTTGATGCTGTAAAAGCAATATTAGGACAGTTTGCAGAAACACTCCTTCATCCTTATGTCATGTCACAGCCAGAGAAACCTGGCTGACTATCAGATTCTTGGGAATTCATAATAAGAAGATATGCTTTTTTGTTTGCCACATGAAAGGGGGGAATTTAAAATAATTAAATATCCATATCTATCTTCAGGCTATCTACCAACAACATGATTGAAACACTTTTTTTTTTGCGTATAATGTGTAGGATGAGCTTATTTATCACAGCATTCTTCTGAGGAATTAAACATTTAATTTTGAAGACAGAACACCCTCACGTCATACATACTCAGTTCTGAAAACCTAAAAATATATAAAGTACCTGTTTAAATCTGCACTTTCCAATATGGTTACCATTAGCCACATTGGCTATTGAATGCTTGAAATTGCCCAGTCCAAGGTAAGATGTGTTGTAAGTATAAAATATATACCAGATTTCAAAGATGCAATATCATTTTTAATATAAAATAACTCACTTATAATTTTAAGATGGATTACTTAAAATAATGTTGTTATACAAGGCCATTTACGTATATTATTAAAACTGGACATAAAAGACGGAAACAGTAAACATCGGGGACTACTAGGGAGTAGCTGGGAAGGGGAAAGGCTTGAAAAGCTAACTATTGGATACTATGCTCACTACCCGGGTGACAGGATTAATCCCACCCCAACCCCAGCATCATGCAATATACCCATGTAAGAATCCTGCACATGTACCCCCTGAATCTAACATAAAAGTTGAAATTATTTTTAAAATAATATAGAGACCGGGCTCGGTGGCTCACGCCTGTAATACCAGCACTTTGGGAGACCGAGGTGGGCGGATCACCTGAGATCGGGAGTTCAAGACCAGCCTGACCAACATGGAGAAACCTCGTATCTACTAAAAGTACAAAATTGGGGCCGGGCGCGGGGTCTCACGCATGTAATCCCAGCACTTTGGGAGGCCGAGGCGGGCGTATCACGGGGTCAGGAGATCGAGACCATCCTGGTTAACACGGTGAAACCCCAATTCTACTAAAAAATACAAAAAATTAGCCAGGCGTGGTGGCAGGCGCCTGTAGTCCCAGCTACTCGGGAGGCTGAGGCAGGAGAATGGCGTGAACCCGGGAGGCGGAGCTTGCAGCGCGCGCCACTGCACTCCAGCCTGGGCGACAGAGCGAGACTCCGTCACACACACACAAAAAAAATTAGCTGGGGTGGTGGCGCGTGCCTGTAATCCCAGCTACTCGGGAAGCTGAGGCGGCAGGAGAATCGCTTGAACCCTGGAGGCAGAGGTTGCGGTGAGCCGAGATCGCGCCATTGCACTCCAGCCTGGGCAACAAGAGCGAAACTCCATCTCCAAAAAAAAAAAAAAAAAAAAAAAAAAGATATAGAATAAATATTGCCTGTTTTTTTTAATGTGACTACTAGAAAATTTAGAACTACAAAAGTGACTCGCATTTATGACTTGTGTTTTTTTAATTATTTTTATTCCGGAAGATAAAGTAGAAGACTTGTATTATCTTTTAATTGGACAGCATTGTCTAGAGATGATGTTATCTCTTTAAATGCTGTTCTGGGAGATTCCCAGAGCCAGAGAACATGGAGCATGGTCTCCCAGTAATTAAGTTTCATGCCTTGAGTGTTCTCGACAGAATGCATTTCTATGCATAATCTCCTTAGATCTTTACAACATCCCATTTAACATAATTATTATTAGCTACATTTTTAAGCTATTGAATAGAAGACAAATCATGCTTGGAATTACCCTAGACCTTCCCTTTCAACAGAATGTAAAGGAATCATTACCGTGTTAGGCAAGAAAACATTCAGTGCTACCATTTGACTAATCAAATATTTCTTAATGAAATGAAACACAAGCTTCTGAGTTGAGAAAGCCTCAGTGACCTAAAGGATAAAGTATCTGATTTACAGTTTCTGTAGAGTCAGTGTCCTCACCCTGAGGTTTCTTCTCATTTGGTACTAATTTTCCTTTTTCAACTTGCTGCAGTTCTGATGTTGAAGTACTGTAGATTGTTTAGTCTCCTCACACAGTATGCAGGAGTTAGGGGAAAATAACTCTCAAAATGAAACAGCAATTTGAAAGAAAAAAGGAGGGAAAAAAAGACCCATTACCCCCAACACAGTATTTCAACAGAGAAGTTGAAGTGGAAAAGGGAAAATGAGGCACATGCACCTGAATCTTGATGACTTTGCTGCCCATTTGCTTTCATTTTCAGTATTCTAAGGCCCCTCATGAATGTCTGACAGAATAATTCATATACAAGTACTTATTTTTGTTCTTTCTTGGATTCCAACACAGAAATTAGTTAAGATTTGGAAATTCTGGACAAGGGTGCCAGGCTTCCTGTCAGTAAGAAAACTTAGAATATTCCTGTAATTAGGCCTGGTGTGGTGGCTCAAGCCTGTAATCCCAGCATGGTGAGAGGCAGAGGTGAGCCAGGATTTCCAGAAGAGCCAGGGCAACATGGTGAAACCCAGTCTCTACCAAAAAAATTAAAAAAAAAAACAAAACCAAAAAACAAACAAACAAACAAAAAGCCAGGCTTGTTGTTGCATTTCTGTAGTCTCAGCTACTCAGGAGGTTGACATAGGAGGATCGCTTGAGTCCAGGGAGGCTGAGGCTGCAGTGAGCTGTGATCATACCACTGCATTCCAGCATGGGTGACAGAGTGAGACCCTGCCTCAGAAAAACAAAACAAAGCAAAAGTTATTTTTCCAGCAGTTTAACTGCGGAGCTATGGAGTTGACTCAAGGTACAAACCCGGTTTTTTCTAATTGCAAAATGTTTCTTGAATATACCACCACCACATATATACACTCATACAGTATAATAGTTCTTCTTCTACAGGTTTCTTCACATTTCTTGTGATTTAAAAACACCCCCGCCCAACACACATAAATAACATCAGATCAGAAATGAATTGTAAGTGCCGCAGCATATAGCATATTGGAATTTCTTAGGTTTTAAAAGTAATAACTTGCTAGGTTTAAGACTTTAAATAATTTACGTCCTGTCAGTTAACACTTCATGGAAGTCTTCAGTGGAGAGAGTGTTACAAATATATATATATATATGTGTTTGTGTGTAAATATATATATATAGATGTGTGTGTGTGTGTGTGTGTGTGTGTGTGTATACATTACCTTTATGGAATTTTCAGAAAACAGCCAAAAAAAAGAAAAAAGAAAAAAGAAACAAAAAAACCACAAACACCTGGAGTTATATATAGACCTCTGGGATTGGTGCGCAAGCGCTGTGTTGAAGGAGTGACAATTATGCTAAAACCAAAATGCAACTGCCGAAACCCGGGATTGAACCAGGGACCTTTAGATCTTCAGTCTAACGCTCTCTCAACTGAGCTATCTCGGCCACCGTGATCCTACTGCTTTTGTCATTTCTTCAAAATACAGAAACTGCCATTTGTAGGGTCAGTGTATCTTCCAACGCCTAATTCTGTTGTCTTCAATATCACCCGTCATTCACTCACCTCCCCTCCACCCAAGAAATATAAGTTCTGCTGCAATTTATGTGTGAAATAGGATCCAATTTTCCCCAGCAAAAGATGGGAAAGAAAAGGCGAGGAATAGGTCAAATGAGGAAGATACTCCCATGCTTGGTCACCGTATAAAACACTGCTCAGAAAACTAAGGAATTCAAAATGAAATTATCTAGGCATTTCCTTTTCTCTTTTTTCGGATTTTCTTTTTCTGGCTTGCTCTTCAATGGCATGTCATAAAGGAACAGAAGATTAGTGGACACTTTAACACGGTAGTGGGCTTATAGCTTCCGAAAAAAGACATCCTGAGCGAGGTAGTTCTTTTTTTCTATTTTCTTCCTTTTACCAGTCTTGTGCTCACACATCCACCTTGGGTGGTACGGAGACCCAGGGAGTGAAAATGGAAAGTATAATATGTTTGTTTGTTTGTTTCTTTGTTTCTTTGTTTTGAGATGGAGTCCCGCTCTGTCTCCCAGGCTGGAGTGCAGTGGCACGATCTGGACTTAGTGCAACCTCCGTCTTTCAGGTTCAAGCGATTCTCCTGACTCAGGCTCTTCCAGTAGGTGGGATTACAGGCGCGCCCCACCACGCCCAGCTAATTTTTTTGTATTATTAGTAGAGACGAAGTTTCACCATGTTGATCAGTCTGGTCTCGCCTCGGCCTCCCAAAGTGCTAGGATTACAGGCTTGAGCCACCGTTCCCGGCCTATTCCTTGGAGTTCAGAGAATTGTGGTCTGCACATTGATGCATAAGAATTGTTTTTTTTTTTCCAGCTGGGTGCAGTGGCTCACGCCTGTAATCCCAGCACTTTGGGAGGCCAAGGCGAGCAGATCGCCTGAGGTCAGGAGTTGGAGACCAGCCTGTCCAACATAGTGAAACCCCATGTTGTCTCTACTGAAAACACAAAAATTAGCCCCGCGTCGAGGCGCGCCCCTGTAGTCCCAGCTACAGAATCTCTTGAACCCAGGAGGCAGAGGTTGCAGTGAGCCGAGATCACACCACTACACTCCAGCCTGGGTGACAGAGCAAGACTCCATCTCAAAAAAAAAAAAAAAAAAATTGCTTTTTACATACACATCTGTAATCATGAGATTGTATTTATTTATTTTTATTTTGACAGTGTCCCACTCTGCCAGACTGGAGTGCAGTGGCAATCTCCTCTCACTGCAACTTTCACCTCCTGGCTCAATCAGTTCTTCCACCTCAGCCTAGAAGTTTTATATCAATTCAAAAGTGTCAAGACATTGGACTCCTCTTGATAAATAACTTAAGAACAATTTAAGACGTTTACAGAATTTCAGAAACAGTTCTCTCTGGAATGAGGGAATTGCTATGGCCAATAATTACTTGCAAACTGAATTTTAATAAAACCCTCTCTATGTCTGGACAGTTTTCAAACTGAGTCTCCTATTCTGAAAGAGTCAAGGCTTTCAGTTTTAGCCAAAATTTGATGGAAGGGTCGATAAGAAATTGTTCTTGAAGCCAGGAGTGGTGGCTCACGCCTGTAATCCCAGCACTTTGGGAGGCAGAGGCGGGTGGATCACCTGAGGTCAGAAGTTCGAGACCAGCCTAGTCAACATGGTGAAACCCCGTCTCTACTAAATGCACATAAATTAGCCAGGCATGGTGGCGGGCGCCTATAATCCCAGCTACTCAGGAGGCTGAGGCAGGAGAATCGCTTGAACCCGGGAAGCAGAGGTTGCAGTGACCCGAGATCGCACCACTGCGCTCCAGCCTGGGCAACAAGAGCGAAACTTCGTTTCCCCCCCAAAAAATTGTTTCTGGATGATTAGATGATTTCCTAAAAATTAAATAAATAAAATTTATAAAATTATGTTCGCTTTCAGTCTTTGTCTTGTCCTCCCGCTTGTAAGGTCCGAGCCTTCTCAGACAGGAAACAACATTCCTCTGGGTTTATCCCCTCCGCCTCACGTCTCTCCCCAGCTGGGCGCAGCCTCAGCCTATGCTGCAGAAATGTTAAAAGTTGAACATACAGAGAGGAAAAAAATGGAACGTGATGCGGAAATTAAAACAGCAGCTACATATAAATCTCAACACAGTGCTTAAAATGTGTGTAAATGGTTCTAGGACTGCGCTGCACTATTGTGAAAAGTTCATTCAGAAGTAAATGGGAGGGAAGGTGGAGAGGAGCTGAGCGCCAGCTGGCGGAGAGAGGGAAAAGGAGGGGTGCCGTGAAGTGGAGGAAGAAAAACACAAATGGGAGAGAGATAGAGGGCAAGGAAAAGCATCCTTAAGATGATTCGGACTTGGATGGACGGGACCGTAGAGTGAATCTAAGCGCCACATCTCTCCGTCGCTTCCTCTGGCCGTGAGGGAAGAGAGGTGTCCCTAGGGAGGTAGGCTGGACCAGGAAGGAGACCTGGTTCGTTTCGCCCAGGCTGTCACGGCTTCAAGAGCGCCTCTCCGCTATTTCCGTCGCTCGACAGACGGGCTGAGCTCTTTGGAGTGATGTTGGGTTTTGGTTTGCGCCTCAGGAACCGCTGATACCGTAGCTTCTGAGGGAGCTTCAGGGATTGCCTGGCTTCCTAAGTGCCCGTGTTGAGAGTTAGAAGCGGGATCTGCCGGCAGCTAAGAGACTGAGCATGACGGTGGAAACATCTAATTTTATTAGTTTTTGCTTAAAATGCAAAAGATGAGAAAAAGTTCCCGTTTCTTTGCTCCATATATATCTCCTAGAATAAAGCCAATCGAAAGCCAACTTCACCCTAAAGAAACTCTTCCTGGCGTTTGCAACGAGCTCCTTTACTCCTAACGTCCAGCTCTTGGCTCAGGACCTGCAGAGCGTCACAGCTGTTGCAGAAAGGCGAAGTCGAGGTACAATCGGTGTTAACTACGTGTGCAGCCACCGTCTTCTTAGTCCTGTTACAGGTGCAGAGGCAATATAAGTGAACCACTCACAAGTCGTGTGGGCTGACCTCAGATTGAGTTTAGCGATGACTTGTGACCACCTGGTAGATGGTGGACCGTTACAGCATTTAGAAAGTGAGTAAAAGAAAGGATGCATACGGAAGCCCACACGCTTGCTTGGCTCCTGCAGATGGATAGAGGTCACTTTTCTGCCTTCTGGGTGTTTAGTAACTTATTTTTTTTTTTTTGCTTTGTTGGCATGAAATAAAGATGAAAATAAAAGCAGATTTTCTTTTAACAAGTTAGTATTAACATGCTTGCAGAGTATTTCCCTGTGGATTTCTGCTTAGTACTGTAATACCAGAATCAGAAACTCTACAAAGAGCTCTCTAATCTGGAGGTATGGGTTGTTCCCTAGCTTAGAAGGAGGTTATTTCTGGAGAGTAAGTACAATCAGGTAGAAAAGGATCCGTTGGGCTTGGGAGAATAAACGTTCATTACTTTTATTTATGAAAAACAACAAAATGAGCTTTCTCCTATACTGATCTTGTTTCCTGGAGTTCAGAGTATTTGCATCTCAGACCAGAAACTTCCTTGAGGACCCAGAGAAGTACTTTTTACTTCCACCAAATTTCAGCTGAGGTGACTGCTATCTTTTCATCATTTGCCTTGTGTTTGTAGTTAAATAGTTTAAGTTTCAAACTATGTGGGTCTCTAATGGAAAAAGTGACCACCAGCACATCAAATCATCAACCACCGGCAGTGTAATCTTTTAGTGAAAGCTTGTAGGGCTTCTCAACCTGGTTAGAGGGAGTTAGAAGAAGAAACAGAAAAGGACGTGAGCCTTTTTAGCTTCTGATCTGAAATCAGACTTGGGCCACACAGTTCTATGGTTTCTGATGATTTCATTTACAACTAGAAATTGGTTGCATGGCCAGGAATACTGCTTGCTTCCCTCGTGCGTGGTTCATGTTAGTGATTGGTGGACTGCTTAGAAAATATAAGTGGATAATCCTAAGCAGCAAATAGATTCAAAGGAATAAACACGAGTCACCTCTGTGTATGAGAGAGAAATGCAGAGACCAACACAATTCACCTTGACAGACAGAAAAATTTAAAGTTGGGGAATATCATGGACCGCTTCTCACTAGTGCCCGGGGAAGAAAACAAAACCTGGAGGTATTGGGGATTGAACCCAGGACCTCGTGCATGCTAAGCACGCGCTCTACCGCTGAGCTATACCCCCTCTGGAAGACTTACCTTTTAGAGAATATTTTGATGACTATTATTGTCTGAGTCTGGGCTCTGTGTCATGATAATCTTTATGTTTTCAATTCCACTCTCAATTTCCTACAGGAAGTGTTTCCTCTCTTAGGCCCTGCTACACCAAAAGAAAGGTAGCTTAATAGTACAAATAAAGGCACTGTTCCTGATTTGTGGTCAGTCCAAGATCAACTCACCCCACGGTGGGCTCCCCATCGCGTTAGATTTCCTGGAGCATACTTGCATTCAATCATTTGAGTGTGTCCTGGCATACAACATTCTCTTGCAAATTTTCTGATTATAATGTTCTGTATTCTTTTGACTCTTGGAAGCGTGTTAGTCTCACATGGTCAAAAAATAAAACTGACTCAAGTGTGTGTGAAAATACCCTAAAATTCAACACAAATAGAGGCAAATTAAAACTGCATTGTGAAAGAATAACATAACCCCATTGAAATAACTGATTTAAGAAAATGCTTGACAAAGTTCGTTGTTCTAATTGTAAGTACAAAAAGAAGAGGAAACAAATCTTAAACTCTATGTATGAGGGTTTTTTTTTTAGAGCTAAGGCTGCAGGAATTCTGAGATTTTGTGTGAATTTTAGGATTGGGAAAATGAGTGTGTGTGAGCGCGTGTGTTGTTGGAAACAGGCTGTCACTGTAAGAGAAAGCAGGTAAAGAATAGTCCTGTTGGTGTTGATGGGAATTGGAGGCATCAGTATGAAATTATACATACGTAATTGTATAGGCCGGGCGCGGTGGCTCACGCTTGTAGTCTCAGCACTTTGGGAGGTTGAGACGTGTGGATCGCTTCAGGTCAGAAATCGAGAACAGCCTGGCCAACATGGCAAAACGCCGTTTCTCCTAAAAATACAAAAATTTGACGGGTGTGGTGGCCGCCCCTGTAGTCCCAGCTATTCGGGAGGCTGAGGCAGGATAATCGCTTGAATTCGGGAGGCGGACGTTGCAGCGAGCCAAGATCGCACCACCGCACTCCAGCCTGGGCGACTAAGACTCTGTCTCAAAAAATAAAAATAGTACATTTTCCCTACAGATCTGTCTGCTAACTGAGCCTGGAAGAAATACCTTAGAAACAATGAGCAAGATGACTCTATATTTTGATTTTCAAATACCATTCTCTACTAAAAGGAACCAGAGATACTAATAGAAAGTAGCTACTAGTGTCAACTACACTGACTCCAGGACTGTGCCAGGGAAACTACAAGATGAACCTAAAATATCTTGCTGTGCCAGAATGATGGGGATGATTTAAAAGAACACAGAAGCTCCGGGGTGGCTCACGCCTGTAAACCCAGCACTTTGGGAGACCGAGGCGGGCGGATCACCAGAGGTTAGGAGTTCCAGACCCGCCTGGCCAACATGGTGAAGTCCCGTCTCTACTAAAAATACAAAAAATGGCCTGGCATGGTGGCTCATGCCTCTAATCCCAACTACTTGGGAAGCAGAGGTAGGAGAATCGCATGAACCCGGGAGGCGGAGGTTGCAGTGAGCCGAGATCGCACCACTGCACTCCAGCCTGGACGACAGGGCAAGACCTGTCTCAATAAATAAATAAATAATAAAGTACATGAGAAAAATAATAGTGTGTGTGTGTGTTTAGCCGTAAAGAGAGAGGAGAATCATTGTGGCAAAATATCGGGAATTGGTAAATATGAGTAACTTGTGTGTGGCAGTTCTTTGTATCATTTTTGCAACTTTTCTGTAGGTTTGAAATAATTTCAAACTAAAAAGGTTTTTCTAAATTCTCCCTTCTCAAATTTCTTTTCCCTCTTCCTTCAAGGGCTGTACTCTTCTATCAAGAGTAACGTAGATGGATACTAAAACAGAAGGGTCAGTACCGTCTCGGGGGATTTAGGTGCAGGTGAGGAGGTGAGAAAGTGGAATTCCCAGCTCTTAGAAACGAAGACCCAGGAGCGTGGGTCGCTGCCCGTCCTTACCCTGCCAGCGCCTGGGCCAGCACCATGGTCGCGAAACCCAGCATGGATTTCGTCTTGGGGACGCTATGGCTCCAGTTCTGACACTCAAGAAACGATGGATGGAGAGGAGAACGAGGACCACCTTCGAAAAGAGTTCGAGAGGGAAGCAGGGACGCGGTGGGGTGCGCACCTGCGGCGGCGGCGGCAAAGGCGGAGGAGAAGCGAAGTGGGCGAGCGCCCGAGGCTGCCAGAGGATCTGGGTGGGCCGGAAGGCGGAGTGCAGCCCGGAAGCCCATCTCCGCTGCTTTTCCTCGCTGTCCGCGATAAGCGAGAGGGCTCATTCCCTGTTGGAGAAGTGAGCTGAAAACACTTTCCTCGCAAGATCTCCCTCGTTTTGCTCAAGGCAGTCGCGGCGTTGAGAACGCCTCGCAGCTCCTTTACTGGCTGGGGCACTGGGGAGAACGGGTACCCTTGAGTTTTGGTACAGGCGGGTGGTATTAGTGGCTTCCAAGGAAACGACAGAGAAGCCGCCTATTTCCAATCCCTACTGTTAGCGAGGGGGAGAGTGTTTAACCGGGAAGAGAGACCCTCCCGCTGAAGCATAGGGTCCTTTGTTATAGATAGGAAGAGTGTTCTTTGCTTTTGTTTTTGTTATAGCTTGTCAAGCTTGGAATACAAGGCATGAAAAACAAGAAAGGTAAGGCAGTCCCAGTATATTTTAAACTTACGAGGGTTTTCAGAAGGAGTACTACCTTGTTTTTATGGAATTCAGGGTGTCCAGATTTCAACCTACCTAGCAGAGTGAAGCTCTATGAGTCTAATATCTTGGCTTTCTTCCACATCAGCAAGCCTCTGAAATTCGGGTTTCTTTCTGGACAATATCACCTACATTTTGCAGTCGGCTCCTATATTGCCTGCATTTAACTCGTGGAAGCAAGAACAGTGGGAAAAGCCAAGGTTACCACATAAAAGAAGATCCTTACATGAGACAAGTGTAAATAAAGCAGCAGCTGAGGTGTGTGTAGAGGAAGAGACAAACGTGAAAATGTAGAAAGTGGATACAGAATTTTTTCCAAGGAGGAAGAGGAATGGTCTGCTCACAACGAGGAACTCTCTACTTACTGTTGCAAAGATACTTTTATTACATTTCATGCATATGCTGGATTTTAACAACCAGAACATTGGTAGACTTGGTGGGGGCTGGAGAGACAGCAGTCACTCCCAACCCTGAGGATGAGTCCTCACCCTGAGGGTGGAGAGAAAATGATTACTCTCTGCCACAGGGCTTAGAATCGTCCAAGCCTGGGTTTCAAATTGCAAGGCCCAAATAGCTTGAGAGAGCTCCAGGTATTTCAGCTCAAAAGAGTCTCCTGGTTCAAGAGAATTCCTGTGAGTTCCTCCACAGGAAAATCAGTCTGTTGTGTGTGACCTGAAAAGTTGCATAAATATTCAAAGGGTCAAAGAAATGGTAAATTCAACCCCATCCCTGACATAAGACGAATACAAACCTCACTGGCTTTCCTAGGTTTGTGTTTTTGATTGAGAATAGGCAGGGAACCCCAGGACCAACTCTTCCTCCTCAGCAGGTGCCTGACCCTGGGACTTCCTGAAACTTCTAGAGCAGTGCTTCACAAACTTTAGCATCAGAGTCACTTGAAGGCTTATTCAAACACAGGAGGCTGAGCCCCATCCATACTCAGCAGTTCTGATTCAATAGACCTAAGGTTGGGCCTGAAATTTATTATTCTGATTGCAGCACCCTAATCCTCCACCCCTTGCTCTCCTATGCAGTGTCCACTGTGGCTAACATGCCACTGTTTGCCTGGAGAGAACCAATGGATACCAGGAAATTAAAGAAGAAGAAGTATGAAACAAAAAGAAAATACATGGCATGTGTGTATTACCTTCCTCCAAAAAATGTGTCTCAAAACAAACATATGATTGGTCTGGAGGCACACACACAGCCAGTCCTCAGCTAAGCAGGTTTCATCAGACAGTATCCCTCCTGGATGCTGGTTATAGATATTCTCACTGGACAAAAGAATCAAGTAAGGTCATGTTAGCCTCATAGAGTGTATCTATCATGCCAGCCTGATAGGCTGGTGGACTAGGAACAAACATCATACTCTCTTGCCTCTCAAAGACACTTTAATTCAATAGGAAATATGTACAGAGAGAACAGCAGTTTTGAAACCATACACCGTTGGAAACCATAAAAGGTTTCATGAGTGCATAGGATTTCTTGGGAGTTCCCTCTCCAAAAAAAGCGATGTAATCAGGTGGATCGAGAAAGAACATGAAATGTTTGTTTGTTTTTTCCCAAGGCAGGAAGTGCCCAACACACCTGCGATCTACTTATCTTTTAGTCTGCATGTATTTTGCATTGTGACAGAAAACCTTTTCCTAGTTTTTCATATGGGGCCTCCGTTTGCTCTTACCAGAAGTTCCCAGGCAATATTTTATTGTAAAGAGGAAAATGGAGTGACTGAGGAAATACAGGAATACAAATCAGTCTTATGGAATATCAGTAGGGAATGTTGATCCGTATTGGTTTCTGCTTCTCGCACGTTGAAGGCCTCTAATTCCCCGACAGTCTTCGTGTGGTTATCCAGCGCCCTGCCACTCCCATCTCAAGCGACTGGAGAGCCACAGCCCTTGTCTCAGTACTGGATCACACTGGTAGCTGTGTTCTCCGCGCAGGTAGACAGGGAGAGACTGGTGGAGAAATCAGTGAACAGAGGCTTTCGCTCTGTTCTTTGGCCCAGAAAACAAAAATAACTTAAAAAAAAATAGATGCCTTCAGGGCGCTTTTCTCCCTTCTCCTTTGTCTTTGCGTCTCATTAATCATAGTACAAAATGGGAGTGAACGCGAGCCGCCTGTGAATGTGCACGCTTTTGTTTGGGTTCAAGAGACCGTGTTGCGATCCCGTTCTTCTTTCCCCCTCATTTCTTGTTTGTCTCCCTTCTGCTGTGGCAATCGCCTTTGGTGATGTCGAGGTTCACAGCATAACCAGTGGAGATAGTTCAAGGCTGAACATTGGGCTACACTTTTACTGTCTATATGTGCAGAAATAGGATAGAAAAACGTGAGGAGGCAGAAGTCTGTCGCTTGAAAACTACCAGAGCAAAACCATCGCTTGGAGGTGTCGGGGATCGAACCCGAGGCCTCATACATGCAAAGCATGCGCTCTACCACTGAGCTACACCCCCTTACTATAAGGTCTCTTTGTAATAATTTTCAGGAGGTAACTTTCATTTCCTGAGACTCCGTGAGCATGCTGGTAGTAGTGGTCAGTATTATGGAGTGCGGAGAGCTGTTCTGAGCAGGAGATACTTGGTACTAATGGGGGATACAGATTCTTTAGAATACTGTGTAGGACTTGAAACGAAAAACGAAAGATTAGAAAAGTGTCAGATAATAACCACAAGAAGTTTCCATTGTGGCCTCAAGACGTTGAGTTCTTAGGGTCTCCTTCTATTATGCTTGGCAAGAATCAAGTTCAGGTTTTCGTTTCTTTTAATTTCTCCCAGATACGACACAAAGCCATTGAAATTCAGCCTTTTCCTGCCTAAAACGCTTCATAATTGTTGTTTGCTCAATCGGAATATTAAAGATAAGATTTGATGGAGGAAAGCCACAATCAGAAGAAAACCTGACAGCGATGCACTTAGCATTTTTTCATAAGGGTCCTTAGCTGGCGTGGTGTCTTACGCCTGTACTCCCAGCTACTCTAGAGGCTGAGGCACGAGGATCGCTTGAGCTCGGGAGTTAGTTGTTGTAGGGAGCTATGACTGTGCCACTGTCCTCCAGCCTGGGCAACAGAGAGAGAAGGGAAGGGGAGGGGAGGGAAAGGGGGAGAAGAGGGGAGACGAGGGGAGAAGAGGGGAGGGGAGGGGAAGGGATTCATAAGGCGTGAATGAAAAACAGCTATGGGGATGGAGAGAAGGGTTGAATTATGAGAATAAGACCGAAGATAAATACAAACAGGGTTGAAGAATGCTTTAGAAAAACAAACACAGTAGGTGCAGAAAAGGGGAGAGGTTTTAACAGCTCTTTTAGGAATGAGAGATAGACTGGAAGATGGAGAAGATGAGTTAGTTTGGCTCATACTCAATTTAAAGTATCTGTGGGGCACACTTGTGAGGATGTTTCTCAGAGAATTCAGGCAATTAACTCTGTCTCTAGCCTGGGATTTGTAAGCATTAATAGTAGTAGACACATTACATGGAGGATGGATAAAGACTAAAAAAGTGTACTTTGAGATATGGAAATTACAAACCTATTCGTGATATTTGTAGTGAACAAACAAGTTTGTTTGTTCTTGAATTCAAAAGTTCTTGAATCTTGGGACTTATCGTGTGTCCTTTGAATTACATAAGAAGATGAGAAGAAAACCTATTTCTCAGCACCAAATTTCTAGTGACTATTAACTCTTTCTCATTCTGGTTTGCCTATATAAGAGCCTTTGCCAATGTTAATAAAGTAACATTGATGGCTTTCAAAATTGCCAAATTGCAAGTTGTATGTCAGACTTGGCTTTTCAGTTGGCTGATGGGATTTCTAGAATAAAAATAGGAAACACTGAGTGATAGACTTCACTGAAGGAGAAACTAGAGAATTGTTATAGACAAAATTGATGTGTATTCATGTGTGTTTGCCTGCCTGACTGTGTCTGTGTGTGTGCATGTAAATGATGGGAAGGATTATCTTGGCTCTTTGATGCTGTAAAAGCAATATTAGGACAGTTTGCAGAAACTCTCCTTCATCTTTATGTTGTGTTACACCCAGAGAAACTTGGCTGTCTATTGGATTCTTGGGAATTCATAATAAGAAGGTTGCCTCATAAAAATGGGAGAATTTTAAATAATTAAATATCTGTAGCTATCTTCAGACTATCTACCAGCAACACGATTGAAACATGTTTTTTGTGTGAAATCTGTAGGATGAGCTCATTTAACATAGCATTCTTCTGAGAAATTAAACATTTAATTTTGAAGACAGAACACCCTGTCATACACACTCAATTTCGAAAACCTAAAAATATATAAAGTATATGTTTAAATCTGCACTGTCCAATATGGTTACCATTAGCCACATTGGGTATTGAGTACTGAAAATTGCCTAGTCTAAGTTAAGATGTGTTGAAAGTGAGAAATATATACCAGATTTCAAAGATGTAATTTTTTTTTCATGGAGTCTCGCTCTGCCACCTAACCTGGAGTGCAGTGGTGCAATCTTGGCTCACAGCAACCTCCACCTGTTGGGTTCAATCCATTCTCCTGCCTCAGCCTCCTGAGTAACTGGGACTACAGGCGCGCACCACCATGCCTGGCAATTTTTCTTTTTCTTTTTTTTTTTTTTTAGTAGAGACAGGGTTTCACCATGCTGGCCAGGCTGGTCCCAAACTCCTGACCTTGTCATCTGCCCTCCTCGGCCTCCCAAAGTGCTGGGATTACAGGCATGGGCCGCCGCACCTGGCCAGATGTAATATCATTTTTTAAACATAAAATGTCTCACTGATAATTTTAAGATTGATTACTTGTTAAAATAATATTTTGGACATGCAAGGTGATTTACATATATTAGTAAAACTGGACATAAAAGATGGAAACAATAGACACTGGGGACTACTAGAGGGGGAGGCGAGAAGGGGAAAGGCTTGAAAAGCTAACTATTGGATACTATGTTCACCACCCAGGTGATGGGATTAATCTCACCCCAACCCCAGCATCATGCACTATACCCATGTAACAAACCTGGACATGTACCCCCTGAATCTAAAATAAAAGTTGAAATTATTATTATTAGTATTATTATTTTGAGACAGAGTCTTGCTCTGTCTCTCAGGCTAGAGTACAGTGGCGCTATCTGGGCTCACTGCAAACTCCTCCTCCAGGTTTCAAGTGATTCTCCTATCTCAGACTCCCAAGTAGCTGAAATTACA
Source organism: Homo sapiens (assembly GCF_000001405.40). NCBI lineage: Eukaryota > Metazoa > Chordata > Mammalia > Primates > Hominidae > Homo > Homo sapiens. The sequence goes on from NT_167249.2 coordinate 129,288, forward strand.
GGCATGCACCACCACACCCAGCTAATTTTTGTATTTTTATTAGAGACAGGGTTTCACCATATTGGTCAGGTTGGTCTTGAACCCCTGACCTCAGGTGTTCCGCGCACCTCGGCCTCCCAAAGGGCTGGGATTACAGGTATGACCCACCTTGCCTATCTAAAAGTTGAAATTGTTAAAAAATTATATAAAATAAGTATTGCCTGTTTATTTTTTAAATGTGACTACTAGAAAATTTAAAACTACAGAAGTGGCTCTCATTTAAGATTTGTATTAACTTTTTTAAAAATTCTTTTTATCCCAGAAGCTAAAGCAGAAGACTTGTAGTATCTTTTGATTGGACAGCATTGTCTAGAGACGATGTTATCTATTTAGGTGCTGTTCTGGGAGAATCCCAGAGCCAAAGGACATGGAGCATGGTCTGCCAGTAATTAGGTTTCATGCCGCGAGTGGACTTGACTAAATGCATTTCCATGCATGATCTCCTTAGACCTTTGCAACATCCCATTTTACATAATCATTATTAGCCTCATTTTTAAGGTATTGAATGAGAGACGAATCATGCTTAGAATTACCCTAGGCGTTTCATTTCAACAAAATGTAAAGGAATCACTACTGTGCTAGGCAAGAAAACATTCAATCCTGCCATTTGTCTAATCAAATGTTTCCTTTTTTTTTTCTTTTTTTAAGACAGAGTCTTGCTCTTGTTGCCTAGGGTGGAGTGCAATGTTGCGATCTTGGCTCACTGCAACCTCCGCTTCCCGGGTTCAAGGGATTCTCCTGCCTCAGCCTCTCGAGTAGCTGGGATTACAGGCATCCACCACCACACCCAGCTAATTTATTATTATTATTATTATTATTGTTATTATTATTATTTTGTATTTTTAGTAGTGACAGGGTATCACCATGTTGGCCAGGCAGGTCTTAAACTTCTGATCTCAGGTGATCTACCCGCCTCAGCCTCCCAAAGTGCTGAGATTACAGGCGTGAGCCACCACGCCCAGCCTATCAAATATTTCTTAATGAAATAAAACACAGGCTTCTGAGTTGAGAAAGCCTCAGTGACTTAAAGGGTAAAGTATCTGATTCCTAGTTCCTGTACAGTCAATGTCCCCACCCTGAGGTTGGTCTCTCATTTGGTACCAATTTTCCTTTCACAATTTGATGCAGTTCTGATGTTGGAGTACTGTAGTTTATTGTCTCCTCACACAGTATGCAGGTGTTAGGGGAAAATAACACTGAAAATGAAACACCAATTTGAAAGAAGAAAAGATATTAAAAATGACCAAAAAAAATCAGACAAAAAAAAAAAAAAACAGGACAAAAAAGGCCCATTATCCCAACACAAAATTTCAAGAGAGGAGTTGAAGTAAAAAAAAGGAAAATGGGGCACATCCACCTGAGTCTTGACAGAATAATTAATTTAGAAATACTTATTTTTGACTGGACGCAGTGGCTCACATCTATAATCCCAGCACTTTGGGAGGCCGAGGCAGGTAGATCACGAGGTCAGGAGTTGGAGACCAGGCTGGCCAACATGGTGAAATCCCGTCTTTACTAAAAATACAAAAATTAGTCAGGCATGGTGGTGGACGCCTGTAATCCCAGCTGCTTGGGAGGCTGCAGCAGGAGAATTGCTTGTGCCGGGGAGGCGGAGGTTGCAGTGAGCTGAGATCGTTCCACTGCACTCTAGCATGGGTAACATAGCAAGATTCTGTCTCAAAAAAAAAAAAAAAAAGAAAAAAGAAAGAAAGACTTATTTTTGTTCTTTCCTGGATACCAATGAGGAAATAACTTAAGATTTGGAAATTCTAGGCAAGGTTTCCAGGCTAAAGAAATGTCCTGTCAGTAAGAAACTTAAAAATATTCCTGTAATTAGGACTGGTGCGGTGGTTCCCACCTGTAATCCCAGCACGTAGGGAGGCAGAAGCGGGCAGGTTGCTTGAGCCCAGGATTTCAAGAACAGCTGGGGGAACATGGTGAAACCCAGTTTCTACAAAAAAAAAGTACAAAAGAGAGAGAGAGAAAGCCAGGCTTGTTGTTGCATTTCTGTAGTCTCAGCTACCCAGGAGGCTGACATGGGAGGATCGCTTGAGTCCAGGGAGGCTGAGGCTGCAGTGAGCTGTGATCATACCACTGCACTCCAGCATGGGTGACAGAGTGAGACCCTGCCTCAAAAAAACAAAACAGGGCCGGGCGCGGTGGTTCACACTGTAATCCCAGCACTTTGGGAGGCCGAGGTGGGTGGATCACGAGGTCAGTAGATCGAGACCATCCCAGCTAACATGGTGAAACCCCGTCTCTACTAAAAATACAAAAAATTAGCTGGGCGTGGTGGTGGGCGCCTGTAGTCCCAGCTACTCGGGAGCCTGAGGCAGGAGAATGGCGTGGACCCGGGAGGCGGCGCTTGCAGTAAGCCGAGATCGTGCCACTGCACTACAGCCTGGGCGACAGAGCGAGACTCCGTCTCAAAAAAAAGAAAGTTATTTTCCCAGCAGTTTAACTGCAGAGCTATGGAGTTGACTCAAGATACAAACCGAGGTGTTTCTTTCTTTTTTTTTTTTTGAGACGGAGTCTCGCTCTGTCACCCAGGCTGGATTGCAGTGGTGCGATCTCAGCTCACTGCAAGCTCCGCCTCCCGGGTTCACGCCATTCTCCTGCCTCAGCCTCCTGAGTAGCTGAGACTACAGGCGCCCGCCACCGCGCCCCACTAATTTTTTTGTACTTTTAGTAGAGACGGGGGTTTCACCGTGGTCTCGATCTCCTGACCTCGTGATCCACCCGCTTCGGCCTCCCAAAGTGCTGGGATTACAGGCCTGAGCCACTGCGCCCGGCCAAACCGAGGTTTTTGGAATTGCAAAATGTTTCTTGAATATACCACTACCACATATATACACTCATACAGCATAATAGTTCTTCTACAGGTTTCTTCATAGTTCTTGTGATTTAAAACACCCCTGCCCAACACACATAAATAACATCAAATCAGAAATGAATTGTAATTGCCACAGTCTATAGCATATTGGAATTTCTTAGGTTTTAAAATTAGTAACTTTCTAGATTTAAGATTTTAAATAATTTACATACCATCAGTTAACACTTCATGGAAGACTTCAGTGGAGAGAGTGATACAAATATACATACATATATATATACATTACCTTTATGGAATTTTCAAAAAGCAAAAAATGGGACTTATATATAGACCTCTGGGATTGGTGTGCAAGTGTTGTATAAAGGAAAGACAATTATGCAACAACCAAAAGGTATCTGCCGAAACCCGGGATTGAACCAGGGACCTTTAAGATCTTCAGTCTAACGCTCTCCCCACTGAGCTATTTCGGCTACTCTGGAGCTGTCCCGTTGGTCATTTCTTCAAATTATAAAAACTGCAATTTGTAAGGTCAGTGTATCTTCCAACGCCTAATTCGGTTGTCTTCAATATCACCCGTCATTCACTCACCTCCCCCCAATCCAAAAATATAAATTCTGCTGTAATTTATGTATGAAAATAGGATCCAATTTTCCCCGGCAAAAGACGGGAAAGAAAAGACGAGACGGCCGGGCACGGTGGCTCACGCCTGTAATCTCAGCATTTTGCGAAGCCGTGGAGGGTGGATCACTTGAGGTCAGGAGTTCAAGACCAGCCTGGCCAACATGGTGAAATCCCTTCTTTACAAGAAATATAAAAATTAGCCAGGAGAGGTGGCGCACGCCTGTAGTTTCAGCTACTTCGGAGGCTGAGGCAGGAGAATCGCTTGAACCAGGGAGTTCGAGGCTGCAGTGAGCCGAGATCGCGCCACTGCACTCCAGCCTGGGCGACAGCGAGACTCTGTCTCTAAAAAAAAAAAAAAAAAAAAAAAGGCGAGGAATAGGTCAAATCAGCAAGATAGATGCTCCCATGCTTGGTCACCTTGGAAACACCGCTCAGAAAACTAAAGGAAACTATCTAAAACTAAAATGAAATTATCTAGACTTTTCCTTTTCTCTCCTTTTGGCTCTTTTTTGTTTTGTTTTCTGTCTTGCTCTTCAATGACATGGCAAAAAGGAACAGAAGATTATTGAACACGTTAACCTGGTAGTAGGTTTATAGCTTCCGACTGAAGAAATCCTGAGCGAGCCAATTCTTTTTCTCTGTTTCCTTCCTTTTACTGATCTAGTGCTAACACATCCACCTTAGGTGGTACAGAGAGCCAGGGGTGGAAAAGGCAAGCATATGTTTATTTTAGTGTGACCACGTTATATATATATATATATATATATATATATATATATATATATATATATACACACACACATATAAATATGAAATATATATAAATTAAAAATGTAAATATATTGTTGATATAGATATTATATATAATATAAAATATACATGTATCTCTCTCTATATATATATATAGAGAGAGAGAGAGAGAGAAGATTCCAGCGAGTGAGAGAGAGAGAGAGAGAGACAGGGTCCCACTCTGCCAGCCTGGAGTGCAGTGGCAATCTCCTCTCATTGCAACTTTCGCCTCCCGGCTCAATCCGTTCTCCCACCTCAGCCTAGAAATTCTTATATCACTTCAAAAGTGTGAAAACATTGGACTCCTCTTGTTAAATAACTTAGAAACAATTTCAGAGTTTACCGAATTTCAGAAACAATCCTCTCTGGAATGAGGAAATAGCTACAGCCAACAACGACTTGCAAATTGAATTTTAATAAAACCGTCCCTATGTCTGGACAGTTTTCAAACTCAGTCTCCTATTCCGAGAGAGTCCAGGCTTTCTGTTTTTAGCCAAAATTTGTTGGGAGGGTCAATTAAAATATTTTTTGAATAATTTCCTCAAAAATTTTAGATTCTCTTACAGGCTTTTTTCTTTTTTTCTCTCCCTCTTGTAAGGCCCGAACCTCCCCAGACAGGAAACAACATTCCTCCAGGTTTATCCCCGCCGCCTGACGTCTCTCCCCATCTGGACGCAGCCTCAGCCTATGCTGCAGAAAACGTTTGAAGTTGAGCATATAGAGAAGGAAAAAAAAAAAAAGGAAAGTGATGTGGAAATTAAAACAGTGGCTACATATAAATCTCAGCACAGTGCTTAGAATGTGTGTAAATGGTTCTAGGAGTGCACTGCACTATTGTGAAAAGTTCATTCAGAAGTAAACGGGAGGGAAGGTGGAGAGGAGCCGAGGGCCAGCTGGCGGAGAGAGGGAAGAGGCGGGGTGCGGTGAAGTGGAGAAAGAAACATAAAAAGGGAGAGGGGTAGAGGACAAGGAAAAGCATCCTCAAGATTATTAGGATTTGGATGGACGGGATGTTAGAGTGAGTCTAAGCACTCACCTCTCCGTCGCTTCTTCTGGATATGAGGGAAGAGAGGTAGGGAGGTAGGCTAGACCAGGAAAGGGACCTGGTTCTTTTCGTCCAGACTGCCACGGCTGCGAGAGCGCCTCGCCGCTCTTTCCATCGCTCGATAGACAGGCTAGGCTCTTTGGAGGAGCACGTGATGTTGCGTTTTTTGTTTGCGGGTTCGGGAACCGCTGATACTGATAGCTTCTGAGGGAGCTGCAGGGATTTCCCGATTTCCTGAGTGTCTGTGTTGAGAGTTAAAAGCGGAATCTGCCGACAGCTTCGAGACTGAGCAGGACAGTGGAAACGTCTAATTTTATTAGGCTTGAAATGCAGAAGATGAGAAAGAAAGTTCCCGTTTGTTTGCTCCACATGTTTCCTTTAGAATGAAGCCGATTGGAAGTCAACTTCACCCTGAAGAAATTCCTCCTGGCGTTTACAATGAGCTTCTTTACTCCTCAAGTCCAGCTCTTGGCTCAAAAGGGCTCTGCAGGTTGGTACAAAGGCTGCGGAAAGGCGAAGTCGCGGTACAATCGGTGTTAACTACATGTGCAGCCACCGTCTTCTTAGTCTTATTACAGGTGCAGAGGTAATATAGGTGAATCCCTCACAAGTTGAGTGGGTTGACCTCAAAATTGACTTTAGCGATGGCTTGTGACCACCTGGTAGGTGGTGGACCATTACAGCGTTTGGAAAATGAGTAAAAGAAAGGATGCATACGGAAGCCCCACTAGCTTGCTTGGCTTCTGCAGATGCAGAGAGAGGTCGTTTTTCTGCCTTCTGGGTGTTGAGTAACTTAATTTTTTATCTTTTGTTTAAATGAAATAGAGCTGAAAATAGAAGGCGATTTCCTTTTAACGAGATAGTATTGAGATGCTTGCAGAGTATCCCCGCGTGGATTCTGCTTAGCTCTGTGATACCAGCATCAGAAACTGTGCAAAGAGCTCTAATCTGGAGGTGTGGGTTGTTCAGTAGCTTAGAAAGAGGTTATTCCTGGAGAATAAGTGCAGCAGGTAGAAAAGGATCCATTGGGATTGGGAGAATAAAAGTTCATTCATTATTTTTATTGATGGAAAACAAAGAAATGAGCTTTACCCTATACTGATCTTGGTTCCTGGAGTTCCGAGTGCTTGCATCTCAGGGCAGAAACTTCCTTAGAGGACCCAGAGAAATATGTTCCCCCTACCAAATGTCAGCTGAAGTGACTGTGATCTTTTTCTCATTTGTCATTATATTTGCCATTTATTGTATTCTTGTAGTTAAATAGTTTACATTAAGTTTTAGAGTTTGTGGGTTTCTAATGGAAAAAGTGACCACCAGCACATCAGGTCCTCAGCCACTGGCAGTGAAATCTTTTAGTGAAAGCTTGTAGGGCTTCTGCAACCTGGGTTAGAAGAAGAAATACAAGGCCAAGCATGGTAGCACACGCCTGTAATCCCAGCACTTTGGAAGTCTGAGGTGGGCAGATCACCTGAGGTCGGGAGTTCTAGACTAGCCTGACCAACAGGGAGAAACCCCCATCTCTACTAAAAATACAAAATTAGCCAGGCATGGTGGTGCATGGTTGTAATCCCAGCTACTCAGGAGGCTGAGGCAGGAGAATCACTTGAATCCGGGAGGCAGAGGTTGTGGTGAGCCAAGATTGTGCTATTGCACTCCAGCCTGGGCAACAAGAGTGAAACTCTGTCTCAAACAAATAAACAAACAAACAAACAAACAAACACCACACACAGGAAAGGACTTGCGCCACGTGGTTCTATGGTTTCTGATTATTTCATTTACAACTAGAAATAGGCTGGAGGGCCAGGAGTAGTACTTGCTTCCATAGTGCGTGGTTCACCTTAGTGACTGCTGGGACTGCTTAGAAAGAATAGATGGATAATCGTAAGCAGCAAATAACCTTAAGTGAATGAACACGAATTACCTCTCTGTATGAGAGAGAGATGTAGAGGTCAACCCAAATATCTTGACAAGGCAGGACATTCTGGACAGCTGGGGAAGGTCATGGAGCTCTTCTTACAGTGCCACAGGGAAGAAAATGGACCTCTGGAGGTACTGGGGAATCAGCCCAAGACCTCGTGCATGATAAGTACACTCTCTACCACTGAGCTATACCCCCTCATACCTCCTGTGTATTTGGAAAACTGGTGACCACCATTATCTGAGTATGTGCTCTATGTCATAAAGACAATTACCATGTGTTTCCAATTCCACTGTTTATGATTTCCCTATATCTAAGTGCCCCCTCTCTTAGGCACGGTTACATCAAGAAAAGGTACGTTAACAGTAAAAAGAAAAACACTGTTCCTGATTTGGGATCAGCAAATCTATTTCCAAATAGAGCATTTCAAAAGTATAACATAACCACATTGAAAATTCAGGAAAGAATTGACCTAAGAAAATGGTTTATACATTGTTCTCATTGTAAAAAGAAAAAGAACAGCAAGCATATCTTAAACTCTATGTATCAGGAATATTTTCTGTAATGCTAAGGCAATAGCAATTCTGATATTTTGTGTGAATTTTAGGATTGGAAAAATGAGCATGTGTGCGCCTGTATGTTGTTGGAACCAGGCTCTCACTGTGGGAAAGGAGGAAGGTAAAGAATAGTCCTATTGGTGATGATGGGAATTAGAGGCATCAGTATGAAATTATACACTTAATTGTAAAATTTCTCCACAGATCTCTCTGCTAATTGGGCCTAGAAGAAATGATACCTCAGATGCAATGAGCAAAGATAATTCTATATATTGATTTTCAAATACCACTCCCTACTAAAAGGAACCAGCGATACTGATAGAAAGTAGCTACTGGTGTCAACTACACTGACTCCGGGACTGTGCCAGGGAAACTACAAGATGAACCTAAGATATCTTGCTGTGCCAGAATGTAGGTGCTCAGAATTGATGGGTATGATTTGAAAGGACAGAGAAGCCAGCTTGAAAGGGATCTCAATGGCCAAATCTGACACATTTTGAGCATTAATGATGACAATAAGTGATTATCAATCTTGGGAACTTAAACACATAAATATGGAAGATGGGAAGATTTTCCTTACAGTTGTGTGCCAAGTGATAAATGTGGAAGTAAGGATAAAATTAGAAAATCCTCATTTGGGCTGGGCGTGGTGGCTCACGTCTGTAATTCCAGCACTTTGGGAGGCCGAGGCAGGGGGATCACCTGAGGTTGGGAGTTCGAGACCAGCCTGACCAACATGGAGAAACCCCGTCTCTACTAAAAATACAAAACTGTGGTGAGCCGAGATCACACCATTGCACTCCAGCCTGGGCAAGAAGAGCGAAATTCTATCTCAAAAAAAATAATAATAATAATAATAAATAATGAGAAAAACTGACATCACATGCCTCTTGGTGTGATAGAGGGTAACATGATTTCTGTGACATTTCCATGACCTGAATGTAACCATGACTACACAAATTAAGAAACATTCAACAAAACCACTGGCATATGCTCTTCAAAAACATATTCATGAAAGACAAGAAGATTAAGAATCTGTTCCAAAGTGAAGGAGACTGAAAAGTCAAGACAACTAGATTCATATGTGATTCTGAAATGGCACCTAGTTTGGGAGAGAAATTCCTATAAAAGATTTTATTGATACAATTAAAATTTTTATAGACTGTATATTAGAGAATACTATTTTATCAATGTTAAGTTCTCTAAATTTGATAATTGTGCTGTGGTAAGAAATTGACCTTGTTCTTAGGAAATACACATTGAAGTATTTAGGAATAAAAAGATATAATGTCTGAAAATCATTATCAAATAGTTTAGAGAAATAATTTTTGTCATATGTACATATACATATATATACACACACACATACACACACACACATATATATTCCACTGTTGCTGATTGGTTGTTGAGGTGAGGAAGAGGCAAGACCGTGTTCTGAAATAATGTCAAGATTTGGACGATATGTGTTTCTCAAATGGTTCCCATTCCATTTTAAATGTTGCTAGGCTGAGACAAAGATACAAATTCCCCAATTTATATTAGAATTTAGCAGGTAGTTTATTTTGTTTTGTTTTGAGACAGAGTTTTGCTCTTGTTGCCCAGGCTGGAGTGCGATGGGAGGATCTTGGCTCACTGCAAACTCTGCCACCTGGGTTCAAGCAATTCTCCTGCCTCAGACTCCCAAGTACCTGGGATTACAGGTGTGTGCCACCACTCCCGACTAATTTTGTATTTTTAGTAGAGATGGGGGTTTCACCATGTTGGTCAGGATGGTCTCAAACCCCCAACCTGAGGTGATCTGCCCGCCTCGGCCTCCCAAAGTGTTGGGATTACAGGCGTGAGCCACTGTGCGCAGCCAACTCCTTTATAATCTTATAAGACCACCGTAGGATATGTGGTCTGTGGTTTACTAAAATGTCAACATGTAGCACATTACTGCACTCATATCAGATTTTTGGCCTCCAGAAGTGTGAAAGAATAAATTTCTGTTGTTATAAGCCATCTAATTTGAGATAATTTGTTACAGCAGCCATAGGAAACTAATCAATGACAAGCTTATTCTACTCTGCCAACTGCCTTGAGTGGTTTTGAGGCTCATGAAGTCTAAATAACGTAATATTGAAATTAACATCTTGGCAAAATTCAACAGCCCTTCATGCTAAAAACTCTCAATAAACTAGGTATTGATGTGATGTATCTCAAAATAATAAGAGCTATTTATGAAAAACCCACAGCCAATATCATATTGAATGGGCAAAAACTGGAAGCATTCCCTTTGAAAACTGGCACAAGACAGGGATGCCCTCTCTCATCACTCCTATTCAACATAGTGTTGGAAGTTCTGGCCAGGGCAATCAGGCAAGAGAAACAAATAAAGGGTATTCAGTTAGGAAAAGAGGAAGTCAAATTGTCCCTGTTTGCAGATGACATGATTGTATATTTAGAAAACCTCATCATCTCAGCCCAAAATCTCCTTAAGCTGATAAGCAACTTCAGCAAAGTCTCAGGATACAAAATCAATGTGCAAAAATCACAAGCATTCCTATACACCAGTAACAGACAGAGAGCCAAATCATGAGGGAACTCCCATTCACAATTGCTACAAAGAGAATAAAATACCTGGGAATCCAACTTACAAGGGATGTGAAGGACCTCCTCAAGGAGAATTACAAACCACTGCTTAACAAAATAAATGAGGACACAAACAAATGGAAGAACATTTCATGCTCATGGATAGGAAGAATCAATATCATGAAAATGGCCCTACTGCCCAAGGTAATTTAAAGATTCGGTGCGATCCCCATCAAGCTACCAATGACTTTCTTCACAGAATTGGAGAAAAACTATTTTAAAGTTCATATGGAACCAAAAAAGAGCCTGCATTGCCAAGACAATCCTAAGCCAAAAGAACAAAGCTGGAGGCATCATGCTACCTGACTTCAAACTATACTATATGGCTACAGTAACTGAAACAGCATGGTACTGGCACCAAAACAGAGATATAGACCAATGGAACAGAATAGAGCACTCAGAAATAATACCACACGTCTACAACCATTTGATCTTTGACAAACCTGACAAAAACAAGAAATGGGGAAAGGATTCCCTATTTAATAAATGGTGCTGAGAAAACTGGCTAGCCATATGTAGAAAGCTGAAACTGGATCCCTTCCTTACACCTTATACAAAAATTAATTCAAGATGGATGAAAGACTTAAATGTTAGACCTAAAACCATAAAAACCCTAGAACAAAACCTAGGCAATACCATTCAGGACATAGGCATGGGCAAGGACTTCATGTCTAAAACACCAAAAGCAATGGCAACAAAAGCCAAAATAGACAAATGGGATCTAATTAAACCAAAGAGCTTCTGCACAGCAAAAGAAACCACCATCAGAGCGAACAGGCAACCTACAGAATGGGAGAAAATTTTTGCAACCTACCCATCTGACAAAGGGCTAATATCTAGAATCTACAAAGAACTTAAACAAATTTACAAGAAAAAATCAAACAACCCCATCAAACCCCAACAAAAAGTGGGCAAAGGATATGAACAGACACTTCTCAAAAGAAGACATTTATGCAGCCAATGGACACATGAAAAAATGCTCATCATCACTGGCCATCAGAGAAATGCAAATCAAAACCACAATGAGATTCCATCTCACACCAGTTAGGATGGCAATCATTAAAAAGTCAGGAAACAACAGGTGCTGGAGAGGATGTGGAGAAATAGGAACACTTTTACACTGTTGGTGGGACTGTAAACTAGTTCAACCATTGTGGAAGACAGTGTGGCGATTCCTCAAGGATCTAGAACTAGAAATACCATTTGACCCAGCCATCCCATTACTGGGTATATACCCAAAGGATTATAAATCATGCTGCTATAAAGACACATGCACACGTATGTTTATTGTGGCACTATTCACAATAGCAAAGACTTGGAACCAACCCAAATGTGCCTTCTATATGTAAGGCACATGTCCATCAATGATAGACTGAATTTAACAAACGTGGCACATATACACCATGGAATACTATGCAGCCATAAAAAAGGATGAGTTCATGTCCTTTGTAGGGACATGGATGAAGCTGGGAACCATCATTCTGAACAAACTATCACAAGGACAGAAAACCAAACACTGCACGTTCTCACTCATAGGTGGGAATTGAACAATGAGAACATTTGGACACAGGGTGGGGAACATCACACACCGGGGCCTGTCGCGGGGTGGGGTGATAGGGGAGGGATAGCATTAGGAGAAATACCTAATGTAAATGAGGAGTTAATGGGTGCAGCACACCAACATGGCACATGTATACATATGTAACAAACCTGCACGTTGTGCACAGGTACCCTAGAACTTAAAGTATAATGATTAAAAAAAAAAATCTTAAAAAAAAAAGAGGCCGGGCGCGGTGGCTCAAGCCTGTAATCCCAGCACTTTGGGAGGTCAAGACAGGCGGATCACGAGGTCAGGAGATCGAGACCATCCTGGCTAACACGGTGAAACCCGGTCTCTACTAAAAATACAAAAAAAAAAAAAAAAAATTAGCCAGGCATAGTGGCAGGCGCCTGTAGTCCCAGCTACTCAGGAGGCTGAGGCTGGAGAATGGTGTGAACCCAGGAGGCGGAGCTTGCAGTGAGCCGAGATCACGCCACTGCACTCCAGCCTGGGCGACTGAGTGAGACTCCATCTCTAAAAAAAAAAAAAAAAAAACAGAAATTAACGTCTTGGGGTCACGTGTTTACTTCTCATGTGACAGGCAACGAAAAGAGAGTAGGACACCTGAATGTGCTTTGTACTAAGGAGTGGTATTAAGAACTCGGAAACTGACCGTTGAAGGTTCTCGGGAGCTGAACCTGAGGCCTCCTATATGTAAGGCACACGTTCTATCACTGAACTACATCTCCTCATGCCAAGAGATATTTGTGTCGTCCTCCAAGTACTATTGCAGTATATGAAAACAATAAAAATATGGAAATAAAAAATAACTTAAAAATTAAAAAGGTGGCCGGGCACGGTAGCTCACGCTTGTAATCGCAGCAGTTTGGAAGTTGGAGGCGGTCAGATCATTTAAGGTCAGAAGTTCGAGGCCAGCCGAGCCAACAAGGTGAAACCCTGTCTCTACTAAAAATACAAAAATTAGCCGGGCGTGATGGCACGTGCCTGTAACCCCAGCTGCTCAGAGGTTGAGGCAGGAGAATCTCTTGAACCTGGGAGGTGGAGGCTGCAGTGAGCGGAGATGGCGCCACTGCACTCCAGCCTTGGGGACAGAGTGAGACTCTGTCTCAAAAAACAAACAAACAAAAACCCAAAAACCCTAAAAAGGTATTTCTCCAATCTAAAGATGTAAAAAATTAAATAAAATGAAAAATAAAGGAATATCTCGTTATATTCTGTGGGTCTCCATTCCTGTGTTCATTGTTTTAGCACTAAGTGTTGGGTTTAGAAGCAGGATTTGTGACCATTTTAAGTTGGAAGACCCCCAGCTGTGGGGGATATTGAAGTTTTGGCAAATAAAGCTTGAAATGGAACGCAGAATACTGGAAACTTGCGTTAGAAAACTGACCAGCTTTTTCCTGAATAAAGCACTTCTGCTATTGCTGTTTGCTTCACAGGAATGGTAAGAGCAAAACTTTGATGAGAAAACCCCAGGTGAGAATGAAAACCACATGCAACCTGTTATTCATTGCCAAGGGGTTCTTGATTGTACTACAGCATGAAGGCAACTGAGGAGGTTCATGGAGTAGTCCAGAATAATGTTCAAGACATGAAATAAATAGCAGATTCAAGGATGGAGAAAAACTTTGAAATTTTGAAAGCACATTCATAGGTAGCTAGACACAGGATTCAAAGACTTATTGGATTTATAGAGCAAGCCAGAAAGTGGGGAATCCATAAAAGAGAGCCTCAACAAACAGGAGGAAAAAAAGCAGAATAGAGATGCTTATTGTTCTTTGAAGGAATGGACAAGATATTAGGAGGAGGAGGTGAGTTTGTTTGGGAACGTGTTGAACTTACCATATTCTTCCGTAGGATCCTGCCCATTGGTGAAACACAGTGAACTTAGCCCAGTGCTCTGATCTGAATACGTGGAGGTGGGAGTGAGTAGAAGGCACCAATACAGTGTGAGTACAATGAGAACTCAAAGTGTCCTTTGAGATATGAAGATCAGAAACTTACTTACTGATAGTTGTGAAAAGCAAAAAAATGAACTTCTTCCTAGCTGATCTTCAACCCTGGAATTCACACTGGTTGTCACCATGGCCTTGAAACTTTCACAAAAGACCCAGAAAGTCTCATTTCCTGGCTAGTTTCCCAGTAGGTGTTATCTTTTCTCATTCATCTTCATTCTCATTCTCCTTATGTATGACTTTACCTATATTGGTAAGCATATTGCTGAGCCCCTTTCGAGGTTGGGAACACCTTATGGTTTGGCAGAATTTCTCTCTGTTGGCTCATAGGGATAGCGGAATAGGTAAGAGGAAACATAATGGCAGGTTTCACTGAAATTGGGTATTTAAGTGTCACCCACAAAACTCTACAAGCTCTGGTGTGTGTGTGTTTGTGCGCGCGCGCGCGCGTGAAAGTGCTGGGAGGATGTGAGAAAAATTATCTAGGCTGTTTTGGCCGGGCGCGGTGGCTCATGGCTGTAATCCCAACACTTTGGGAGGCCGAGGCGGGCGGATCACGAGGTCAGGAGACCGAGACCATCCTGGCTAACACGGTGAAACCCCGTCTCTACTTAAAAAAAAAAACAAAAAACAAAAAATTAGCCAGGTGTAGTGGAGGGCGCCTGTAGTGCCAGCTACTCGGGAGGCTGAGGCAGGAGAATGGCGTGAACCCAGGAGGCGGTGCTTGCAGTGAGCCGAGATCGCGCTACTGCACTCCAGCCTGGGCGACAGAGCAAGACTCTGTCTCAAAAAAAAAAAAAAAAAAAGAAAGAAAGAAAGAAAGAAAGAAAATTATCTAGACTGTTTGATGGTGTGAAAGTTGTTTCCAGAGTCATCATGTAATTATTCTCTAACTTGCACCTGAAGAAACCAAGATACCAGTTAGATTACCAGAAGTTCCCCACAAGGAGGTGTTTCTTTTTTTTTTTTTTTCTGTTTGCCCCAAAGTACAGAGAACACTGTGAGAATTGTTTAAGTTTCTGTAAGCATTCAGAAATATCTATGCATGGGGAGACATAGGATGAGTTCCAAATATATGAGATTTTTCTGATGAACCAACCATTTATCTCAGGAGATAGAACTCATTCATACTCAATTACTCTGCTCAGGGAGCCTGCAGACATGCGAATGACATCTCTAGACAATCTACAACCAGAGAGAAGATTGTAACTGGTTGAGTACTGTTTTCTTAAAGTTGACAAAAAGGTGGAGTAATAGTTTTCATGTAAGGAGCTCTTATATGATAATCTAGAAATTGAATTCACTCTATATTCTTTGGGATTTACATCTTGATTTGTTAACAGGGAGAGGGAGGTTTGATTACACTGTTGTAAGTCTCCCACCTTGATTGAATATTAAAAAAGAATTCCTGAACTAGACAGTAAAGGGTTAAATAATCTTTTTTCTTCAATTAAATATGTCTTTGAAAAGAATAAAACTCTACCTTTTGAGTCAGATTGACTACATGGCCTGATGGATTGTGTCTGCTTCCATATCACTGTGCAGCCAATGGTCCTGCCCACCTGCCGCTTCCCACACATTCACCCAGGGTCTCACGCATGGCCACGTCCTCATTCCTCTCAGAAGTCCTTAATTTTTTTTTTTTTTTTTGAGATGGAGTCTCATTGTGTCACCCAGGCTGGAGTGCAGTGGCATGATCTTGGCTCACTGCAACCTCCGCCTCCGAGGTTCAAGCAATTCTCCTGCCTCAGCCTCCCAAGTAGCAGTGATTACAGGTGGTCGCCACCATGCCCAGCTGATTTTTGAAAGAGGTCCTTAATTTCTCTGTGGAGAAAAATTTTTTTAAAATATGATCTCATTGAAGTATACAACCCCAAAATAAAATATAGTTGAATTTCCAAAATTCATCTACAATGTACCTTAAAATGATTCACTATTGTCCTAGGCCAAAGATAGGCACTGTTTGCTCTCAAAGAAGTACTTCTATCTGTCATATGTCATTTGTTTTCATTGTCCCAAGATGTTTTTGAAATCTCCATCCTATATTTTCTATAGCTTTCTTATATTAAACTCTTGGTTTTTGCATCCTATCCATTTCTACCCTAAATTACAGAGGTGGACTTCCTTAAAGAAGTCTATTGTGGGGAGCAGAAAAAAATATTTCCATTTGGGCCTGAGCCCTAGCATAAAGCAATGGTAATAATTCATGATAATTTTCCTCATGCTTTTACTATATTCCTTTGCAAATTGATTCCCATGATTGAAGCCTGTGAATAATTTTTTTCTGCCACAGTGAGTATAAGTGGCAAAGAGACATTGTGGAACTGTACTTTGAAAATGAGAGAAGAGAGAGAAAAAATGTCAACAGAACAGAAAATTATCTATTTCCCACATCAAGAAAGTCTGGGTCCTCAGTACTAGCTCTGAATCTTTCTTTAAAGAAGTAAACTGAAACCCAAGACATCTTAATCTGAGAAAGAATGACTTTTGGAACTTATTTTCTCCATTGAAAATTTCCTAATCACTTCACAGGGACAGAGGTGGCCTGATATTATATCGGAAACCAAGGATTTCCCAATTCTTGAGATATCCTTCAGCTCACACTTTCATTAGGGTTAGCAAAGGGTTTTGGATCTTTAAAATCTATCACAGGGCTTAGAATACAAAGTGGTGTTAATACAAAAGTTCTTGAAGATTTGGTGGTAGCTGATGAGAAGAGGGCTGTGTATTCTGGAATGATTACAAGGTCTTATTCTATTTAAAATGTTTCAGAGCAAGGATACAAACTTCCCAGTTTACATTAGAAGTTAGCACAGCCTTTATTGCAAAACTTGCGAAAAAGAAAATAAAGGCCGGGAGTGGTGGCTCATGCCTGTAATCCCAGCACTTTGCGAGGCGGGCGGATCATGAGGTCAGGAGTTCGAGACCAGCCTGGCCAATATGGTGAAACCCCGTCCCTAAAAAAAATATAAAAAATTAGCCGGGCGCGGTGGCGCGCGCTTGTTGTCCCAGTTACTCGGGATGCTGAGGCAGGAGAATCGCTTGAACCCGGGAGGCGGAGGTTGCAGTGAGTCGAGATCGCGCCACTGCACTCCAACCTGGACGACAGAGTGAGACTCCGTCTCAAGAAAAAAAAAAAAGAAAATGAAAACTTCACATCATATTCAATCATGAATAGTGATTCAAAAAATATTACTAAGTACAATATTGCCAGAGAGGCAAGGAACAGAGTCAATGATTAGAACACAAAAATGATTCAGCAATAGAAATATATATTTTTTGCAATTATGTTTTCTGTTAGAATAGAAAATTGGGGGAAAAAACACAGCCGCGTATTTATACTATACACCCTTACTCCATCCACGTCAAAGCACGTCATATTGCTTCTTAAATGTGCAAAAGAATCTCTTGTGGATCTTGTTAAATTGCTACTTCTGGTTCAGTACGTCTGAGGTGAAGCTGAGATTTCGCTCTTCTAACAAGCTCTCCGGTGCCACCAACTCTTGTGTGGACCAAGAGTCTGAAAGATATCCTTACGATAGAGGGCGCACCTGTCTTAGGTAAAATTACTTCTGTAACGTCATCTAAGGGAAGTCAAATTATCCGGCAGGAGTGAAGACAGAATAAAACTGGAAATCAGTCCGTGAACTTTGAGATCTTCAGCAGAGCATGCTTCCCAGTGGAGCTATTTCGGCAGAAGTGTGACGCCTCTACATTCATTGATGAAAATAACTTTCTCAATTTCCCAGTTTGGAAGGCTTTGCGTTTGTCAGGGCTCAGCCTGCGATGGATCATGGCTAAACAAGGACCAGAAAAAAAATAAAGGAAATCGGCTGGGAGCGGTGGTGGCTTACTCCTGTAATCCCAGCACTTTGGGAGGCCGAGGCGGGAGGATCACGAGGTCAGGAGATCGCGACCATCCTGGCTAACACGGTGAAACCCTGTCTCTACCAAAAAAATAGAAAAAATTAGCCGGGCGTGGTGACGGGCGCCTGTAGTCCCGGCTACTCGGGAGGCTGAGGCAGAAGAATGGCGTAAACCCGGGAGGCGGAGCTTGCAGTGAGCCAAGATCGTGCCACTGGGCGACAGAGCGAGAGACTCCGTCTCAAAAAAAAAAAAGTAATAAAGAAAATTGAGAGCTTACGTTTTTCTTTTATTAAATATTTCCACATTTATCTTTTATTTCCTACTTTTTAAATAACAATACTCCAAAGGTTAATGAGCTCGTCAATTTGGCGACGCCATTGAAGTTTTGGAATCCGGAGCCGTCTTTGTCTTCCAGCTCCATCTTTTCCACCTTTTGCTTAGGCAGTCCCCCGAGTCGTGTCAAGGCTGAGGAGTAGAAATGGAACAGCACTAATATTAATGGCAAAACCGTTGTGAAATAGGGTTACTTTCTGTTTAAGCAAGGAAAATAAAGTAAAGCAATGGGAAAAAAATTAAAAGCAAAAGAAATGGAGGTGCCGGGGATTGAACCCGGGGCCTCGTGCATGCTAAGCACGCGCTCTACCACTGAGCTACACCCCCGTACTGAAACGGTTCTCTCGAGAGTATATTCAAGATCAGAACCTGACCCTTTTGCTAGGTTTCAGAACCATTAGTTGTAATCAGCCAAGGTCTATTTTATTTAGTTATTTCTGATATCTCAAATTTAGGTTTTGCGTCCCTCTTTGCTGACAGCTGAGCAAACCGCATTCTACACCGAAGGCCCTCTATTGATGGCCCTGGGATTTTTCTGCTCGTCAGTCCGGAGTCACTTACCGGGCACCACTAGAAGAACCCGGGATGAAACATTTTCTCCCGTGTCTTGACTCTCTCCTTTCTTTCACCGCTGCTTTAAAGGGCTGCCAGAAAGCCACAAAGTACAAAGCGAGGCATTTAGAGACCATAGTAGATGCAGGTGGCGAGGGAAGACAGGTGGAGAAACGCAGACGGGTTCGTGTCGGTGCAGCCACTGCTTTGGACCCGAGCCTCCGTCCCGCCGGGGGCCGGGGTGCTGAGCCCAGCGAGGCGCGGACTGGGGAGCGAGGAAGAGGAGCACCCGCCAGATCGCGCCCCCTTTCGGGCAGAATCCGCTCCCGGTCCGGTCCCGATTGGCAGAAAACGATACGAGGGCGGTATACACTCAACACGCGCATGAACGATTCATCAAGCCCTCCGTGTGCCGGGTCTGGCTCACCAACCTCATCCTCTGAGCTCCGGGCTTCTGCCTCCCAGCCCAAGGAACCCACAGGGTCTCAGCCAACACTGGGAGAGTAGCTTAAATGGGCAGAAAGACAAGATAAGGGGATGTGGTGAATAACAGAATTATCCAATCCTATTATCAGCCCATCTGAGATTAAAGGGACGTCAATCATACTTGAATACTTTATTTAAAAAAAACAGTTTGCAGAGGGTCGCATACAAGAAGAATAAAGTGGTTTTTTTTTTTTCATAAAAATGTGGATTCAGGAGCATTACCGGAAATAATCAAGGAACGAGGAAGAGTGTGGCGAGAGAGTTCGGGTCCGGTATACCTCTCTCTCCGCACCACATTCTTTTGTAGTACCTGTGAAACATTCATGAAAACGGACCACAGAAGAAAACCTCAGTAAGTTCCAAAGTATAGAAATAACACAAACATCATTCTCTGACCATCATGCAATAAAACTAGAAATTGATAAAATAAAAAATAAAAGTCACTTCCACCTGAAAATTTTAAAGCATGCTATAATACAACTCGAGTCAAGAAGGAAATACAAATTTTAATTACATAATTTCTTGAAAGGGACAAAAGTGCAAATGTGACATAGAATCTGTGAGATAGAGCTAAAGCATTTATCAGAAGGAAATTTATTTCCTCACATACCTATATCGATAACAAAAAATAACAAATGAATCAAACACAGCTCAAGATGCTACTAAATGAACAACAAAATAAACCAAAAGAATGAGGAAGGAAGGGTTGTAAGGACAAATTCAGAGAATGAGTTAGAAACAAAGTATAACTAATAAAGATACAAAAAAGGTGGATATTTGAAAGTCAACAAAATAGACAAACCTCTAGCCAACAAAGAGAAAATTAGTGCAAATACACAAAATTAGAACTGGAGGAAATAATCATCAACACAGAAGACCTTTTTTGAAATCATCAGAGATAACATAACACAACTAGCAAATAACTGGCAAACTTAGTGGATTTTTTAGACAAATGTAGCATACTCAAACTAACCCTTGTAGAGACAGAAAGTCTAAACAGACCAGTTAAGAAAAATAGTTTAACAGGCATACTCAATAAAAAGGGCACCAAGCTCAAATACTTTCATAAAGAAATCCTACCAAACTGTCAAATATCAAAAAATCATGATGCTACTTAAATTATTCGAAGCATAGACACTAGCACTTTATAAAGTTAGTATAACATTTCAGTTTGCACTAAAAATGAAAACTACAGGTCAATTTCACATATGAAATATATGAAATGTAATGCCTAAATCTTAAATAAAATTTATAGCAAACAGAATACAATAGCACATTTAAAACAGTAATACAGGATGTCCAAGTAGGGTTTATTCCAGGAGTGTAAAGATCACTCATTATTAGGAAAGATATTAATATAATCCATTGTAATTGGAACTGGAGGTCATTATGTTAAATAAAGTAAGCGAGAAACAGAAAGACAAATTTCACATCTTTTCAGTCATATGTGGGAGTTTAAAAAGTTGATCTCATGGAGGTAGAGAGTAGAATCATAGATACCAGGGTCAGGGAAGGGTGTGTGCATTGGAGCTGCGTACAAAGGCAGGTTGGTCAATGTGTACAAACATATAATTAGATAGAAGGTATAGGTTCTTTTTTTTTTTTTTTTTTTGAGTTGGAGTCTGGCTGTCTTGCCCAGGCTGGAGTGCAGTGGCACCATCCCAGCTCACTGCAACCTCCACCTCCCAGGTTCAAGTGATTCTCCTGCCTCAGTCTCCTGAGCAGCTGGGATTACAGGTGCCTGCCACCACAGCCAGCCTCTAATGTTGATAGTAGAGTAGGGTGACTATAGTTAGCAACAATGTATTGTATATTTCAAAGTAGCTAGAAGAGATAACCTGAAACCAACACATAGAAATGATAAATACTCAAAGTGATGGATACCCCAAATACCCTGACTTTACTCATAATAAGTGAAAGACATACTAAATTAGATTGGATAGCATACTTTGTTGTCAAGGTTGCCGAGAAATTAGTCTTTTCATAGAGTACTGGTGGGAATGGAAAATGGTATAATTCCAAGGGCAGAAAATTTGCAGTATCTAGAAAAAATGTATAATTATTTACCCTTTAACCCACAAATTCCACTTCTAAAAAGCTATCCCTAATATATACTATCAAAATAAAAAGGGCCAGGCACAGTGGCTTACGCCTGTAATCTCAACACTTTGGAAGGCCAAGGCCGGCAAATCACTTGAGGCCAAAAGTTTGAGACCAGCCTGGTCAACACAGTGAAACCCTGCCTCTACTAAAAATACAAAAAGTAGTCAGGTGTAGTGGCGGGCACTTGTAATTGCAGCTCCTCAAGAGGCTGAGGCAGGAGAATTGCTTGAATCCCAGGAGGCAGAGGTTGCAGTGAGCCAAGATGTCACCACAGCACTCCAGCCTGGGTGAGAGAGCAAAACTCCATCTCAAATAATAATAATAATAATAAATACTAAATAAATAAAAAGGAAAACAGATGCATGACTATTCATCACAACTCTATTTGTAAAGCAAAAGAAGGAAACAATCCAGGCCGGGTGCGGTGGCTCATGCCTGTAATCCCAGCACTTTGGGAGGCTGAGGCAGGTGGATCACCAGGTCAGGAGATTGAGACCATCCTGGCTAACATGATGAAACCCCGTCTCTATTAAAATACAAAAAATTAGCTGGGTGTGGCGGCACGTGCCTGTAGCCCCAGCTACTAGGGAGGCTGGGGCCAAGATCATGCCACTGCACTCTAGCCTGGGAGACAGAGCGAGACTCCATCTCAAAAAAAAAAAAACAAAAAAAAGGAAACAATCCAAATGTCTGACAAAAGGGTCAATTTGAGAAAACTATGGTACATCAATATAATGTCACTGTAAAAAGGAATACTAAATGATCAGCTTCAATCTCTCCTTCCCCTATGAAGAAGGGCATATATGTATTTGAACTTCACTGGGACACTGGGTAATCACTCTCCTACAATTACCCCATGCTTATGTATGTTAAATAAATTTTGTATGTCTTTTTCTTTTATTAATCTGCCTTTGTCACTTCATTTTCAGCAAATTTCAGTGGGCAGAGAGGAAGCTTTTCCGCCACCCCTACATAGTTAATACTCTACCTTGAGCATGGCACACAGAGAATACTAAGGTGCTAATAGCTCTTACTGCGGCTTGTGAGGCAGTGGCTTCAAAACAGGAAATACAAGCCAAGAGGATTTCAGACTACTGCACTTCATCCACTGAGTGTTCAGCATCTAGAACTTTTCTTCCACAAAGAGAAACATGCAATTGTTACCACCTCTAGCTCCAGAGTCCTAGCTCAGAGATTTTTCCTATAGAAAGAAATGAGCCAGCCGGGCATGGTGGCTCATGTCTGTAATCCCAGCACTTTGGGAGGCCAAGGCGGGCAGATCACCTGAGGTCAGGAGTTTGAGACCAGCCTGGCCAACATGGCGAAAACCCATCTCTACTAAAAATACAAAAAAAATAGCTGGGCCTGGTGGTGTGTGCCTATAATTCCAGCTACTATGGAGGCTGAGGAAGGAGAATCGCTTGAACCCAGGAGGTGGAGGTTGCAGTGAGCTGAGATTGTACCACTGCACTCCAGCCTGGGCGACAGAGCAAGACTCCATCTCAAAAAAAAAAAAAAAAAAAAGAAGAAGAAGAAATAAATGAGCCAAAAAGTAGATAGCTTCCAATCCTTTCCCAAAATAACTGATTTAATTTGTAACATAGAATAGAGAAGTGGAAAGCTAAGGGCATTCTCAAGAATGGTGGAGATTTTGATGAAAGGTAATTGGGAGGAAATTTGTGAATCTAAGAAAGATAGATCTTAAACTGTAGTCTGGCTAGTATGCAGGAGAGAATCAGGAAATAAGACAGGTAGGAGGAACCCTTTTGGAGTCAGGACAAATATCAAATACTTACATCAGAAACTATTCCATTTAAGGAGCTACATTTTGATTGGATTTGTTCATAGAGGAATTTATACCTCAAGGCATTGTTGAAAACAATACAACAACTGGTCAGCAATAACTGAAACACAACAGTAGGGTGTGGTCAGAAAAAGAGTGAAAAAGAACATTGCCAGCACCACTGTCATCCCAGGGTGACTGGGGGCATACCAAAAACTGCATCACCACGAAGACTAATGTCAGAGGATTAGCACTCTTGGGAGTGAAATATCCAGGGTTATATAATACTCCATGTTAATAAAATGAATGGCAATAATCAAATATCATCTCAATTGAGATACAGAAAGGATTCAACAAAATTCAACACACTTTTATGAAAAAAGCACTCAGCGGCCAGGCGCGATGGCTCACGCCTGTAATCCCAGCACTTTGGGAGGCCGAGGCGGGCGGATCACGAGTTCAGGAGATCGAGACCATCGTGGCTAACACGGTGAAACCCCGTCTCTACTAAAAAAAATGAAAAAAATTAGCCGGGCATGGTGGCAGACGCCTGTAGTCCCAGCTACTCGGGAGACTGAGGCAGGAGAATGGCGTGAACCCGGGAGGCAGACTTTGCAGTGAGCAGAGATGGCGCCACTGCACTGCAGCCTGGTCAAGGGAGCAAAACTCCGACTCAAAAAAAGAAAAAAGAAAAGAAAAAAGAAAAAAGTACTCAGCAAACTAGGAATAGAATGAAACTACCTCAACTTAATAAAAGCCATACATGAAAAGCCCACAGGTAATATATTCAGTGGCCTTAGCTTTTCCTCTAAGATCTAGAACAAGGCAAGGATGCTTACTCTCACCACTACTGTTCAACATAGCACTAGAAGTCCTACTCAGAGCAATTAGACAAGAAAAAAAGCCCCAGTGCGCTGGCTACAGCCTGTAATCCCAGCACTTTGGGAGGCCGAGAGGGTGCACTGCTTGAGCCCAGGTGTTCAAGACCAGCCTAGGCAACATGGTGAAACCCCATAACCATAAAAATCTACAAAAACTAGCCGGGCATGATGGCATGCACCTGTAATCCCAGCTACTTGGGAGGCTGAGGCAGGGTTCACTTGAACCCGGGAGGTGGAGGTTGCAATGAGCCGAGATCACACCATTGTACTCCAGCATGGGGACAAAGCCAGACCCCGTCTTGAAAGAAAAGAAAAGGAAGGAAAGAACGAAAGAAAGAAACAAAAGTCATCCAAACTGGAAAAGAAAACTAAAATTATCTGTTTACAGATGACATGATCTTATATGTGGAAACCCTGAAGACCTTCCCACACACACACAAAAAAACCTGTTACAACTAATAAACAACTTTAGAAAAGTAGCAGGGTATAAAATGAACACACAAAAATCAGTTGCATTTCTACAAACTAGCAATGACCAACCTGAAAAGAAAATTAAGAAAACAATCCCATTTACTATAGCACCAAAAAGAATAAAATATTTAGGCATAAACTGAACCAAGGAGGTAAAAGACTTGTGCGGGAAAAACTACAAAACATTGCTAAAAGAAATCAGACAAGATACAAATAAATGGAAAGGCATCCTGTGCTTGTGGAGTGGAAGACTTTAATACTGTGAATAAGTACATATTATCCAACGTGATCTACAGATTCAATGGCATTCTTATCAAAAACTCAATGGCAATTTTGCAGAAATAGGAAAATATAGAAAAAAATCATCCTAAGACTCATATGGAATCTCCAGGGAACCTGAACAGCCAAAACAATCTTGAAAAAGAACAAAGCTGTAGAACTCATTCTTCCTGATTTTGAACCATACTAGAAAGCAACGCTAATGAAGATGGTTGTAGGGGCCAGGCGCAGTGGCTCATGCCTGTAATCCCAGCACTTTGGGAGACCAAGGTGGGTGGATGACGAGGTCAGGAGTTCAAGGCCAGCCTGGCCAGCATGGTAAAACCCCGTCTCTACTAAAAATACAAAAGATTAGCTGGGCATGGTGGCACGTGCCTATAGTCCCAGCTACTTGGGAGGCTGAGGCAGGAGAATTGCTTGAACCCGGCAGGCAGAGGTTGCAGTGAGCTGAGATCATGCCAATGCACCCTAGCCTGGGTGACAGGTGACAGAGCAAGACTCTGTCTCAAACAAAAAAGATGGTTGTATTACTGACATAAAGACAGGTATACAGACTAATGGAACAGAGAGCCCAGAAATAAATCCTTGCATATATGGATGAATAATTTTGACAATGATGCCAAGACTACACAATGGAGAAAGGACAGAGCCTTCAGTAAACAGTATTGGAAAAAGTGGTTATCTACATGCAAAATAATGAATTGGACCTTATCTTTATACATATACAAAAAAAATTCAAAATGGGTTAAAGACCTAAACATAAGACCAAAAACTATACAACTCCTCGAAGAAAACATGGAGGAAAAGCTTCAGGACATTGGATTTGACAGTGATTTCTTGGACAAGCCACCAAGAACACAGACAACAAAAGCAAAAATAGACAAATGGGACCACACCAAACTTAAAAATTTCCGCACATCAAAGGAAACAATCAAAAAAGTGAAAACACAACCTATGGAACAGGAGGAAAATGTTTGCAACTGATAAAGGGTTAATATCCAGCGTATATAAGGAACTTGTACAACTCAACAACAACAAAAAACAAATAACCTGATTTTAAAATGGGCAACAGACTTTAATAAACATTTCTTGAAAAAAGATATACAAATAGCCAATAAGCATATGAAAAAATGTTCAACATTACTAATCATTAGAGAAATACAAATCAAAATCATAATGAAATATAATCTCACATCTGTTAGGATGGCCCTATGAAAAGAATAGAAAATAACAAGTGTTGGAGAGGATATGCAGAAATTGGAAATGTGTGCACTGTTGGCGGGAATGTAAAATGGTGCAGCCATTATGAAAAACAGTGTGGAGTTCGTGGTCTATATACATATATATATACATGTATATATATAAGTTATAGGTTTTCATCCACAGTTACTGGTTCATAACTTCCATCTCCCTTGTTACAGTCTTTTGTTATAATGTTGTGTGTGTTAGGCCTCAGGGGCAGGCCTCAAGGAACAGAATCTACCTCCTGCCTTCCTTTCACCTGCCCCAAGGCAGAACTCTAATATTACCCCATCTTTTTCATTATGGGTCTTAAGACCCTCCCCTGGGAGGGTCCAGTCTCATACCCTGGAGGAAGGAATGCTTCCATACAAACCCAAGAAGACTGGGTTCAAAGACCTCCAGATAGCTGAACCCGTGAAGGTTGCTGGAGGGTGGCATGCCCAGGGAGGGCATGGAAGCTCCATACCCCTTCCACCATACCTTGCCCTGCCAGTCTATTCATCTGTGTCCTTTATAATAAACTGGTGAATGTAAATGTTTCCCTGAGTTCTGTGAGCCACTCCAGCAAATTAACTTAACCCAAAGAGGAGGTTGTAGGAACCCCAAATTGAAACCAGTCAGTCAAGAAGTCCCAGAGACCCAGACTTGCAACTGGTATCTGAGGCTATAGGGGGAAGTCTTGTGGACTGAGCCCCCAACCTGCAGGAACTGACATTACCTTCAGGTAGACAGTGTCAGAACTGAATTGGAGGACACCTAGCTGGTGTCTGCTGCTTGATGTGTGGGGAAAAACCTTCACACATTTGGCCACAGTAGTCTTCTATGTTGATGATTATTGTGGTGTAAGACTAGAGGAAAATGGTTGGTGAGAGTTTTCCCAACACAGGGTTTCTTCACAAAATTAAAATTATGATTCCCATATAATCCAGCAAACCTACTTCTGCAGGGGTTTCAAAAGAATTCAAAAGCATTCAAAGTAGGATCCTAAAGAGATAACTGTAGCATTATTCACACTAGCCAAGAGGTAAAAGCAAAACAAATGTCAATTGACAGATGAATGGATATACCAAATGTGGTATATACATACAACAGAATATTATGTAGCCTTAAAAAAGGAAATCCTATCACATACTACAATAATAGATAAATCTTGAGGACATTATGGCAAGTGAAGTAAGCCAGTCACAAAAGAACAGACACTGTATGATTCCACTAATAAGAAGTATCTAAAGTAGACACAATTATAGAAACAGAAGGTAGAAAGGTGGTTGCCAAGGACTGGCTGGAAGGGAGAGGAGAATTAGCGTTTGTTGGGCATAGAGTTTCAGTGTTGAAAGATGAAAGTGTTCCAGAGATCTGTTGCATAACAATGTGAATATACTTAATACTACTAAACTGTATACTTAAAAATGGTTAGGATGATAAATTTAATGTTATGTGTTTTACTTTGATTTAAAACAATTTAAATACGTTCAGATAAATAAAAATGAGTTCAGTCAGGCGCGGTGGCTCATGCCTGTAATCCCAGCACTTTGAGAGGCCAAGGCGGGCGAATCACTTGACGCTAGGAGTTGGAGGCCAGCCTAGTCACAAAACCATGTCTCTACAAGAAAATATAAAAAATTAGCTGGGTGTGGTGGCACATGTCTGTAATCCCAGCTACTGGGGAGGCTGAGGCATGAGAATCGTTTGAACCTGGGAAGGTGAGGTTGCAGTGAGCTGAGAATGTGCCACTGCACTCCAGCCTGGGTGACAGGGTGAGACTAGGTCTCAAAAAAAAAAAAAAGTACACAACAGCACAACATATCAAAATGTACTGGATACAGCTAAAACAGTGCTAAGAAGTAAATTTATAGCTGGGAATGTTTATGTTAGGAAAGACAAAAGATCTTAAATCAATAGCCCTTACATTGTAAGACACTGAAAAAAGACGAGCAAACTAAAGCTAACGCAACAGGAAGGAAAGAAATAAAGATTAGAGTGGAAACTAATGAAATAGAAAAACAATAAATAAATAAATAAAATAAAATATTTATTTCTTAAAAAGGTAAACAAAATTGTCAAACCCTAAACTAGATTGACCAAGATAAGGGAGAGATGATTCAAGTCACTAAAATCAGAATTGAAATGGAAACATTACTGTGGGGCGCAGTGGCTCACACCTGAAATCCCAGCACTTTCGGAGACCAAGGTGTGTGCATCACGAGGTCAGGAGTTTGGGACCAGCCTGGCCAACATGGTGAAACCCCATTTCTACTAAAAATACAAAAATTAGGTAGGTATGGTGGTACCCACCTATAGTCCCAACTACTCAGGAAGCTGAGGCAGAAGAATCACTTGAACCTGGGAGCCGAGATTGTGCCACTGCACTCCAGCCTGAGGGACAGAGTGAGACTGCATCTCGGAAAAAAAAACAAAAAACAAAAAAGAAATCCCCTGTTAGAAGAGAATAAAATAGAGTGAAAACAAGATGGCCAAATAGGAACAGCTCTGGTCTGCAGCTCCCAGCGTGATTGCCACAGAAGATAGGTGATTTCTGCATTTCCAACTAAGGTAACTGGTTCATCTCACTGGGACTGGTTGGACAGTGGGTACAGCCCATGGAGGGTGAGCTGAAGCAGGGCGGAGCATCGCCTCACCTGGGAAGTGCAAGGTTCAGGGGATTTCCCTTTCCCAGCCAAGGGAAACTGTGACAGAGTGTACCTGGAAAATCGGGACACTCCTGCCCTAATACTGCACTTTTCCAATGGTCTTAGCAAATGGCACACCAGGAGATTATACCCAGAGCCTGGCTCAGAGGGTCCTACGCCCACGGAGCCTTGCTCACTGCTAGAGCAGCAGTCCGAGATCGAACAGCGAGGTGGCAGCCTGGCTGGGGGAGGGGGTCCTCCATTGCTGAGGCTTGAGTAGGCAAACAAAGTGGCCCAGAAGCTCTTATTGGGTGGAGTCCACCACAGCTCAAGGAGGCCTGCCTGCCTTTGTAGACTCCACCTCTGGGGGGCAGGGCATAGCTGAACAAAAGGCAGCAGAAACTTCTGCAGACTTAAACGTCCCTGTCTGACAGCTCTGAAGAGAGCAGTGGTTCTCCCAGCACGGAGTTTGAGTCCTAAGAAGGGACAGACTGCCTCCTCAAGTGGGTCCCTGACCCCTGTGTAGCCTAACTGGGAGACACCTCCCAGTAGGGGCCGACTAACACCTCATACAGCCAGGTGCCCCTCTGAGACGAAGCTTCCAGAAGAAGGATCAGGCAGTAATATTTGCTGTTCTGCAATATCTGCTGTTCTGCAGCCTCTGCTGGTGATACCCAGGCAAACAGGGTCTGGAGTGGACCTCTAGCAAACTCCAACAGACCTGCAGCTCAGAGACCTGTTAGGAGGAAAACTAACAAACAGAAAGAAATAGCATCAACATCAACAACAAGGACATCCACACCAAAAGCCCATCTGTAGGTCACCATCATCAAAGACCAAAGGCAGATAAAACCACAAAGATGGAGAGAAACCAGAGCAGAAAAGCTGAAAATCCTAAACACCAGAGCACCTCTTCTCCTCCAAAGGATCGCAGCTCCTCACCAGCAATGGAACAAAGCTGGATGGAGAATCACTTTGATGAATTGACAGAAGTAGGCTTCAGAAGGTCAGTAATAACAAACTTCTCCGAGCTAAAGGAGGCGGTTTGAACCCATCATAAGGAAGCTAAAAACCTTGAAAAAAGATTAGACAAATGGCTAACTAGAATAAACAGTGTAGAGAAGACCTCAAAGGACCTGATGGAGCTGAAAACCATGGCACGAGAACTACGTGACACATGTAAAAGCTTCAGTAGCCGATTCCATCAAGTGGAAGAAAGGGTATCAGTGATTGAAGATCAAATTAATGAAACGAAGCAAGAAGAGAATTTAGAGAAAAAAGGGTAAAAAGAAGCCGGGCGCGGTGGCTCACGCCTGTAATCCCAGCATTTTGGGAGGCCGAGGCGGGCGGATCACAACGTCAGGAGATCGAGACCATCCTGGCTAACACGGTGAAACCCCGTCTCTACTAAAAATACAAAACATTAGCTGGGCATGGTGGCGGGCGCCTGTAGTCCCAGCCACTCGGGAGGCTGAGGCAGGAGAATGGCGTGAACCCGGGAGGTGGAGCTTGCAGTGAGCCAAGATGGCACCACTGCCCTCCAGCCTCAGTGACACAGTGAGACTCTGTCTCAAAAAAAAATAAATAAATAAAAGAAAAAAGGCTAAAAAGAAACAAACAAAGCCTCCAAGAAATATGGGACTATGTGAAAAGACCAAATCTACGTCTGATTGGTGTACCTGACACTGACGGGGAGAATGGAACCAAGTTGGAAAACACTCTTCAGGATATTATCCAGGAGAACTTCCCCAACCTAGTAAGGCAGGCCAACATTCAAATTCAGGAAATACAGAGAACACCACAAAGATACTCCTCGAGAAAAACAATCCCAAGACACATAATTGTCAGATTCACCAAGGTTGAAATGAAGGAAAAAATGTTAAGGGCAGCCAGAGAGAAAGGTCGGGTTACCCGCAAAGGGAATCCCATCAGACTAACAGCAGATCTCTTGGCAGAAACTCTACAAGCCAGAAGAGAGTGGGGGCCAATATTTATCATTCTTAAAGAAAAGAATTTTCAACCTAGAATTTCATATCCAGCCAAACTAAGCTTCATAATTGAAGGAGAAATAAAATCCTTTGCAGACAAGCAAATGCTGAGAGATTTTGTCACCACCAGGCCTGCCTTACAAGAGCTCCTGAAGGAAGCGCTAAACATGGAAAGGAACAACTGGTACCAGCCACTGCAAAATCATGCCAAATTGTAAAGACCATCGATGCTAGGAAGAAACTGCATCAACTAATGGGCAAAATAACCAGCTAACATCATGACAGGATCAAATTCACACATAACAATATTAACCTTAAATGTAAATGGGCTAAATGCCCCAATTAAATTAGACACAGACTGGCAAATTGGATAAAGAGTCAAGACCCATCAAGTGTGCTGTATTCAGGAGACCAATCTCACATGCAGAGACGCACACAGGCTCAAAATAAAGGGATGGAGGAAGATCTACCAAGCAAATGTAAAGCAAAAAAAAAAGCAGCAGTTGCAATCCTAGTCTCTGATAAAACAGACTTTAAACCAACAAAGATCAACAAAGACAAAGAAGGCCATTACATAATGGTAAAGGGGTCAATTCAACAAGAAGAGCTAACTATCCTAAATATATATGCACCCAATACAGGAGCACCCAGATTCATAAAGCAAGTCCTTAGAGACCTACAAAGAGACTTAGACTCCCACACAATAATAATGGGAGACTTTAACACCCCACTGTCAATATTAGACAGATCAATGAGACAGAAGGTTAACAAGGATATCCAGGACTTGAACTCAGCTCTGGACCAAGCAGACCTAATAGACATCTACAGAACTCTCCACCCCAAATAAACAGAATATACATTCTTCTCAGCACCACATCACACTTATTCCAAAATTGACCACAAAGTTGGAAGTAAAGCACTCCTCAGCAAATGTAAAAGAACAGAAATCACAACAAACTGTCTCTCAGACCACAGTGCAATCAAATTAGAACTCAGGATTAAGAACCTCATTCAAAACTGCACAACTACATGGAAACTGAACAACTTACTCCTGAATGACTACTGGGTAAATAACAAAATGAAGGCAGAAATAAAGATGTTCTTTGAAACCAATGAGAACAAAGACACAACATACCAGAATCTCTGGGACGCATTTAAAGCAGTGTGTAGAGGGAAATTTATAGCACTAAATGCCCACAAGGGAAAGCAGGAAAGATCTAAAATCGACATCCTAACATCACAATGAAAAGAACTAGAGAAGCAAGAGCAAACACATTCAAAAGCTAGCAGAAGGCAAGAAATAACTAAGATCAGAGCAGAACTGAAGGAGACAGAAACACAAAAAACCATTCAAAAAATCAATGAATCCAGGCGCTGGCTTTTTTGAAAAGATCAACAAAATTGATACATCACCAGCAAGACTAATAAAGAAGAAAATAGAGACTAATCAAACAGATGCAATGAAAAATGATAAAGGGGATATCACCACCGATCCCACAGAAATGCAAACTACCATCAGAGAATACTATAAACACCTCTATGCAAATAAACTAGAAAATCTAGAAGAAATGGATAAATTCCTGGACACATACACTCTCCTAAGATTAAACTGGGAAGAAGTTGAATCCCTGAATAGACCAATAACAGGCTCTGAAATTGAGGCAATAATTAATAGCCTACCAACCAAAAAAAGTCCAGGACCAGACGGATTCACAGCAGAATTCTACCACAGGTACAAAGAGGAGCTAGTCCGATTTCTTCTGAAACTATTCCAAACAATAGAAAAAGAGGGACTCATCCGTAACTCATTTTATGAGGCAAGCATTATCCTGATACCAAAGCCTGGCAGAGACATGACAAAAAAAGAGAATTTTAGACCAATATCCCTGATGAACATCGATGCGAAAATCCTCAATAAAATACAGGCAAACCAAATCGAGCAGCACATCAAAAAGCTTATCCACCAAGAACAAGTTGGCTTCATCCCTGGGATACAAGGCTTGTTCAACATATGAAAATCAATAAATGTAATCCATCACATAAACAGAACCAAAGCCAAAAACCATGTGATTATCTCAATAGATGCAGAAAAGGCCTTCGACAAAATTCAACAGCCCTTCATGCTAAAAACTCTCAATAAACTAGGTATTGACGGGACGTATCTCAAAATAATAAGAGCTGTTTATGCCAAACCCACAGCCAATATCATATTGAATGGGCAAAAACTGGAAGCATTCCCTTTTAAAGCTGGCACAAGACAGGGATGCCCTCTCTCACCACTTCTATTCAACATAGTGTTGGAAGTTCTGGCCAGGGCAATCAGGCAAGAGAAACAAATAAAGGGTATTCAATTAGGAAAAGAGGAAGTCAAATTGTCCCTGCTTGCAGATGACATGATTGTATATTTAGAAAACCCCATCGTCTCAGTCCAAAATCTCCTTAAGCTGATAAGCAACTTCAGCAAAGTCTCAGGATACAAAATCAATGTGCAAAAATCACAAGCATTCCTATACATCAGTAACAGACAGAGAGCCAAATCATGAGGGAACTCCCATTCACAATTGCTACAAAGAGAATAAAATACCTAGGAATCCAACTTACAAGGGATGTGAAGGACCTCCTCAAGAAGAACTACAAACCACTGCTCAACAAAATAAAAGAGGACACAAACAAATGGAAGAACATTCCATGCTCATGGATAGGAAGAATCAATGTCATGAAAATGGCCCTACTGCCCAAGGTAATTTATAGATTCAATGCCATCTCCCTCAAGCTACCAATGACTTTCTTCACAGAATTGGAAAAGACTACTTTAAAGTTCATATGGAACCAAAAAAGAGCCTGCATTGCCAAGACAATCCTAAGCCAAAAGAACAAAGCTGGAGGCATCACGCTACCTGACTTCAAACTATACTACGTGGTTACAGTAACCAAAACAGATGGTACTGGTACCAAAATAGATATATAGACCAATGGAACAGAATAGAGCCCTCAGAAATAATACCACACGTCTACAACCATTTGATCTTTGACAAACCTGACAAAAACAAGAAATGGGGAAAGGATTCCCTATTTAATAAATGGTGCTGAGAAAACTGGCTAGCCATATGTAGAAAGCTGAAACTGGATCCCTCCCTTAAACCTTATACAAAAATTAATTCAAGATGGATGAAAGACTTAAATGTTAGACCTAAAACCATAAAAACCCTAGAACAAAACCTAGGCAATACCATTCAGGACATAGGTATGGACAAGGACTTCATGACTAAAACACCAAAAGCAATGACAACAAAAGCCAAAATAAACAAATGGGATCTAATTAAACTAAAGAGCTTCTGCACAGCAAAAGAAACTACCATCAGAGTGAACAGGCAACCTACAGAATGGGAGTAAATTTTTGCAATCTACCCATCTGACAAAGGGCTAATATCCAGAATCTACAAAGAACTCAAACAAATTTACAAGAAAAAATCAAACAACCCCATCAAAAAGTGGGCAAAGGATATGAACAGACACTTCTCAAAAGAAGACATTTATGCAGCCAAAAGACACATGAAAAAATGCTCATCATCACTGGCCATCAGAGAAATGCAAATCAAAACCACAATGAGATACCATCTCACACCAGTTAGAATGGTGATCATTAAAAAGTCAGGAAACAACAGGTGCTGGAGAGGATGTGGAGAAATAGGAATGCTTTTACACTGTTGGTGGGACTGTAAACTAGTTCAGCCATCGTGGAAGACAGTGTGATAATTCCTCAAGGATCTAGAACTAGAAATACTATTTGACTCAGCAATCCCATTACTGGGTATATACCCAAAGGATTATAAATTATGCTACTATAAAGACACATGCACACATATGTTTATTGCGGCACTATTCACAATAGCAAAGACTTGGAACAACCCAAATATCCATCAATGATAGACTGGATTAGGAAAATGTGGCACATATACACCATGGAATACTATGCAGCCATAAAAAAGGATGAGTTCATGTCCTTTGTAGGGACATGGATGAAGCTGGAAACCATCATTCTCAGCAAACCATAACAAGGACAGAAAACAAAACACCTCATGTTCTCACTCATGGGGGGAATTGAACAATAAGAACACTTGGACACAGGAAGGGGAATGTCACACACCAGGGCCTGTCGTGGAGTGGGTTAGTGGGGAGGGATAGCA
The DNA here is from genome assembly GCF_000001405.40 of Homo sapiens. Lineage (NCBI taxonomy): Eukaryota > Metazoa > Chordata > Mammalia > Primates > Hominidae > Homo > Homo sapiens. The sequence continues at coordinate 164,039 of NT_167249.2, forward strand.
TTAGGAGAAATACCTAATGTAAATAACAAGTTAATGGGTGCAGGATACCAACATGGCACGTGTATACATATGTAACAAACCTGCACATTGTGCACATGTACCCTAGAACTTAAAGTACAAAAAATAAGAGAATAAAATATTTCCCCCCTTAGACCTGAGCCCTGATAGTATTTATTTATATTTCTGACCCCCTACTACAGCTTCTTACTTTTGACAATTGTCCTTTTTTTTTTTTTGAGATTGAGGCTCGCTCTGTCACCCAGGCTGGATTGCAACAGCGCAATCTCAGCTCACTGCAACCTCCACCTCCCAGGTTCCAGTGATTATCCTGTCTCAGACTCTCAAGTAGCTGGGATTACAGGCGGCTGTCACTATGCCTGGCTAATTTTTTGTATTTTTAGTAGAGAAGGGGTTTTGCCATATTGGCCAGGCTGGTCTCAAACTCCTGACCTCAAGTGATCCTCCCACCTCGGCCTCCCAAAGTGCTGGGATTACAGGCATGAGCCACCATGCCCAGCCAATTGTCCTTTTTCTAACACAAAATACTTCCATGGTCTGAGCACCGTGAATGAGGCTGTCAAACTGGAAAAGTGAGTTAAGCTGAGATGCAGACCTGCCAAAGTCTCAACCAACACCATAGGGAGCACTGGATTACATATGGCCTATACTCCTGTGGTGCCAAAACGACAAATCTTTTTACTCCACTGCAATCAATTGTTGAAGGTGCATCATCCCAGGAAGGGTGTGCTTTTGGGAGAATCAACTCTCTGCACCTGAGATAAACCCTAGAACATTGGCAGCACTCCAAACAACTAAGGGAAATGAGTCCTTCTTTGAGAGGGAATGTAGGTGGCATTTCTCCATGTCTTATATATCTCAGTTATTATTTATTCAAATATTGCCTCTGCTCTATTGTCTTTCATCCATTAAAAATTCTAATTAAATATATATTAGATCTCCTTATCCTCTCTTCTATTAATACCATTATTTTGCATCTCCATACTTTGTTCTGAATAATTACTTTTTGTTTTTTTATGAGACAGAGTATCGCTCTGTTGCCCAGGCTGGAGTAAAGTGGCACAATCTCGGCTCACTGCAAGCTCCGCTTTCTGGGTTCATGCCATTTTCCTGCCTCAGACTCCCAAGTAGCTGGGACTACAGGTGCCTGCCACCACACCTGGCTAATTTTTTGTATTTTTAGTAGAGATGGGGTTTCACCGAGTTATCATGATGGTCTCGATCTCCTGACCTCGTGAACCACCTGCCTCAGCCTCCCAAAGTGCTGGGTTTACAGATGTGAGCCACCACGCCCAGCGTGTTCTGAATAATTTCTTCTAAATTATTTTCCACTTTACTAATACTCTTTTCAGTTGTGTCAAGTTTGTTGTTAATTTATCCTTCAAGTTCTTAATTTTGGTTATTATATATTTCAATTACAAATAAATTTTGGTTTTTATTTTTAAATCTACTTCGTCAGTTTTTATATTTTTCAATTTGCTCCTTAAATTTTTTAGATTAGCTTTTGTTTCTTTGAATATAGTAAGCAGTTTTGTTACACCCTTATCTGATAATTTCCAAATCTGAAGTTTAGTAGATTCTATTTCTGGTATCTGTCATTTCTTTTTCTTTCTTTCCTTTCTTTTCTCTTTTTCTTTTTTCTTTCTTTCTCTCTTTCTTTCTCTCTCTTTTCTTTCTTTTCTTTTTTTGAGTCTGTTGTTTCTGTTGATTTTCACGGAGACTTGTTTGTTCATGTGTATGCACGTTTGTATGCTGGGTTTTGTATTTGAAAAAAATATTTCTAGAAATAATGTGAAGTCTAGGTTAAAGTTTTATTCCTTCAGAGAGGATTTTCTTTTGCTTCTTCAGAAACCTAGATGTGCTGAAATACAGCCCACCTTAAACCAGTGTCAAGGTTTGGGGTCTTATGGGCTACCAGATGATGGTAAGCCAAGCTGCAGTTTATGGGTGAGCAGGTTTACTTACAGTTCCCCTTTACTCCTAGAAAGCAGCCTCAGGGGGAGTGCATGATCACCAATGTCGCCACTTTGGGCAGCCCTAGGTTTCTGTTTTTGTTCCTCTAACCCTATGAGGCTATCAGAAACATAGATAAGTCTCTTGGCTTCTACATCCAGATTACAAATGTTGCCAGGGCAAAAGGGGTCCCAACTGCTAGATTCACTTCTCTGGGTTTGTTTCTTTTACTGACACTCAGCAGGTAATTGATTACTAGTTTATTATATTTTTAATGCTTTAAGAAAGAATTATTTTTATATATCACCCGGCTTTATTGTTGTCTTTACCAGGGGGATTATCTGAATTACCTAGACATCCATTATCTGGAACAGAGTTCTGTCTCTCTTCACTTGTCTTAATTGAAAACTAGAGTCAGCACCCCTGAATATCAGCGGAATCCACTGCACCATAATCTGTGGATTATGCTGTTAAAGCGAACTAAATATGGCCTGAGAAAGATTCCATACTTTTATATTTGGGTCCTTGTGGAGGAATTGCAACCTAGTTTAATGGGTAGACAAGATTGAAAACCTAACTTAGGAATATGTGCCTATAACAATAGCTGAGTCTTGGCCAATCCCAGTGGCTGTAATTCAACCATTCATACACTGCTGAGTGTTCAAATTGTGTTCAAATAAGGCAAAAACTGAGCTGTAACCCATCCAGCCATTCTGTACCTCACTTCCAATTTCCATATGTCATTCCTTTTTTTTTTTTTTTTAAGAAGGAGTTTTGCTGTTTTGCTCTGTTGCCCAGGCTGGAGTGCAGTGGCTCGATCTCAGCTCACTGAAACCTCTGCCTCCCGGGTTCAAGCAATTCTCCTGGCTCAGCCTCCTGAGTAGCTGGGATTACAGGAGCATGCCACCACAGCCGGCTAATTTTTTTGTATTTTTAGTAGAGACGGGGTTTCACCATGTTGGTCAGGCTTGTCTTGAACTCCTGACCTCGTGAGCCACACACCTCGGCCTCCCAAAGTGCTGGGACTATAGGCGTGGGCCACTGCGCTCGGCCCTCCCTTTTTTTTTTTTTTTTTTTTGGTCTATAAATCTTCTTCCACCATGTGACTGCGCTGAGTCTCTGTGAATCTGTTGTGATTCTGGGGGCTGCCCGATTCGCAAACCGTTCATTGCTCAATTAAACTCCTTTAAATTTAATTCAGCTGAATTTTTTCTTTCATCAATGCCCATATTCTGAAGGTGTGAGTGAGCCTATACCAACAAGGTCAGGCTCAAACCTAGCCATTTTCTTCCAAAGTGTTAACCACAGTATTAAATAGCACCAAGGTTTTTAAAATAACTGAGACATTTACACACAAATATATTTTTAAAAAATAGAGATGGCCGGGCACGGTGGCTCAGGCCTGTAATCCCAGCACTTGGTAGGCTGAGGCAGGCGGATCACCTGAGGTCGGGAGTTTGAGACAAGCCTGACCAACATGGAGAAACCCCGTCTCTACTAAAAATACAAAATTAGCCATGCATGGTGGCGCATGCCTGTAATCCCAGGTACTTGGGAGGCTGAGGCAGGAGTATTGCTTGAACCTGGGAGGCGGAGGTTGCAGTGAGCCGAGATCGCGACATTGCACTCCAGCCTGGGCAACAAGAGTGAAACTCCATCTCAAAAAAAAAAAAAAAAAAAGAGATATAATCCAGTACCTTATATCTGTGCTACACCCTCATACCGTAGACTTTGTATGACTGTACGATGCTCTTCTTTGCATGACTATACAAGGCCCTTCAAAACCCGAGAAAAGTGTTCCTATTCTCATGTCAAAACTTCCTAGCACTATTAATGGAATGAACTGTTGGGGGAAAATGAAATAAAAAAGCAATGTTATTTCCCCTAAATCTTTAGCAAGCACTTGTTGGATTAGTGAATCTTTGCCCTTGCGTGCAAGTCAGAGGATGGCAGCTCAAACTCACTAGAATCCATCTGGTTGTCTCCTCTTTTCTTTTGTCTCACATGCTTTGTTATGTGTCAGTTTAACTATACATATTTTAAAATAAGGACTTTCAGGGCAAAACATCTTACCATATACTATCACCGTAACTTGATGTAAACTTGAACTTAGTATACAGTAAGGCTGAGCTTATAAAATGTTCATTCAGGCTTACGTCAAGTTATGGTGGTAGAATATGGTAAATGAACTTATGTGATCTTATAAACTTAAAAACTGCTTATAAACTGCTCTAAAACTTTTTTTAAAAATTAAAAATAAAACAAATTCAAGGTATGCTCTTCTACTGGATATGCCATCTTAATTTTCTGTAACGGAAACTATCCTTTTGCCAACATCTACTCAGATGACTGGACTAATACAGTCATGCCTAGATCAACCTCAGGGATATGATCTGAAAAATTAGTCATTAGGGCATTTCATCACTGTGCAAACATTTTAGAGAGTATTTAACACAAACCTAGATGGTATAGCCTACTCCACACCTAGGTTATACGGTGTAGTCCATTGCTGCTGGGCTACAAACCACTACAGCATGTTACTGTATTGAATACTGTAGGGCAATGGAACACACAGATACGTATTTGTGTACTTAAACACAGGAAAGATACAGTAAAAATATGGTATTATAGTCTTATAAAACCATGGTCGTACATGTAGTCAGTCATTGACGGAAAGGTCTTTGTGTGAAGCACAAATGTAGTTCCAATTTGAGCATGACATCTTGTTGAAGGTTTAAGAATTAACCTGTATACTGAGAGTACATGTGGCTTCAGGTTGTTCACATACATATATTTTCAGGTTGTTCATACATATTATATGCTATTATAAGGTATTTTAAACTACCATGAACACCACAATAAAACATGGGAAAATGTTAATGATTTATTAGAGGAAAATAACTCAGTTATGAATATTGAAGCCCATTCTAAAGATAGAATTTTTGAAGCTAAAGAATATGCCCTAGATAACTACTATAGGTATTGTAAAAACAATTTGTTTTGAAAACCCAGAGGGCATATTCAAAAACAAGAATCTACCATACAGAAAGGTAGTCGCCATCTCAAAACTCTCATATATAGCAAAGGACTTTGGTCTTCCCAAGATAGCCATTTGGTTGTGCCTAAGTCATTCCCCAGAACTTTGATGTGCCTCGCACATGAAAGCACCCATAAATAATGGCAAGAACAAATTCACTACAAATTTTCAAAATTATTGTTAGAAAATTTTTCTCAAGAAGCTCTATGGGTAGATGAATCTTTTCTTCTCTGTGTTGATCATAACCCTCCAAAAAACTAAAACTATAGCAAGGCTTCAGTTTTCCACCTCCAGTACCATTTGCGCATTTACAAATGGATTTCATTCAGTTTTCCAAAATTTTAAAAAATTGAACGTTGTTTCAACAATATTTTCAAAAGTAAAATTGTGTAATTTGGGTTGGACTGAAGCTTTCTCTTCTAAAAGATTAATACTTTAAGTTAGTGTTGTCAAATAGGGCTTTTTACAATGATGAAAATGTTCTATATCTGTGCTGTCCACCTGGTAGGTATGACATGCCACGTGTGGCTATTGAGCATTGAAATGGGAATAGTACAACAGCTGTTACCAAAACCTAATAACAAGTATCATTCAAAGCTTGCAGATTTTGTTTTTCCAACTGGGAAATACAAAACATTTAGCACTGTTAATGGACAGAGAAATCCACTTCAGTAGTGAAATTCTTAAGATTCTCCCATTAAAACATACACTTTTTGTCCTTATTCTCAAAATCTGAGAAAGCAACACAAATTTATGGTCTTCTTTAAATCAACATTTGAAAACACCATCGCAAAATTACAACTGAGACAGTGAGAGATCTAACCTAACCAATTCCATCTTGCTTCTAACCTCCAAGCTGTCCTTGTTCATTCCTGGTCGTAGGCTGACCTAACTTTGGGAGGAACTTAGTTTATAGTTTAGCTTTGAAACAAAGACAATAGCAGCCCTTTCCAAAACAAACCCGCTTCCTGCCTGGGGACTAGACTGCTTTCGCAGGACTAACAAATTAGCCACAAGATTATAAATTATGGTTTAGGAGTCATGCAGCTGGAGGCTGCAAGATTCTAAACCTCCCCCAATTGCTCCTCAGGATAACATCACTATTGTAAAACCGAAGATCAGTTCTTGAGATATTTTGCAGCCCCTGTACTCTATGGATCAGCTAGCACCACCCATAACGATAAACTGGCTCATCTGGTCTTGTGGCCCCCATCCAGAAATTAAGCCAACACAAGAGGACAGCTTCGACTCCCTCTGATTTCATCTCCGACCCGACTAATCAACTTTCCCAACTCACTGGTCCCCTACCCACCAAATTATCCTTAAAAACTGCAATCCACTTGGGGAGACTGATTTGAATAATAATAAAACGGGTCTCCCACACAGCCGGCTTTGCATGCCCGTCTTGATAAATGGTTCTGTCTAGGCAGTGGGCAAGCTGAACTCATTGGGTGGTTACACATTTTCAAATTTTCAGAGCTTTCCTTAGACTAAAACTTTACCATCAGTCCTAAGGTAGTATGATCCATGCTACAAAACTCGCCATAAAACCTTACTATGTAACACTGCTATAGAAATCTATAAAGTGTTTCCTTCGTAGGAGGGCCGTAGGCAGCCATGGCGCCCAGCAGGAATGGCATGATGTTGAAGCCCCACTTCCACAAGGACTGGCAGCAGCGTGTGGCCACGTGGTTCAACCAGAAGATCCGCAGAATCAAGGCCCGGCAAGCCAAAGGGCGCTGCATCGCCCCGCGCCCGGAGAGTCGGGACCCATCTGGCCCATTGTGCTGTGCCCTGCTGTGCGTTATCACATCAAGGTGCGCGCCGGCAGAGGCTTCAGCCTGGAGCTCAGGGTGGCGGGCATTCACAAGAAGGTGACCCGGACCACTGGCATCTCTGTGGATCCGAGGCGGCAGAACAAGTCCACCGATTCCCTGCAGGCCAATGTGCAGCGTCTGAATGAGTATTGCTCCAAACTCATCCTCTTCCCCAGAAAGCCCTCGGCCCCCAAGAAGGGAGACAGTTCTGCTGAAGAACAGAAATTGGCCACCCAGCTGACAGGACCGGTCATGCCCATCAAGAATGTAAGGAGAAAGCCCGAGTCATCACTGAGAAGTAGAGGAATTGCAAAGCTTTCGCTAGTCTCCGCATGGCCGGTGCCAATGCTTGGCGGCAATGCTCGGCTCTTCGGCATATGGGCAAAAAGAGCCAAGGAAGCTGAAAAACAGGATGTGTGAAAGCAAAAATAAAGCCCTCTTGGGGACTTGTAATAAATACGTTTTAAAAGAAATCTATAAAGTTTAAACTGATTCTTCCTCTGACAGAGAAAGGCAGTTTCTTAACAGATAGAAAACACGTGAAACTGGTGGTCGGTCACTTCCCAATAAGATCTCAGGAGTGGGGAGAAATAACACAAGATTTAGGAACTATGCCAACGTTTACGACCCCAGGTCTAGAGGTCAAGCCGTGCACTTGGTCTCTCAAGTCGCCTGCTTGGCCCTCTTCCAAGTGTACTTTCCTTCATTAGTGCTCTAAATATTTTCAATAATTTTTCACCCCTGCTCTAAGACTTGCCTCGGTCTCTCCTTCGGCATTATGCTCCTCAATCGAATTCTTTCCTTCTCCTGAGGAGGCAAGAATTAATGTTGCTGCAGACTCCTTACAGATAACTGCCACCGCTAATATGTTGAGATGTTCACACATGCATGTGTGAGGCCCTTCAAAATGTGAGCTGCGGTTAGAATTGGGAAGAGAAGGGAGTGGGGATATGTATCTTTGTTTTCTGATTGCCTTCCATATCTTTTAAAACTAGCTAAGTGCTGCTTCAAGTCAGCCAGATACGAAGGCTTCAATTTATTTAACACAATAAAGAACTTCTATTTGGATCCAAAGCTTACATTATGCTTTAATAAAAGTTACCCTAATAAAGTCAGAAACAATAACAATGAGTCAAAGAAATGCATACAAAGTAGGCCAGGCGTGGTGGCTCACGCCTGGAATCCCGGCACTTTAGGAGGCAGAGGCGGGTGGATCGTGGATCACTTGAGTTCAGGAGTTCGAGACCAGCCTGGCCAACATGGTGAAACCCCCGTTTCCACTAAAAAAAAAAAAATTAGCCGGGCATGGTGGTGCATCATGCCTGTAATTCCAGCTACTCGGGAGGCTAAGGCAGGAGAATCACTTGCATCTGGGAGGCACAGCTTGCACGTGAACCGAGATGGTGCCATTGCACTCTGCACTCCAGCCTGGGAGACAGAGTGAGACTCTTGTCTCCAAAAAAAAAAAAAAAAGCCTACAAAAAGCTTACAAAGTCTAAAATCGGACGAACAAGAGGACACCTGATGGGGGAAAAGAAAAGAGATTGCGATGGGAAGAGAGTGGTGGGGAAATCCGTGGGACAGTTTTCCTATTTTCTGGGTCTGTCCCTTGACCAAGGAACAGCTCAAAAAAGAAAGGATCTAAAATAAATTGTAAAAAATTACCTGTGGTTTCGCATTTGTTTTCTGTCTTTTTCTTTCTTGCTTGATCTTCGATAATACTGGGAAATGTAACCAATGTGATTGGGCTTGTTAATTTGGTGCCTTGCTTGTTTTTCGGGTTTTGGAATTCTGCCAGTCTGTGCTTCCGCGGCCTCTTTCATTTTGTCTTTCATCTCTTGACACAGCCACCCAGGGTGGTGTCAAAGCCTTAGAGCAGAAATGCATCAATATTGAAAGCAAAACGGAGCTTGTTTTCCTTGGTTTCCATGTGAATTTGAAGAATTGAGAGAGAATGAAAGTGCCACAAAAACAAAAGAAAAAAAATTGAGGCGAGTCGTGGACATGATAGACATGATTTTGCAAACAAGGCACATCTAGGAGAAAAGGCGGGAGAAAAATGAAGCTGGAGGTGCCGGGGATTGAACCCGGGGCCTCGTGCATGCTAAGCACGCGCTCTACCACTGAGCTACACCCCCCAACGCTCAACGTGGGCCAAAATATTTCTATGACCTGTTACTATTATCGGTCGTGCCAAGAAGCATATTTTGTCGAACTTAATTTTGAATTCGCTATACTGGATATTGTTTCCTGACTGCGCTGAGAGAAGGAAAACTGAATGTTATATCGAAAGTCCCGTGCTGGGCCTGGGATCTCCCGCTGCAGGTCACCCTCTCGGACGGCCGCTCGACAACCACCTATCGGGGTTTATAAGGGAGCCGTCCTGCCTGGCCGCCCCCCAGAGAAAGGTCTGTGATGGGGTGATTCTGCTTGGAAAGGTTGCCAGGAAACCGCGAGCATAACGCAGAAAGATAAAACGAAAGCCCTAAACGCCGCCGTGGGAATTTAAGTCCAAGGGGCAGAGAAAACAGGAGGGGAATTGCAGATCGGCTTGTCCCGGTCGTAGTTACTGCCCCTGCAGGTTCCCGCGCCCAGCCTCGGGATGGAGAACCTGGCACGCTACGTTTCGCGGGCTCTGAGACTCGGGTGGTGAGAGTCGCCGAGATGCGCACTGGGAAGAGAAAAGAGCCAGGACGCACCTGCATTTATGGCGCCATCGCCCGGGCGGAATCCTCCACGGAATAAAAAGTATGCAGAAGCAAGGCGATTTATGACTGCATAAACCCTCCGTGCTCCTGGAGAGTTCTTAGACCTCTCCACTCCTTGGCACAACTGACCTCTCCACTCTTCGACAAACTGGCAAGCGCTTGCCGCCGTTCGCCAAACCTTGGTACGACAGTCAATCCAGAAATGAGCTTCTGGAACAAATCCTAAATCCTTTTTTGTCTGTCTTCTTCTGATTCGCTCTCATCCTTAAGGGACCTGTTTCTCCTTCAAAACCTGAAAACATCTAACCTATAGTACCAACCCCAGATCCAGGCCTGGCCTTCCTGACCAGTCAAAGCCAGTTGGACTGTGCGCCTAGAAGTGGACAGACATGCGAAATGCCATACTGTATACGTACAATGCATAGGCCAAAGGCGACCCTATGACCCAGAGATTAGAAAGACTCGGACGTCTTTTGACTGGGTTCAGGTCACACTACTCCCAAAATACGACACCTCGGCATTTGAGAAAACAGCAGAAGCAGAAACGTTTTTCTCTGGGCCCTTGTTCCGTGAAGCGGGCCATGAAAGCTACCTGATCTTCCAATTAAAGTAGGTGATAAGACCGTCAATTCAGAGGGGAGAAAATGTACTTGGAGGAAATAAACGAAGACACAGAGATGCCAAAGAGAACCTGAATAAACAGGCTTTGCTAAGTTCACCCCAGTTTATAACCATTAGATCATACCCCCTTTTATCCAATTATACTGCTATGGGACTATCCACTTCATCAAACCTAAGCATAAAAATATAGGAAGTCCTCACTTATTGTCAGTTGGTTTTTGGAAACTATTACTTTAAGCAAAATAAAACTAATTCTACCATAGACTAGACTAATTGATTTAAGAGTTAATTTTCTTGGCAAATGTCTGATCACAAAAACACCAAATTTCTAAATAAGGACTCCAAACACTTCTAACACTAAATATTGAAAAAAATATGAGCTGCACCTCAAGTTAAGATCAGCAAAAACAGACGTGATTGATTTATTTTTGGTGAATCAGTGACTGCAGTTCTAGTGGTGGCAGGTTATATCAAGGAATAAATGTTTGTGAAATAGCAGTTGTAAGGAGCAACTCCTACTAACACACAATTCGTAAAACATTGTGTCCGGAATTGGCGGGTTCTTGATCTCACTGATTTCAAGAAAGCCACAAGTCCTCCGGATGAGTGTTACAATCGTTAGATGCGGTGTAGCCAGAGTTCATTCCCTCTGACGTTCGGATGTGTTATAGAGTTTCTTCCTTCTGGTGGTTTGGTCTTCTACTGGCTCAGGAGTGAAGCTGCAAACCTTGGCAGTCAGTGTTACATCTTCTAAGGCGGCGCCTCCGGAGTTGTTTGTTCTTGTCCGAGAATTCATGTTTTTCCTAACTTCAAAAGATAAGCTGCGGACCATCAACAAATTACAGCTCATAAACGTAGTGTAAACCCAAAGAACAATCAAGATCCATCGCAGAGAGCGAAAAAACACTTCCGCACCGTGGGAAAAAGCCCGAACACGTTGTCGCAGTTGGTTCCGGCAGCCTGCTTTTATTATCTTGTCTGGCCCCACCCACATCCTGCTGATTGGTCCATTTTACAGAGAACTGACTGGTCTGTTTTACAGAGAGCTGATTGGTCCATCTTCACAGAGTGCTCATTGGCGCGTTTACAATCCCTGAGCTAGACACAAAAGTTCTCCAAGTCCCCACCAGAGTAGCTAGATACAGAGTGTCCATTAGTGAATTCACAAACCCTGAGCTAGACACAGGGTGCTGATTGGTGTGTTTACAAACCTTGAGCTAGATACAGAGTGCCGATTGGTGTATTTACAATCCCTTCGCTAGACATAAAGGTTCTCCAAGTCCCCACCAGAGTAGCTAAATACAGAGTGTCCATTGGTGCATTCACAAACCCTGAGCTAGACACAGGGTGCCGATTGGTGTGTTTACAAACCTTGAGCTAGATACAGAGTGCCGATTGGTGTATTTATAATCCCTTAGCTAGACGTAAACGTTCTCCAAGTCCCTACCAGACTCAGGAGCCCAGCTGGCTTCACCCAGTGGATTTTCCACCGGTGCCGCAGGTGGAGCTGCCTGCCAGTCCCGTGCTTTGCGCCCGCACTTCTCAGCCGTTGGGTGGCCGATGGGATTGGGCGCCGTGGAGCAGGGGGCGGCGCTCGTCGGGGAGGCTCGGGCCGCGCAGGAGCCCATGGCGGGGAGGGGCGTCTCAGGCATGGCGGGCTGTAGGTCCCGAGCCTTACCCCGCGGGGAGACAGCTAAGGCCCGGCGAGAAGTCGAGAACAGCAGCTGCTGGCACAGGTGCTAAGCCTCTTACTGCTCGGGGCTTGCGGATTAGGGGGCCGCTCCGAGTGCGGAGCCCGCCGAGCCCACGCCCACCCGGAACTCGCGCTGGGCCCGCAAGCGCCGCGCGCAGCCTCGGTTCCCGCCTGCGCTTCTCCCTCCACACATCCCTGCAAGCTGAGGGAGCCGGCTCCGGCCTTGGCCAGCCCAGCAAGGGGCTCCCACAGTGCAGCGGCGGGCTGAAGTTCTCCTCAAGCGCGGCCAGAGTGGGCGCCAAGGCCGAGGAGGCGCCTAGAGCAAGCGAAGGCTGTGAGGGCTGCCAGCAAGCTGTCACCTCTCAGTATGGCGGCTGGCTGTTTTAGCACCATGTCGTTTATTGTCATGCATTTGTAGGATTATGAAATGCTTCCTGAATTTTGCTTTTACAGTAACTTGTATTCATTCATGCATTTTTCAACCTGCTCACTCCAGTTCAAGGTCTTTGGTGGCTGAAGCCTAATTCAACTCCTCATAGTGTCAGGAGGGAACCCACCGTGGACAGGTGGCCATTCCATCACAGGGCGGGCTCATACACACACACACACACTCACACATATGCTCGCGTGCTCTTTCACTCAGACTGATGACGCTAGACTCAGACTAGATATGCTAATGAACCTAATGTGCACATTTTTGGGATGTGGGAGGAAACTCAGACAGTGGCTTCCAGGAGAAATAGACTTTTTTCTCATCAACATTATAACAAAATGATGTTGAATGAAACAACGTTATTCAAGGGTCTGCTGTACGCAGATTTTCCTATTTCTTTAGGTCTTCATTTTTGAAGGCTCTTGTGTCAATAAAATTTGTTTGATTTGTATGCTTTTCCTTTTTTTTTTTTTTTTTTTTTTGTTGTTGAGACAGAATTTCACTTTTGTTGCCCAGGCTAGAGTGTAATGGCGCGATCTTGGCTCACCACAACCTCCGCCTCCCGGGTTCAAGCGATTCTTCTGCTTCAGCCTCCCGAGTAGCTGGGATTACAGGCGTGTGCCACTATGCCCAGCTAATTTCGTATTTTTAGTGGAAATGGGGGTTTCTCCATGTTGGCCAGGCTGGTCTCAAACTCCTGACCTCAGGTGATCCACCAGCTTCAGCCCCCCAAAGTGCTGGGATTACAGGCATGAGCCACCCCACCCGGCCTGCTTTTCCCTTGTTAATCTATCTTTTATTATGAAGTGTCAGCCATGAACCTGGCACTGGGTGGGAAAAGATGTTTTTCTGCCCTAGACCTTCCTATAAGTGCTTTTGGGACAACACTGCAGGAGTCCCCAAAGGTGAAAATTTACCTGCGGGAGTTAATAAAAACAGGAATCCCCAGGCCTTACCCCAGAGACTGAGATGCTGAGTGCTTTCAGAGTCTCCAGAAAAGGGCCCAGGAATTATTATGGGGTGACAGATGTCACAGCTAGATCGTCCTCACATCTATGGAATATTGTGTTATTTAATATTTCCCAGTTGAATTTGATATTCAGGCAAGTTTGAAAACCACTGGGCCTGAAAATCTAGCCACAACAGAAACTGAAACTAGGATCTGGGGAAAGTTAACAAGGGGAGGAGAAAGATTGGAAAGTATTACAAGAAAAACTTGGGATTGTAACGTTCCCCCCAAACTGGGAAGGTCCCGGAAGACCAAAGACAGTCCAGCTTAATAAGCAGGTGAGTTTAGTAGGACTTAGATACAGGGTACTCCTGGGTGCAGCAGGATAGCTCTAGAGATCCATGCCGCCTCCTGTCTTTAAACTGTTTCTAAGTTAATTTTCTGGCTTTTTGCCTACTGTGTTTGAGCAATGAGACTGTTTTTCTTGGTAGGTTCTCAGATACTCTCTGGGATGTTTGTGTTCTCAAGGACACCTGCTCCTCTGCTGGGCATCGTGGCCTTGGCTCACCACTGGGCCTTCAGGGTTCAGGCAGTAGACATACACTCTTAAGTGACATGGTGGGTGATCTGTCATGCTGCAATCCACCCTGCCTCCCATCTCTTACATTCTTTCTGCCAATCTTGTGTGAGACTCCTTGAGTAGGGTGGAAGGAAAGAACTATACAGGTCTATAACGTCTAGCCATGGCTTGCGCATACAGGTCACATCTACAGTATACGTAGGAGCACAAAAAGCAGAAGTTAACTACAATTATAATGTCTATTAGCAAAACCTAATTCCCATGACTAGAGAAGCTGTGTAACCAATTTGAGAATGAGTAAAAGAAACCTAATTAGGTTATATCATGGATCTGAGTTGACAAATGGTTTAAAGTACCTCTGACATTACTCTCTTCATCAGGGAAATAGGTGCAACAGTTAGCACCTAGAAAGGCACATTTTGGGTCTTTGTCACGTTGGCGATTGAGCCTCTAGGTGGAGGCAATCCTTAGTGAGCCCGGGTTGCATTATCAGTGCTATTGTACAAGTCACTCCAGTTCTGTCAGGAGAAAGGCAGAGTATTTTAAGGCATATCATTATTATTTTATAGGGAGAGGTATCTGACTGGTTGTTGACTGCTTCTGGAGTTGCAGCTCAGTCTAGAAAGACATTACCAGCTGCCATGAGTAGCAGGAACAACCTATGGGTATAAACACAGGTGGTTAGTAGGAACTCTCACAGGCGTATTCACTCCTTGCAACATTTTTTTTTTTAATTTTTTTGAGACAGAGTCTTGCTCTGTTGCCCAGGCTGGAGTGCAGTGGCACGATCTCGGCTCACTGCAAGTTCCGCCTCCTGGGTTCACGCCATTCTCCTGCCTCAGCTTCCTGAGTAGCTGGGACTACAGGCGCCCGCCACCACATCTGGCTAATTTTTTGTATTTTTAGTGGAGACGGGGTTTCACCGTGTTAGCCAGGATGGTCTCGATCTCCTGGCCTCATACTCCACCCGCCTTGGCCTCCCAAAGTGTTGGGATTACAGGCGTGAGCCACCGCGCCTGGCCACACCTTGCAACATTATTATCATTGTGTTTTCTCCCACTGGCACTATTAGGGATGCCACTGTGGGCTTCAGGCCTGGATTACAAAACCACCCATGTCTTCTTTTCCTAGAAGCAGCCACAATAGCCAATTGATAAGTTTCCAGCCTTGCCCATGCTATCCATACTATAATTATTCCAGCAGGTATGGGTGCTGCCATCTGTTGATAAAGTAAGTCTCTCGGAACTCTATCAAGGAGCACAGCTGGGACCACTGCCCCTATGGCAGTTATCATGGCACCACCCTCCAGTACTATAAAACTAATCCAGTATGGAGGCATATTCCAGCTCAGCTTCAGGTCCCTGTAGCCATCACTGCTTGGCAGATCCACTGGTGTTCTCAGGAGCATGTCTCACCATCTGCCTCAGGAGCATGGCTCAGTGTCTTTGAGGTAACCCCGAGAGTTTGTGGGACATGTCTTACAGGCCTTGCCAACCATTTATAAGGAGTGATGCCATGTGTGCTAGTGGGTGACTCATTTAAAGTTTGTATGGCTTTATGGAGATTCTTAGTCCAGGAACTTAAAGAGCCAACCTGAAACAGTGCACACATCTGGGTCTTTAACAGGCCATTATTTCTTTCTGTAAGTCCTGCCTCTGTTGGATTGTGGTGGTAAGTGGAACCTCCAGTCTATATTTTCTTCTTTTTTATTTTGAGACAGAGTCTCGCTCTGTTGCCCAGGCTGGAATGCAATGGTGCGATCTCAGCTCACTGCAACCTCCGCCTCCCGGATTAAAGCAATTCTCCCACCTCAGTCTCCCAAGTAGCTGGGACTACACGCATGCGCCACCACGCCTGGCTAATTTTTGTATTTTTAGTAGAGATGGGGTTTCACCATGTTGGCCAGACTGCTCTCAAACTCCTGACCTCAAGTGATCTGCCTGTCTCAGCCTCCCAAAGTGCTGGGATTACAGGCATGACCCACCGCACCTGGTCCAGTCTATATTTTCTTCTGATGCCCAGTGTTGGATATCTTTGCTATGCCCATCAATGTACCAGGGCCTAGCAGATATTGGCGGGGTACCCTTATATATGGTGGTTGGCCTGATGGGTGGCTCCACTGCCATGTTGGCTCCCTCCCATAACTGAGACCAAAACCCTATAGGTACCATTCCCATTAGTTGCTTTTGCCCCAAACCTAAATTCATCCCTGTGACATCTCTGGTGATTACTAATACAGCAGTAGAGTCTGTATGCTTGGGCTTGTTTCACCAATATTTTTGTTTTGTCAAATGCCTCTTGTTCTATTTATGTCATCTCATTTTTTACCTGTCTTTATTAGGGTGTATAATGGGTGGAGTATTTGTGCCAGATGAGGAATGAATATCCTCCAGTAGCCCAGTAAACCTAGGAAAACCTGGAGTTGCTCTACTGTCTGGAGAGCAGACTACTATGCTATCTTATCAATGACGGCTTTGGGTATGTTTCACATCTTACCCAACCAGGTAACTCTCAGGAATTTGACAGGCATGCCAAGCCTCTGTATATTTTTGGGGTTGATTTTCTATCCCTCCTTCAGGCTGTCCAAAACAGTTTGTAGGATAGTCTCCAAATCTGTAAGAGACTCTAGGGTAGCATGTTATCATTAATATAGTGAAACAGGGAGACCAAGGCAGGCAAAGAGATTATAGACAGCTCCTGTGTAACCATACTGTGAGAGATGGCGGGGCTTTGCAGATGCCCCTGTGGTGACACCTGGAAAGTCCATTCTTGGTCCTCCTAAGTGTAGACCAACTGTGAATCTTCAGCTGAAAGAATACTGGAAAAGGTATTAATGCAGTCAGTCACAGAATGGATACTTCCCAGCTTCGGTACTGCTTGCTCTAGCAGTTGAGCAATATTGGATACAGCTGCATGTACAGGGCGTACCACTTTGTTCAGCTAGCGGTAATCCACCATCATCTTCCAGGCATCACCTGGCTTCTTCACAGGCCAAACAAGGCTGCTGTAGGGGCTCTGGGCCAGTCTGACTATTTGTACCTTATGTACTTTCTGGATTGTTTGGGTGATTTCAGAGTGCCCCCCCAATAGCAGAAAGTATTGTTTCATGTTCATTACCTGCAAGGATACAGGTGCATATTTGGCCTATCCCCTTTTTGCTTTCTCTGTGGACCTGATCGTTATTTTTATCCAGCTCACTGAGGTCTGCCAATGCTTCCCCCCATCACAGATTTCATTTCCCACTAAGAGGCTCAGAAGTGTTGTCTGAAATTGGTGGGTTCTATGGTCTCACTGACTTCAACAATGAAACCGCAAACCCTCACAGAGAGTGTCACAGCTCTAAAGTTCGCGGGCGTGGAGTCTGTCCCTTCTGATGTTCAGATGTGTCCGCAGTTTCTTTTTTCTGGTGGGGTCGTGGTCTTGCTAGCTCAGGAGTGAAGCTGCAAACCTTTGCAGTGAGTGTTATACCTCATAAAAACAGCGTGGACCCAAAGAGTGACCAGTTGGAAAATTTATTGCGCATAGTGAAAAAAACAACGCTTTCACAGTGCAGAAAAGACAACCCAGCGGGTTGCTAATGCTGGTTCGGGCAGCCTGCTTTTATTCTTTTATCTGGCCCCACCCACATCCTGCTGATTGGTAGAGCCGAGTGGCCTGTTTTGTCAGGGCGCTGACTGGTGCGTTTACAATCCCTGGGCTAGATACAAAGGTTCTCCTCGTCCCCATTAGATTAGTTAGATACAGAGTTTCCACATACAGGTTCTCCAAGGCCCCACCAGAGCAGCTAGATACAGAGTGTCGATTGGTGCACTCACAAACCTTGAGCTAAACACAGGGTGCTGATTGGTGTGTTTACAAACCTTGAGCTAGATACAGAGTGCCGATTGGTGTATTTACAATCCGTGAGCTAGACATAAAGGTTCTCCACGTCCTCACCAGAGCAGCTAGATACAGAGTGTCGATTGGTGCACTCACAAACCTTGAGCTAAACACAGGGTGCTGATTGGTGTGTTTACAATCCCTGAGCTAGATAAAAAGACTCTCCACGTCCCCACCAGACTCAGGAGCCCAGCTGGCTTCACGTAGTGGATTCCGCACTGGGGCTGCAGGTGGAGCTGCCTGCCAGTCCTGCGCCCTGCACTCGCATTCCTCAGCCCTTAGGTGGTCGATGGGACTGGGTGCCGTGGAGCAGGGGGTGGCGCTCGTCCGGGAGGCTCGGGCCGCACAGGAGCCCACGGAGGGGGGTGGGAGGCTCAGGCATGGCGGGCTGCAGGTCCCGAGCCCTGCCCCGTGGGAAGGCAGCCAAGGCCCGGCGAGAAATCGAGCACAGCGCCGGTGGGCCGGCACTGCTGGGGGACCCAGTACACCCTTCGCAGCCACTGGCCCGGGTGCTAAGTCCCCCATTGCCCGGGGCCAGCAGGGCTGGCTGGCTGCTCCGAGTGCGGGGCCCACCAAGCCCACGCCCACCCGGAACTCCAGCTGGCCCGCAAGTGCGGCACACAGCCCTGGTTCCCGCTCGTGTCTCTCCCTCCACACCTCCCTGCAAGCTGAAGGAGTGGGCTCCGGCCTTGGCCAGCCCAGAAAGGGGCTCCCACAGTGCAGTGGGGGACTGAAGGGCTCCTCAAATGCCACCAAAGTGGGAGCCCAGGCAGCGGAGGTGCCGAGAGCAAGCGAGGGCTCTGAGGACTGCCAGCACGCTGTCACCTCAGTGTGACCAATGCCCTATATTATAAATGCCATTTTTTGAATTGGAAATGATCCAGACATTCAACAAGTACTTAAAACAATTTTAAGGTTTTAAACTACACAAAAAGTTCACCCGTAAGCATTTATCTCTTACATTTACTCAATTTATTCATTTTTAGCAGTTTACCTAGATTACTCATTGGAACGAAGACATTAGACAAAGTTACTCATCATTCTGAATTATTTTTTCTGTTAAACTGTGAATGTCAGGTGTTCACCTAGGCAAGAACTTTAAAGTTAAACACATGGGCATTTTTGCCAATAACTCAGGAATTTTAGCTGTTTTCACTGACCTAACAATATTAAATTAGTCATACTTACCAAAAAATCACACAAATAAAGATCATTCTGTTTTTGGCTGGGTTTACAGACTTATGATCTTTAGGTCAAACCCTGACACCTTAAAATATCTAGCAGAGGCAAATGTAAAACTAATTGGTAAACTGAGACAAAAACGTATGCTGACAATTCAAGGACATTTCTATTTTTATTTTACCAATAATTTTAAAGCCAGATTATTTATTAAAGATTACTAAATTCATATGAACTTGAAAAGCATTTGGACTTTATGAGTACTCATTTATGTATAAGCCATTTGGTAGTATGCTAGGCATAACACATAATATATATACATACACATAAACACATTTAAGCATGTATCTATACACACAAACCAATATCCAACAGCTTTTACTTGGAACTCTAGCCATGAGACAACATCATAAATTTACTATTTTACAAAAGATAGTTGGATCAGGCCGGGTGCAGTGGCTCAAACCTGTAATCCCAGCACTTTGGGAGGCCGAGGCAGGAGGATCACCTGAGTTCAGGAGTTGGAGACCAGGCTGGCTAACATGGTGAAACCCCGTTTCTACTAAAAATACAAAAAAGTAGCTGGGAGTGGTGGCGCACCCCTGTAATCCCAGCTTCTCAAGAGGCTCAGGCAGGAGAATCACTTGAACTTGGGAGATGGAGGTTGCACTGAGCCGAGATCTCACCGTTGCACTCCAGCTTGGGCAACAAGAGTGAAACTCCATCTCAAAAAAAAAAAAAAGGAAAAAAAAAAAAGAAAAGCTAGATCCAAATTATTTTTCACAAAATTGAGACCTGTCCACAAGACTAGACTTTGTTTGCACTGATAGGTAATCCAATAAAGACTGTGGAACACAATTTTGGGTAAAGCAGTTTCTATAGCAGTTTGATTTTTAAAATCCTCATTTATCCACATCCCCTTTTTTCTGTGCTTCAAATGAGTTTCATTGTTTACATTTTAGTAAGAACTGGCTGTACTGTAGAGAAAAGTAAAATCTCCGAGTGGCTTTGAATTAGTGAGTTTTATTTCAACACCAATAGCTTAATAATGGCATATTTGAGTGTTGGGGTGATCAGACCCAACACCAGGTCGTGGGGGCGACAAAGTCCTGCAGAGTCACAGAAATGAGAAAAAGACAGTTTGAGAGAGAAAGTGGGACTAAGTGGCCATCACGAGTGTGGAGGCTGCGAAGGCCCTGAGCTCTGGGAGCCCACGCTATTTATTGGTGCTCAAACAAACAGGTAGTGAAGATGTGGGGGTTGAAAGGAAATGGTGTATCAAGTGAAAGAGAAACATATGGCTACTTTAGATAATGGGAGTGCTAAAAGCAAGGAGCCAGCAAGTCTAGCAGACATACAAGTCCTGTTGTCTCCCAACACTCAGCTTCTCTCCCAACATTCGAGGCTGGGCGCAGTGGCTCACACCTGTAATCTCAGCACTTTGGGAGGCCGAGGTGGGTGGATCACAAGGTCAGGAGTTCGAGACCAGCCTGGCCAATATGGTGAAACCCCATCTCTACTAAAAATACCTGGGCGTGGTGGTGGGTTCCTGTAATCCCAGCTACTCGGGAGGCTGAGGCAGGAAAAGAGCTTGAACCCGGGAGGCGGAGGCTGTAGTGAGCTGCACTCCAGCCTGGGTGACAGAGTGAGAATCTGTCTCTAAATAAATAAATAGCATATTCAAAATAAGCAGAAACAAAAATAAAGAGAGAAATAGCTTTAGGAGACTCTACTTAACTCTATAGTTGCAGCTTAACCATTTAAAATCCGCATTTTTTTTGTTGTAATTTCCCCATCAGTTAAAAAATGTGCACAAGAAAGGGCCATACATAATAGGTAACCAGCTGGAGTCCTAAAAAAGCTGGCATGCTTTGAACTTCTGCAGGTGTTTCTATCCTTTCTCTGTTTCCTGCTCTAATGATTTCTCAGGGGCCAGCCTTATTGCAACAATAGCACATTTGCTATCCTTATCCTACTTTGATATCTTAGCCTCTTGCAATATGCGCTTAGTCCCCGCCACATTTTCTGAGTATCCCTATACTTCCTCAGCAGTCCACAAAGGTTGAGCGATGGAGCAATTCCACCCCACCTGCATGTTGCCGACCACCCCAGGATTCCCCCTGCAGATGCCCTTTCCTGACTCATTGTTTGGTCTCTCAGATCCTGTTTGTGATGCCAATTGTTATGAGCAAAACTTGGGACTGTAAC
The DNA here is from genome assembly GCF_000001405.40 of Homo sapiens. Lineage (NCBI taxonomy): Eukaryota > Metazoa > Chordata > Mammalia > Primates > Hominidae > Homo > Homo sapiens. The sequence goes on from NT_167249.2 coordinate 185,114, forward strand.
GTCCCCCTAAATTGGGAAGCAGCCAACAGACCAAAGAATGACTTGGACACGTACAGCTTGACAAGTAAGATGAATTTATTAGGACTTACACACAGGGTACTCCTGGATGTAGCAGGACAGCTCCAGAGATCCATGCAGCCTCCTGTCTCTAAATGGCTTTTTTTTTTTTTTTTTTTTTTTACCAAGTCTCGCTCTGTCTCCTAGGCTCGAGTATAGTGCTGCCATCTCGGCTCACTGCAGCCTCCGCCTCCTGGGTTCAAGTGATTCTCCTGCCTCAGCCTCCCGGGTAGCTGGGATTACAGGCACCCGCCACCCCATCCTGCTAATATTTGTATTTTTAGAAGAGACTGGGTTTCACTATGTTGGCCAGGCTGGTCTCGAACTCCTGGGCTCAAGCAATCCACCCACCTCGGCCTCCCAGAGTGTGGGATTACAGGCATGTCCACCGCACCCAGCCTCTAAACTGCTTTTAAGCTTATTTTCTGGCTATTTGTCTACTGTGTTTGAGTGATGAGACTGTTTTTCTTAGTAGGTTCCTAGATACTCTCCCGGATGTTTGGGTTCTTAGGGACACCTACTCTTTGGCTGGGCACCATGGCCTTGGCTCACCACCTGGCTTTCAGGATTCAGGCAGTGGACATACATCCTTACCTAATCTGGTGGGGGATTCATCACACTACGGAAGGGAAAAGAGGAAACCCATGAGGTGAGAGGCAGCGTGCTGGGTAGTGGAGCCTCAAGGATGCTCAGGATTTGGATGCTCAGATCTGGATGTGTCCCAGGTCCCCAATGCATCTGTGCTTCCTCCAGGTACTAGAGAAGAATGAATGCCCCTTACTCTAAAGTGAGGCAACAGAAGGTGTCAATCCTTCGAGTTCAGTTGTTCACAAAGCATAGGTCCATCAGAATCATCTGGATGACTTGTTGAAACATATTGGAACATCCTTTGGGAATTTCTGATTTAGTGGACCTGGGGTAGGGCCCAAGAATTTGCAGTTCTAACAGGTTTCCAGATTATACTGATGGTGATCCATGGACCAAATTCCAGAACCTCTTACAAGAGACCCAGCTTGTCTTGTCTGAGACTTTTGTGACTCACTGAGTCTCTGAATGGGCTCAGCATTTTCTCAGGTGCATCTCTTAAACTGTATGTTTGAAGTTCGTTAGTCACATACAGCTGCTCTTTGAAACTGTCATAAGGAAGCCAACCCATCTGGTTGTCAGAGAGCAGTGTTAAATGCTCACACAAGAGGCAAGGCTGCATAGGGTTGGGCAGCTCCAGTTGCAGAAGGAAACACCAATTTAGCATGTTTGCTTTCTTGCTTTTTTTGCCTGCTTATTTTTAGCATATCTAGTTGAGAATCCAAAACAACAACAAAAAAAGACAAGACAGACCACAGACAAATGTGTACACTTTACAAGATTCTCAAGACAACAACAGCAACAAAGTTTCTGAGTTTATGAATCTAAGTAGCATTTTACTCCCAGGATCTGAAGTTCAAGTTCTGATCCCTGTGCACCCAAATTACGTCTTTCTCCTCCAGGTAGAAAGCTATCAAAATCCAGCTTTTTCCTGGGCACGCTCTTTATAGCATATGCAGCTGACTCTTCTGCTACTGGCACACTGCTATTGGATAAAAAGAAGTCTTGGCTGGGCACAGTGGCTCACACCTGTAATCCCAGCATTTTGGGAGACCAAGGCAGGTGGATCTCCTGAGGTCAGGAGTTGGAGACCAGCCTGGCCAACATGGTGAAACCCTGTCTCTACTAAAAATACAAAAATTAGCCTCGTGTGGTGTGGCAGGCGCCTGTAATCCCAGCTGCTAGGGAGGCTGAGGCAGGAGAATCGCTTGAACCTGGGAGATGGAGGTTGCTGTGAGCCGAGATTGCACCATTGCACTCCAGCCTCAGCGATAAGAGCTAGACTCCAAAGAGCGAAACTCCGTCTTTAAAAAAAAAAAAAAAAAAAAAAAAAAGTCTCAAGCGCAGAACCGTGAAAAAGCTAAAGTTGTTATACAATTGGAGAGCGAATGATTCAACATTTTGTTAATCATTGACCTTATTCTCTGTCCTACTCTAAGGAGGGCATAATGTGTGTCTCCTGCAATCGGTCATAGGAATAATGCTTAAGGTCTAAACTAGCAGAGACTTGAGTGACAAAAAACAAAGAAGGAACCTATTTGAACTGGAGAAAGAAGGTGGATGCTGCAGGATTGAGAGACTTTATGGATTTTAAAAGAAACAAAGATGGAGAGTGTCCTCAGGAAACACACACACACACACACACAGGTAGTGTAAGAGATGGATGTTGCCTTTCACCAAACTATTAAGTAGAGAAGGAGAAGCAGGAATTATGCTTGTTTGTTTGTTTTTATTTGTGGGAAGTAGGATGGTATCCAGAAGGGGATGAAGCTGTTTGGTTTTGGACAAGAATTTAAAATACTTAAAGGCAACTTCATGGAAATGTCTGATAAACATGATCTGTGGATCGGCCATTGCACTCCAGCCTTGGTGACAGAGCGAGACTCCGTCTCAAAAAAACAAACAAAAAAATAAGTTGGTAAGGATATATTTTTTTGTCCATGTTCTGTTTCAACTTATGTAGATTATTATAAATTGATGTAACCCACGTGAGAGGAAAATGTGAATATAAAAATGCAAAGCCCTAACATTTACTCACACACATACACACACATACACAAATCTTCTGAAATTTCATTATTTTCCCCTTTTCTCCCATTAAAGACAGACCTATTATTATCTAGGGACAGTGAAAATGAGAAAAGGAGAATAAAAGGGAACAAAATGGAAGAGAGGAAGCTAAGCACATATTTCTGGGTATATTTTGCAGAAGACACAGGATGCAAAGTACAAGTGGAAGAGAAAGTGGGGATGGAGCTAAAGTTGAGACAAAAAAGGGGGCAGAAATAAAAGAAGGAAAATGGAGCCAGTCAGAAATTGCCCTTCTCTGAGCAGAAGAAACTGTAGAGAATAGTTCTGAATGATAACCAGGTAAAGGAGATCAGAAATAGAGTGGGAAGCAGGTTAGGAGGCTTAACATTTTCAGGTTAGCAAGGTGAGATTTAAAAGGAGAGGAAAAAACATCTCCATGAACTCTCAGTACTTATTTTTATTTTAGAATTAGAACCCTGTGAGAAAGCTGACAATTGTATTTTAGCTCACAAAGATCTCAAACCCTAATATTGTCACTATCCAGGATCTAAACCTTTTAGCTCTCTTGTGGCCTCTCTGGAGGAAGGATTAGGACCATGAATCATGGTATCATCCACATCTGTCCTTGGGCAGTTCTAGAAGATGTCCTAAGCCCCAGGTGACCTGATTCCAATTCATTAAAAAGGTGAGCCACATATATTCTTTCAACAGTAAGTGTCCCAATGCTGATGATGAAGATGAGAAAATATCTTCCAGTAGCTTAACTTTTTTTCAGTTTCAATACTTTCAATATATCCAGTTTCAATAGTTGCATATAACTTCAAATATTTGGCTTTAATTGAAAATGTTCACCAAACTTTGAAAATGGGGAGAGAGAGTTGCACATATTATACACAATATGTATGTGTATTGCATCAAACACTTATAATGTGTCTTGTACAGGTTCCAGTTTCCAGTTATTTAAAGGGATTAAGAACTTCAAGACTGAATCTGAGTGGAGACTCTGACATATAAATACAGACTTATCCAATTGGGATCATACTGCATATGTTTTTATTATTTGCTTTATTCTCAACATTGTATTCAGAACATCTTCCCATGTTATCAAAAATTATTTTAGAACAGAGAATCCTCTTCAGTTTTTACATTTGTCCTTGTACTTGTTCATCATGGCGATATTATGTTTTGTTAATGGTTGCTGCATAGATAGGGCGCAGTGGCTGGCTCTTGTAATCCCAGCACTTTGGAAGAGACGGGTGGGTCTCTTGAGTCCAGGAGTTCCAGAGCAGCTTGGGCAGCATGGCGAGACCCCAGCTATACAAATACAAAAAAATTAGCTGGGCGTGGTGGCGCGCGCCTGTAGTCCCAGCTACTCAGGAGGCTGAGGTGGGAGGATCCCTTTAGCCCAGGAGGTCGAGGCTGCAGTGAGCCGTTATAGCGTCACTGCACTCCAGCCTGGGTGACAGAGTGAGACCCTGTCTCAAAAATAATAGGCTGGGCGCAGTGGCTCACGCGGTAATCCCAGCACTTTGGGAAGCCGAGGAGGGCGGATCACTTGCAGTCAGGAGTTCCAGACCAGCCATGGCCCAACATGGTGAAATCCCGTCTTTACTAAAAATGCAAAAATTAGCCGGGTGTGGTGGCGCATGCCTGTAGTCTCAGCCATTCGTGAGGTTGAGGCAAGAGAATTGCTTCCTGGAGGCGGAGGTTGCAGTGAGCCCAGATCGTGCCACTGTGCACTCCAGCTTGGGTGACAGAGCAAGACTCTGTCTCAAAAACAAAACAACAACAACAACAAAATAATAATAATAATTGCTGTATCTTTAGGCAATCTTTGCAGTTTTTGCAGTAGATGTTAAGCTACCTTTCTAAAATGCAGTGGGACATTTTGTTGTTTTTGTGTTCTGCAACAGTTTATGTAAACCTGTATTGGAATGACAAGAAGTACGATATTATTCCAAATCTTGTACTCATGCTAGTTCATATCCTATGCCACTCTGTGGTCTCTTCCTCATCAATGTCCCTTCCTCATCGATGTCCCTGGGTTCCTGAGCAAAGCCTAAAGTAAGACACTCTAAAAATTTTGACTGAATATTCGGCAATAATTTGAGCTTGGTCTTAACCCCAAAGAAAATACTATAGAAGAAAACACTAGGAAAAATAGAAGTTGATGGGATTCTTTGTTGACGAGTGTAGTGTTCAGGAAGGGAGAGATTTTGCTCGGATTTCATTGTGTTAGAATAACATGTCATTTTCAAGGAACCAAAATCATACTGTGTAATGGACAGACCGGTGTTATAGTTCTACTTAAGGGTTGGACGTTTCACATCTTTCCTATCCCATCCACACTTTTGGTGACTGTGGGGTTCCCCCCAAACACCCTATTGTTCTGTGCATTAATCCACAGCGAGCTGGTGACGCGTTTTTGTCAAGACCAAATCAAACTTGGGAAGTCTTCAAGTCAGGAATGGAAGTCACTAAGCTCCATGTAAATAAACAGTATATGTGAACTGAATAACCTACTTTGTTCCGGCCTTACGCCAACCCTGCACTTCCAACAGAACCATCTTTGAAGTTTCCTGGCCATCACTGCCCCGCTTCCAGCGTCGCCATCATTCCTTTCACACACCCCACTTGCCGAAAGTACGTTCTGTGCGCTCTCTCACCCTCCTCTTGATTGTTTTCCCTAAGGGGTGCAGCATCAGTTCAGAACTGAAAATCTCCCTATCCCACTTCTCGAAGCCATTAATCAGAGATTTCAACAGGGTTCACCGCTGATGACCCATCTAACTGCTCGTCCTCTCACAGTTTCTGACAACTGTGTATTAGTATTTGCAAGTTTTGGAAGGTGTTGTAAATAGTTTTTAACTGTTAGTGAATTTTAATTTCAAACGAGGAACTTTTTATTAAGCTGGATCTTTGAAGTCAGCACTTAAAAAGCCCCCTTCCCCACCATGTTACATTCCCTTTGTGTGCTATATAAGCATCTGTCTTCGGCGGTTGGCCGCGTGGCCTAATGGATAAGGCGTCTGATTCCGGATCAGAAGATTGAGGGTTCGAGTCCCTTCGTGGTCGTCGTTTTGCGTTCTCTGGTTCGAAAGATATTTGTTGATTCAGAGCATTTTCCCTTTTCTTGCTCCGGTCTGGCTGCCAATTAACAACTAAAGGTAGAAGTCTTATTTAACGAGTATATACGGTGTGCCTGCCCTGTGACAACTGCTTTATAAAAGAACAAAGCAGAAATAGCACTTGGCCTCAAAGAGCTTACTTTCTACTGGATCTAACAGTTGAAATCAAGCAAACGCTGGGAAGAAAAAAAAAATTGTTTCCACTCCTGTGAAAAAAAGAAGTACGAGGATAAAATAAAAAAATAAGGGATGGGGACTTCTTTAGGAAGCATCCACCCTCCTGGAGGTCCTGAAGAAATGCTATTTAGCTGAAAAATGAGTATTTTTCAGGCAGAAGGAATAGCATTTGTTAATTCACTGAGAATCTGAAATCACTAAGTATTTTCAAAGTTCAGGTTGCTGAACTCTTGTGTGTATGTGTATGGAGCTGGGGGTGGGTGGGGGCGGGGGAAGGAGTGGAAATCACTACAGAGAAAAATCAACAAAAAGGGATAAAGGGAATTAAATTTCTGGGAACAAGATCTCTCACAGAGATTCTCTATGGCTGAGACTCTGAACATGGTTTAAAATTAGTGTTCTCCAGATTTTCACTAACTACCAAAAAAGGTAACTGTCATCACCTGGCAAATCGTCATCACTTAAGCCTAAAGGCAGAAACCACCAAAAGCTTTAATCCAAACTGAGCTGTCCTCTAGTGCAACCTGTATTAGAGTAGTCATGATAGGTTGAATTTTTGCAAGTGGGCCAATGCCATAAATTGATCTGAACATTACTGCAAAGAAAGCACAGTGAGAGCAGGATCAAGCAAGTTTTCATCATTTTTAATTGAGCTCCAGTCGCTTCTTGAGGAAAAGAAAGCTAAAATTGATTCTCAAGAACATTTGTTTCTGTGAGAATATGTGGTAACTGAATAAGAATTCTTTAAAAAGAAACAACGCAATTCCCAGATTTAACACCAACGCCAGTTAACATTTACCGAATGCATACACTGTAGCTGCACTATTCCAACTATGAGAAATATATTAATAGTCTTCTTTTACAGATGTAGAAACTGACACCTAAAAGGGTATAACACATTGCCCAACACAACTAGTAAAGGGTAAAGCTGGAAACTTAACCAAAATATTAAGTTATTTCTGGAGCACAAGTCTCAATGTTTAGAACAAATTTTTATTGTTTAATGGCACGATGCAGTGTGGTAAAATATATATAACATAAAATGTCACTTTAACTTTTTTTTTTTTTTTGAGACAGAGTTTTGCTTTGTCGCCAGGCTGGAGTGCAGTGGCGCGATCTGGGCTATCTCGGCTCATTGCAACCTCTGCCTCCCGGGTTCAAGCGATTCTCCTGCCTCAGTCTCCCGAGTAGCTGCGAGTACAGGCGCATGCCACCACGCCCAGCTAATTTTTTCTACTTTTAGTAGAGACGGGGTTTCACTGTGTTAGCCAGGATGGTCTCCATCTCCTGACCTCGTGATCCACCCGCCTCGGCCTCCCAAAGTGCTGGGATTACAGGCGTGAGCCACCGCACCCAGCCCTTGTTTTGGCATTTTAAAGAGACAGGGTCTCATTCTCACTGCAGTCTTGAACTCCTGGGCTCAAAGAATCCTCCTGCCTCAGCCTCCCGTGTAACTTAAACTACAGTCATGTGTCACAACACCTGGCTAATTTTTAATTTTTTGTAGAGATGTGGGGGGCAGCATGGACTCACCATGTTACTCAAGCTGGTTTTGAACTCCTGGTCTCAAGCAATCCTCCTGCCTTGACTTCCCAAAGTCCTTGGATTACAGGCATGAGCCTCAGCCCCTCACCTTTTGTCTTTTTGAAATCGCCTATTCTAGATATTTCATATAAGTGGAGTTATACAGTACTTGTGTCCTTTCATACCTAGCCTATTTCATCACTAAGCAAAATGTTTTCAAGTTTCATCCATCTCACAGCATATACCAGCATATATCCCATATTGTATGTATATTCATTTTTTAAAATTTCTTATATTTTGATGCCTATTCTGCTTACGCAGTTTTATTTTTGTTATTTTGCTTATCTGCTCATCTGTTGATGGCTGGATTCTCCTTCTAGCTATTATGAATGATGCTGCAAAGAACATTGGATTACAAGGATCTGTTTGAGTCTCTGCTTTCAATTCTTTTGGGTATACACCTAGAATTGCTAAGTCATATGCTACACCCATGTTTAGCTTTTTAAGGGAACCACCAAACCGGTTTCCACAGTGGCTTTATCATTTTACATTCTCACCAACAATGCATGAAAGTTCCAGTTTATCCACATCTTCACCAACACTTTTTCATTGGCCATTTTCCTGATTATAGCCATCCAAGAAAGTTGGAAATGGTACCCTACTTTGGTTTTGATTTGCATTTCCCCTAGTGAATAAACACAGAGTACTTTCCAAGTGCTTATTGCCTATTTACATATTTTGTTTGGAGAGGTGTCTATTTGAGTTCTTTGTGCATTTAAACTGAGTTGCCTTGTTGATTTTCAGTTCTAAGGTTTGGTTTTTGTTTTTTTGGATATATCTGGATGTTAGACCCTTATCAAACATGTAATTTCCAAGACATTTTCACCAATTCTATGTGCTCTTTTAACACTGCCTAACGTCCTTTGATGCACAAAAGTTTCTTTTGATTAAATTCCATTTATCATCTATTTGTTGTCTTTCAGATGGAGCTGTCACCCAGGCTGGAATGCAGTGGCATGATCTAAGCTCACTGCAGCCTCTACCTCCAGGTTCAAATAATTTTTCTGCCTCAGCCTGGTGTCCAGAATTGGTGGGTTCTTGGTTTCACTGACTTCAAACATGAAGCTGCAGACCCTCGTGATGTTATTTTTTAAAGACAGTGTGGCTGGAGTTTGTTCTTTCTGATGTTCACCCATGTTCTGAGTTTCTTCCCGCTGGTGGGTTCCTGGTCTGGCTGGCTTACAAGGAGCGAAACATGCAGACCTTCAGCATAAGTGTTGCAACTCTTAAGATGATATGTCTGAAGTTGTTCATTTCTCCTGATGCGCTCATGGTTCTTGCCGGTCTCAGGAGTGAAACCGCAAATCTTCACGGTAAGTGTTACAGCTCACACAGGAAATACAAACCTCAAAAAGCAAGCAGCAGCAAAATTTATTACAAAGAACATAAAGAACAAGGTTTCCACAACAGAGAGATCGACTCCGAGTAGGTTATCGTGGCTGCTCCGCGCAGCCTGCTTTTATTGCCTTATCTGGCCCCACCCACATTCTGCTGATTGGTCCATTTTACAGAGAGCTGATTGGTCTGTTTTACAAAGAACTGATTAGTCTGTTTTGACAGGGTGCTGATTGGTGTGTTTACAGTCCCTGAGCTAGACACAGAGTGCTGATTGGTGCATTTACAATCCTTTAGCTAGACATAAAGGTTCTCCAGGTCCCCACTAGAGTTGCTAGATTCAGAGTGCTGATTGGTGTATCCACAAACCCAGAGCTAGACACAGAGTGCTGACTGGCACATATACAATCCTCTAGCTAGCCATAAAAGTTGTCCAAGTCCGCACCCGCCTCAAGAGCCCAGCTGGCTTTGCCTAGTGGATCCCGCACTGGGGCCACGGGCGGAGCTGCCCGCCAGTCCCGTGCCACGCACCTGCACTCCTCAGCCCTTGGGCGGTCGATGGGACCGGGCGCCGCGGAGCAGGGGGCGGCGCCCATCAGGGAGACTTGGACCGCAAGGGAGCCCACGGGTGGGAGGGTCGGGGGCGGGCTGGGGCATGGCGAACTGCAGGTCCCGTGCCCTGCCCCATGAGGAGGCGGCTGAGGCCCGGCGAGAATTCGACCGCAGCGCGGGCGGACGGGCAGTGCTGGGGGACCTGGCGCCCCCTCCGCAGCTGCTGGCTCAGATGATAAGCTCCTCACTACCCGCGCTCAAGACACCAATCCGCACTAGCTCATGGTTTGTGGATGCACCAATCAGCACTCTATCTAGCTAACCTGGTGGGGACTTGGAGAATCTTTAGGTAAGGAGTGTGAATACACCAATCGGCACTCTGTATCTAGCTAACCTGGTGGGGACTTGGAGAATCTTTATGTCTTGTAGCTAAGGGTTTGTGAATGCACCTAATCAGCACTCTGTATCTAGCTCAAGGTTTGTAAACACACCAATCAGCACCTTGTGTCTAGTTCAGGGTTTATGAATGCACCAGTCAGCACTCTGTAACTAGTTAACCTGGTGGGGACTTGGAGAATGTTTATGTCTAGCTAAGGGATTGTAAATACACCAGTCAGTACCCTGTATTTAGCTCAAGGTTTGTAAATACACTTTGCGTCTAGCTCAGGGTTTGTAAATACACCAATCACACTCTGTATCTAGCTAATCTAGTGGGGACTTGGAGAACTTCTGCGTCTCGCTCAGGGATTGTAAACGCACCAATCAGTACCCTGCCAAAACGGACCAATCAGCTCTCTGTAAAATGGACCAATCAGCAGGATGTGGGTGGGGCCAGATAAGAGTATAAAAGCAGGCTGCCTGAACGGTGGTGGCTGTTTGGTTAATGCTTTCTCCACGTTGTGGAAGGTTTGTTTTTTTTGCTGTTTGCAATGATTCCTGCTGCTGCTCGGTTTTTGCATGCGCATTGCCTTTGTGGGCTGTGATAATTGCTGTGAAAGTCTGCAGTTTCATTCCTGAAGCCAAGGAGACCATAAACTCACTGAGAGGAACCAATGACTCCAGACACACCGTCTTAAGAGCTGTAACAGTTACTGCCAAGATTGGTAGCTTTCCCGAGTCAGCGAAACCACAAACCCACCTGAATGGAATGAAACTCTGAACATATGCAAACATCAGAATGAACAAATTCCCCACACACTGCTCTTCAGAACTGCCACACTCACGGCCAGGGTCCATGGCTTCATTCTTGAAGTCAGTGAGATCAAGAACCCACCAATTCCTTGGCACATTAGGATCACAGGTGTTGAGCCACGGTTCCTGGATGCGTGGAGATTTCTAATGGTTGTACCTGTTGTATTTATGCTACATACTACAACATATATGTATACTATAATGTTTATAATGCCTGAACCCCACCCATAAAAATGAACATGCCATAACCTGGTCATTGTGAGAACCATAAGTGTACCCAAATACATCGTAGTAGGTAGCAATGCCCTGGCTAAAGACTACTGCGTGTTAGTACAGGTAAAGAATTAGCACAGATAAATTTTATTCAGTGCCCAAATAAAGTATTTTAAGGCTCAAGTGGGGCCAGGCACGGTAGCTAACACCTGTAATCCCAGCACTTTAGGAGGCCGAGGCGGGTGGATCACGGGGCCAGGAGATCATGACTATCCTGGCTAACACGGTGAAACCCCATCTCTACTAAAAATAAAAAAATTAACTGGGTGTAGTGGTGGGCGCCTGTAGTCCCAGTCCCAGCTGCTTGGGAGACTGAGGCAGGGAGGGGAAGGTTGCAATGAGCTGAAATCTCGCCATTGCACTCCAGCCTGGGCAACAGCGAGACTCCATCTCAAAAAAAAAAAAAAAAAAAAACTCAAGTGTTGTACTCCATAGTTTCCCTTTAATGAAAAGCTGATTGCTTTTTTGAAGAGAACTTCGTATTTTTTATCTCAGAGTTTCCTTTTAAAAGAAGCAGGCCAGGCGCGGTGGCTCACGCCTGTAATCCCAGCACTTAGAGGCTGAGGCAGGTGGATCACGAGGTCAGGAGTTCAAGACCAGCCTGGCCAAGATGGTGAAACCCCGTCTCTACTAAAAATACAAAAAATTAGCCTGGCATGGTGGCACGCGCCTGTAATCCCAGCTACTCCGGAGGCGGAGAATTGCTTAAACCTGGAGGGGCGGAGCTTGCAGTGAGCCGAGATCGCACCACTGCACTCCAGCCTGGGTGACAGAGCGAAACTCCGTCGCAAAATAAATAAATAAATAAAAAAGAAGCATATGTTAGTTTGTTTCCACAGTAAGTGAAGACAGGCCATGTCACAAAAAGACGGGGAACAACACTGGACTGTAGCTCGTAGACAAAGGAAACCTTGAGAAGTTTAACACTGTATCATAGTTTTAGACAGAACACAATAATTACATTGTTAGAACAAAGTACTTAAAGAACTGATGTTACTTTTTTTTTCTTTATTTAAGAGCATAACTTAACAATAGTCCCACTTGGTCAGGCCTATGATCCCCCCAGTCTATTACTGTATGATTCTGAAGCTGTGGGAGGAAGCAATGCCCTCCTACATATCAACTCATGAATTACATATACATCTTCAAAAGATCAGAGATTTCCATTTTAGCCATCTCGTCAATATTTCTACATAAGTTTAAAATACTTTTGTTTTCACTTTATGCCACTTCTTAAAACTGAATTTCAGCAAGTACACTATATAAGTCCAGGATTTAATTCTATTTATTTTAATTTAACTCATTTCAATAAACATTTATGGAATGCAAATGCCAATCACTATGCCAGCTACATGCATACAAAGATGAGGAAGAACCATCTGGTTCCCTTTCTCTCAATTTGTACCAACATCACTAGATCTGTGTGACAGTCTGGGAATAGGACTACACATAGTGGTCCAGGTTTTGAACAGAGACAAGAAAACAATTTATTTCTTTTTTAATTTTTATTTTAGTTTTAGTTTTAGTTTTTTGAGGAGGGGTCTCACTCTGTTGCCCAGGCTGGAGTGCAGTGGCATGAACACAGCTCACTGCAACCTATTCCTCCTGGGCTCAAGTGATTCTCCCACCTCAGCCTCCCAAGTAGCCAGGATTACAGGCCTGCACCACCACGCCTAGCTAATTTATTTTTTGTAGAGACAAGGGTCTCACTATGTTGCCCAGGCTGGTCTCGAACTCTTCGACTCAAGTGATCCTCCTGCCTCAGCCTCTCAAAATGCTGTGATTACAGGTGTGAACCACTGCACCCAGCCGACAATTGATGTCTTAATACCTTTCAACTGATACCCAGTATTTTATAAGCTTTATTGGATATAGTGAGCATCTTTTCCTGAAAGAGAGAGCAGGGAATCACAAATATTACAAAGCTCTGTTTTCACAAAGGAAGTCTCAGGAGTGAGTGACCATTTCGCCTACCCTCTGAATATCAAAGTTTTCAAACATCTACAGGCTCACACAAAATACTCTTCATTTCCCATCTAAGAGTCGGGAACTTAGAAGTGGTCACTGGGTGAGACTGACCCTTTCCTTAAGGAGGATAATGACTGAAAACACATTTATTTCTGCTAAAACAAGTTCTAGCCAACCCATTTCCTGGGCATGCTCTTGACAAATTTACTAATGTTAAGTGAGGCAAGAAGCTGCCATTCAAACATTTCAAAATTGTTATATTCAAAATATTTCCCTTCTATATCTACTCTCTAAAGGTCAATTACTAGAGAAACACAAAGTTTTACACACATTCATCAGAGGTATATATCTTTTTTCTCTGATATGGGTTTTCTTTTTAATGTCTAAAAAGGTTCTGATGGGAAATAAGACCTTCATTTTGAGTAAAGCATTTTCCATATTCAGGGCAATGAGGAAGTCTTTCCCCTGTATGAATGTTGGGATAGTTAATGAAGTGTGAGCTCTCAATGCAGACTTCCCCAAATACTTTACTTTTATAAGACTTCTCTCTTGTGTGCAGTCTCTCATACGATGTCAGGCCTCCATTGTGACTAAAGCTTTCTCCACATTCCTTAAAGTGATAAGGTTTCTCTCAGTGTGTACTCTATGATGCTTAAGAAAGAGTGGGCTCTGATTAAAAGCTTTCCCATGCATAAGATATTTGTAGGGTTTCTCTCCAGTATGTATTCTCTGATGTTTGAGATGGTCAGAATTCTGAAGGTCTTATTGCATACATTACGCTTGTGGATTTCCCTCCAGTATGAAGCCTCTGATGTTTACTAAGATCTGAGCTCCAAATGAAAGTCTTGCCACACTGATCACATTCATAGTGTCTGTGAAAATACAGCTTCTATAATGCAGGCTTTCACGGTGAAGGCCCTTCTATGCTCATCACACTTATAAGGGTTCTCCCCAGTGTGGATCTTCTGGAGATAGAGGCTAGTGTTCCCACTGAAGGCTTGCCACAAACTTTGTATTTACAGGGTCTCTCTTCAGTGTGGATCCTTTGCTGTTGAATAAGATTTGATTTCTTAGTGAAGAACTGTCTACATTCATCACTTTTACAACCCCTCTTTCCCATAAGTATTTTGTTCAGTACAGTTTTCATGACTTCTCTATGATCTCTTTTTCCTGGGGTGAAAATGTTCTCTGTCTCACCAACAAAGGATTTTCTTAGTGCCTCTCATACCTGCCCTCAGGGTCACAAATGTTTTCAATTGCAGGATTTAAGGGATCATCACTTTTCCATCTTCCCAGGAACAGTGAGTGAGATGCTACTTCTTCAGTACTTTTTGGAACCCTGAAGTCATGCTTAGCTTTCTAAACCTATACTCAGTCCAGGCATGGTGGCTCATACCTGTAATCCCAGCATTTTGGGAGGCTGAGGTAGGAGGATCACTTGAACCCAGGAGTTTGAGACCAAGCTAGGCAACATCATGAGACCCCATCTCTAAAAAAAAAAAAAAAAAAAAAAAAGCTGCTCATGGTGGTGTGTACCTGTAGTCCCAGCTACTCAGGAGGCTGAGATGGGAGGATTGCTTGAACCAAGAGGTCAAGGCTGCAGTGATTGTGCTATTGCACTCCAGCCTGTGCAACAGAGCAAGACTCTGTCTCAAAAATAATAAATAAACCTACACTCACCTTCTGAAATAAAACAACAAAAAATTATTTAAATTTCACTGCTAAATAAGAGCAGTAAGTTCTATTTCCCTTTCCTTCAACAGATTTGCAAATTTAGCTGTAAATGAAGGATTTGAACACACACAAATTCACACTAAACTCTAGTTTCAGTGTTTCCTATCTTGTTGGCTATATGACCTTAGGCAAGTCACATAACTTTGTGCATCTGTATCTTTGCCTACAAAACATGGACAACAGTTGCAACCTCAAAGGGTTATGAAAGCACACAAAACTGTGTCTGACACACTGTAAGCATTATTAAGTGTGAGTTGCTATTGTTACCATTGTTGTCACATCTCAGTATCCCAACATGTTGCTTATCTTAAATTGAAAAGGATTAAGAAATGTTACTTGCTATTTCTACAAATTCTTTCTTGGTTATTAAAATGTCATGTAAGTAGCTTTGTAGCAAGTCTTGTGTATAGTAGTTCCTTGCTATATACCTGGTATAAAGACGAATAAGATGCCCTCTTGAAGGCCACAACCTAGAGATGTCCTTCAGTTACAAGGCAGTGTGGTAAATACTATAAGAGTGAAGCATAAGAGCTTTGGGAGTGCAAAGAAGGAAACATCTAACTGCCTGAGAGAATCAAACAGAAAGTTTTGCAGCGGAATGGTTGATTGGCGTATCTTAAAACATAAATACAAATAGTCAGAAAAAGGGAAGGCAGTAAAAGCTTTCTAGATGGAAAGTATATACATACAAAGTTATTAAGGCACTTTTAAAATGGTACTTTCAGACAGTTGAGAACAGTTTGGTCTAGCTAGAACACAGATTGAATATGAAGGCGAAAGGAGATAAAGCTGAAAATGTAAGCTACATCATGAACAGTCTTGTTGCCAGGATAATGAATTGAACCATTAACAGATGCTAAGAATGTGTGTAGGCCAGGCACGGTGGCTCACGCCTGTAATCCCACCACTTTGGGAGGCTGACGCTGGTGGATCACGAGGTCAGGAGATCTAGACCATCCTGGCTAACACAGTGAAACCCTGTCTCTACTAAAAATACAAAAAATTAGCCCGGCGTGGTGGCAGGCGCCTGTAGTCCCAGCTACTCAGGAGGCTGAGGCAGGAGAATGGCGTGAACCCAGGAGGCGGAGCTTGCAGTGAGCCGAGATCGCCTCACTGCACTCCAGCCTGGTGACAGAGCGAGAATCCGTCTCAAAAAAAAAAAAAGAAGGTGTGTGTAATATTAGCTTTCAGTTTTATGCAAGTCACTATAGTGACAGTGTGAAAGATGGTCTTCAAGGAGAAAATGGACAAGACTGGCCGGGCACGGTGGCTCACGCCTGTAATCCCAGCCCTTTGGAGGCCAAGGCAGACAAATCTCTTGCGGTCAGGAGCTCAAGACAGGCCTGGCCAACATTGTGAAAACCCGTCTCTACTAAAAATACAAAAATTAGCCGGGCGTGGTGGCACGGGCCTCCCAGCTACTCGGAAGACAGGCAGGAGAATCGTTTGAACCGGGGAGGCAGAGGTTGCAGAAAGCCGAGATCGCGCCACTGCACTCCTGGGATTGATTGATTGATTGATTGATTGATTTAGACAAAAGGTCTCTGTTGCCTAGGCTGGAGTGCACTGGTGTGATCTCGGCTCACAGCAACTTACACCTCCCGGGTTTAAGTGATTCTCCCACCTTCGCCCCCTCGAGTAGCTGGGACTACAGGCACGCACCGCTACACCCAGCTAATTTTTGTATTTTCTGGTAGGGACAGGGTTTCACCATGTTGGCCAGGCTGGTCTCGAACTCCTGAGCTCAAGTGATTCGCCCACCTCAGCCTCCCAAAGTGGTGATCCTGGGTTTTAACCAGAATAGAGGACATACCACTACCCACTTATTGAACATATTCTAAATAAGTTTTCTTATCCTAAAATATTTTATATTCCAATATTGGAATCGCCTGAGTCCAGGGTGGTCAAGGCTGCAGTGAGCTATGATTGTGCTACTGCACTCCAGCCTGAGTGACAGAGTGAGACCCTGTATAAAAAGGAAGGAAGGAAGGAAGGAAGGAAGGAAGGAAGGAAAAGAAAAAAAATTATAGAAAATAGATTGTCGGTTGCCTGCAGGTTGGGGGAGGCTGAGAGATGGGGAGTGACTGCTAAGGAGTATTTTTTTTTACCTTGAGGTGATAAAAATGTTCTAACACTGATGGTGATAATGTTTGCACAACTCTGAATATTCTAAAAGTGATTGAATTGAATTGAATGGTGTGTAAATTATATCTCAATAAAGCTGGTAAAAATTTAGTGATTCAATAAAATCCTTTATTTGGTCAATGTACGGTATTCTGTCAGTTGAGACAAAAGTTAACATTCGAATTTAGATTTAGATTTTATATCTTCAGCTTCTTCTATCTAGAAAAGGCATTCACTAGTAATTATTAGGATGATTGTGCATTGTTATGTACAGATAACCGCAGTGACTTATCTGATAGTCCTTTAACAGACAGGAGTACTAGTGTAGTTACTTTGTTTTTATGTAACTAGGTAGGTCTTATGTAATGTCTTATTTGTCTGAATGAAAGATTATTGTGTCTTTAGCAGAGGAAAAGAGATAATCTCTCCGCACTGAAGATTATTTTAATGAGTAGTATAAGTAATGATATACACAAAATGGGAAATTATCTTGGCCTTAATGAACCATGTATTCTACATATAGAGTATAGAATACATGGCTTCTGTAAATAAAAGTTTCCAGTATTGGAATATAAAAAAATTTAGGATAAGAAAACTTATTTAGAATACATTCGATAAGTGGGTAGTGGTATGTCCCCTATTCTGCTTAAAACCCAGGATCACCACTTTGGGAGGCTGAGGTGGGCGAATCACTCAAGGTCAGGAGTTCGAGACCAGCCTCGTCAACATGGTGAAACCCTGTCTCTACTAAAAAATATAAAAATTAGCCAGGTGTGGTGGTGCACGCTTGTAGTCCCAGCTACTCGGGAGTCTGAGGCAGGAGAATCCTTTGAACCTGCGAGGCAGTGGTTGCAGTGAGCCAAGACAGCGCCATTGAACTTTAGCCTGGGTGATACAGCAAGACTCTGTCTCAAGAAAGAAAGAGAGAGAGAGAGAGAGAAAGAGAGACAGAAGGAAGAAAGGAGAGAAGGAAGGGAGGGAAAGAGAGAGAGAAAGAAGGAAGAAAGGAAGGAAAGAAGGAAGGAAGGAAGGAAAGAAACGCAATTTAATTCAGTTCAACTGCAGTTGAGCATTTGTGGGGGTGGGGGCGGGGTTGGGGTGAGGGGTTGGAGACAAGCCCAGGCTGGTCTTGAACTCCTCGCCTCATGTGATCCTCCCTCCTCAGCCTCACCCAAGTGCTGGGATTATAGGTGTAAACCACCGTGCCCAGCAGGACAGTCAAGAAAATTGAAACTGGAAAGTACCTTGGCCTTTTACCCCAAATCTACACAATTTTACACAGTGGCAGTGCTTTTTCCTCTAACGCTATAATAGAATTCTGCAGGAGAATTCTTTCAGGGAGTTCACCTTTTGTTTTATTAGAGAGCTAAGTAACCTTGGGAGGTTGGGCTGACTTTGGAAGCTTCTGGAAATAAATGGGGGTTTAACAGATATTAACTTCATCCCGCCTTACAGATAAATGCCATTTTACTTTGAAAAGCAGTAGGTGGGGGTAGGGGGCGAGAAATAGAAAATTCCATCAGTTTGGTGAAAGCTTTTAGAGGATAACGTACTCTGTTCCATGAAAGAATCAGAAATGTGAGCAATGCAGGGAGAAGTAAGGTAAATCCAGACAAGCAGGATGGATTCCAGATGAGAAACCATATCTTCCATAGTGAATTTTGAAATGAATTTAAAATCTCCTATTATATAATCTGCAGTTTACTTTGTTTTCTTGTTGGAGAAAGTGGTTTTTGGAGTCCAAGTATGCAGAGGGCACCTAGGATTCCAGAGTTAATGGGACTGAAGAGAAAAAAGCGTAACCTGACCCAGATTCTGCTGCTCACCGCTCCAAAGCCAAATGCTAGAGGGGAGGTTTGGTGGGAGGAAAAGCTGCTTTTAATCCGAAAGCCAGCAAACTGAGAAGATGGAACACTAGTGTTCTAAAGTACCACCTTAAAATTTAAAATTTACCATACGGTTTTTGTGTTTTTGTTTTTTTGTTTTTTGTTTTTTCCTGTGACAGAGTCTCACTCTGTTGCCCAGGCTGGAGTGCAGTGGTGCAATCTTGGCTCACTGCAACCTCCACCTCCCGGGTTCAAGTGATTTTCCTGCCTCAGCCTCCTGAGTAGCTGGGATTACAGGCATCTGCCACCACACTCAGCTAATTTTTGTGTTTTTAGTAGAGACAGGGTTTCACCATGTTGGCCAGGCTGGTCTCGAACTCCTGACCTCAAGTGATCCACCTGCCTCGGCCTCCCAAAGTGCTGGGATTACAGGCGTGAGCCACCACTCCGGGCCTACCATAGGGTTTTATTTATTTATTTATTTATTTATTTATTTATTTATTTATTATTTTTTTTGAGACGGAGTCTCACTCTGTTGCCCAGGCTGGAGTGCAGCGGGCAATGTCGGCTCACTGCAAGCTCCGCCTCCCGGGTTTAGGCGATTCTTCTACCTCAGCCTCCCGAGTAGCTGGGACTACAAGCACCCACCACCACACCCGGCTAATTTTTTGTATTTTTTAATATTTTTAGTAGAGACGGGGTTTCACTGTGTTAGCCAAGATGGTCTCAATCTCCTGACCTCGTGATCCGCCCGCCTCGGCCTCCCAAAGTGCTGGGATTACAGGCCTGAGCCACTGCACCCGGCCAGCAATATTTCTTCTGTAAAAGAAAAGAATAAGTGTTCCACATGGAAAGAACCCAAGATATATTAAGTGAAAAATGTCATAGCATGACTACATTTCTGTTAAAAAAAAAAAAACAAAATGTTATATATATATGCGAATGCAGAGAAAAAAGAAATGTAAAAAATACAATAAATTTTTCACGGTGATTACATTTGCGAGAGGAACGTACAGCTTTCATATTTCATTCAATGGTTAAAATGGTACTCAATTTTGACTGACAAAACGGTAATGATCAGATGCCAAAACGAGTGTGAATGTGCATAATTTACGAAAGACATTTTTGAGAACTGGTTACATGAGTTTTGAAAATAGGAGAGCAGAGGACCTGTGTAAGATTTTTAAAGAGACTGCACTGTCACGAGCCACAGGGTTGTGAGATTGGTAGGAAAGTGCTCCAGGAAATATCTAGGGGAGGGCTTGGATCTGAGACACAGAGTGTGAGCCTGGTCGAGAAGCGGGAAAAGAACCCGCCCAGAGCCCCTTCTCTCCATTCCCTCGGCGAGGCAGGAAGCTATCTGCGTTCCGAATCCCGCGACATCAGGATTATCTCGCACTGCAGCACAGAGACCAATCACTAGTAACCTCTGCCTTTAATTAGGCGTTTTTTGGCCCAAATCTCGCGGCTTCGTAAAAATATCGCGATGCTTCCGCTTTTAATGTTTTTAGTTTGGACAAGCCCTTTGAGATAAATTTAAAAGCCAATTCTTTTTTTTTTTTTTTTTTTGAGACGGAGTGTCGCTCTGTCCCCAGGCTGGAGTGCAGTGGCGCGATCTTGGCTCACTGCACGCTCCGCCTCCCGGGTTCACGCCATTCTCCTGCCTCATTCCCGAGTAGCTGGGACTACAGGCGCCCGCCACCACGCCCAGCTATTTTTTTTGTATTTTTAGTAGAGACGAGGTTTCACCGTGTTAGCCAGAATGGTCTCGATCTCCTGACCTCGTGATCCACCCGTCTCGGCCTCCCAAAGTGCTAGGATTACAGGCGTGAGCCACCGCGCCCGGTACCTAAAAGCCGATTCTTAAAAATATACGTTGGTAATTGTTTATGCCTACTGCTGAGATCAGGATATCTCTAAAGTAAGGAGAGGAAAAAGAAAAGTATGTGTCAGAAGTGGGATTCGAACCCACGCCTCCATTGGAGACCAGAATCCCCACCGCGGAGGAAGCTTAGCTTGAGTCTGGCGCCTTAGACCACTCGGCCATCCTGACACACTGCATAACAGCCCTGATTTTTGCACTAAAATAGAGATCAACAAGCAATGATTCTGTGTCGTGCACGCACGCAGAAACGCGATGACGTCAGGGTTGCTTGGTAACAGAAGGGCAGAAAGCCACTTGTGGATTGAAAAAGCAAAAGGGTTCGCAGGACTAGAAAATGTTTCTGCATAAAACTGGATCAAGTCTCTTACGGGCCTTATAACTGTTATCGCCATCTCGAAAAACGTGTGCGGGTTTTTTTTTTTTTTTTTTGCTCCCAGCCTGCCCAGATTTCAGGAAGGAAAGAAGATCTTTTGCTTCTTCGGTCGCTGGGTCGGCTCTCCAGTGTCTGATGTTTACTGAAATCTTGATCGTGGTTAGCCTCCCCCAGGACTTCATTGTTTGGAAGATGGTGAGGAACAAAACAAAACCCTAACAAAAGACCCCGGTTCTATAGGAAGGTCCCCTTTTAGCCCCTCTATTTTGGTTCCATTTGTCACTGCCTTGCCACTCGTCGAAGTTTGTCTTGGGCTCTAAAAGTGGTAGCCGGGAACGGCTGGGAAGGTCTCCACAGGGACCACCACATGGGCAAGGCTGGTGTCCGCGCCGAGGGATCGGCGATCCCAGGTCCGGGGAAACTCCGGGAGCGACGCGCTCGCCCGCGGCCTTCCTTGTCGCTCTCGGATGTTCCCGATTAATGGGCTCCAAGTGACCACTGCCAGGTCGGGGAACACAGCGGTAGTTTTTAAGGGGAGTGCACCACATCGCCTGATCCACTTTTCTGTTTCTCAGCCTTCGCCAAGCAATCTGAGCTCCAGGCCGGGAAGCCCCAAGGTCACAAATTTTAATGGAGCCCTGAAACTAAACAGAAATCATCCCTCCCACTAGAACAAGAGCCCCTAGAGGCCAGCGACACCGCTAAAATAACATGTGTAGACCAATGCCGTCCAGGTAACAGTGCCTGGCAAACACGGTAGAGGTTCAATAAATACATTTTAACTCAACCGTCTTAACTCTTGTATTTGGGGCTGTGAGGTTCAGATAGAGGAAATATAAAGTTGGATATTTTAATTAGATTTTGTCCTAATAGCTTACTTTTTGTATTTGTTAATATAAAAAAAATTTCCTTTTTGTAAGGCAAAGTTAGGTCTCTTTTCTGCATGGAGAAATAACTGAGTTTCAGTAGGCTCTATCTTAATTTCCACAGACTTCCTTGGTTTCATATCCTATTTTTGATAGAGAGAAAATTAGTAGTGAGAAGTACAGTGAACACTGGTTCCCCAGTCTCCCTCCAATACATGAGATTTGTATATTTTCTTTCGATTGGAAGGAAATTGTCCAGGAAGTGATTCCCAACATGGCAACTGTAATCTTACCCTAACTATAATTATTTTTTTCTAATTGCAAAGTACACACAAATTGTAGAACATACAAACATGTCAAAAATTAAAATCATCCATAATCTCACTAGTCAGAGGTAACTATTAACATTTTTATATATTTAGTCTTTCATATGGTATACATTTTTTCCAAAAATGGTCATGTGTAGTAAATAATTTGCTAACTTGCTTTCTAAATGAATATATTATGAATATATACTTGCTAAGTACTATATTTTGTATAAATCTTAATTCCTGCACATATTCCATATCAAAGTGGTATTCTTGAAAACTGGATTATTTCTAATTTTTTATTTTCATCAGCAATGCTGTAAAAACTATCCTTACATAAATATTTTCAAACATCCACGATTATTTCCTTAAATTTCTAAAAGTGAAACCATTACATCAAATTTTTTTTTTTTTTTTTTTTTTTGAGACGGAGTCTCGCTCTGTCACCCAGGGTGGAGTGCAGTAGCACGACTTGGCTCACTGCAACTTCCACCTCTCGGGTTCACACCATTCTCTTGCCTCAGCCTCCCGAGTAGCTGGGACTATAGGCGCCCGTCACGACGCCCGGCTAATTTTTGTATTTTTAGTAGAGACGGGGTTTCACTATGTTGGTCAGGCTGGTCTCGAACTCCTGACCTCTTGATCCGCCCGCCTCAGCCTCCCAAAGTGCTGGGATTACAGGCGTGAGCCACCGCGCCCGGCCTACATCAATGTTTATCCAGTTTTTGTTTGTTTGTTTTGACGGAGTTTTGCTCTGTTGCCCAGGCTGGAGTGCAGTGGCATGATCTTAGCTCACAGCAACCTATCTCCCAGGTTCAAGTGATTCTCGTCTCAGCCTCCCGAGTAGCTGGAACTACACGCATGAGCCATCACACTCAGCTAATTTTTTTTTGTATTTTTAGTAGAAACAGGGTTTCACCATGTTGGTCAGGCTGGTCTCAAACTCCTGACCTCAAATGATGTGCCCGCCTCGGCCTCCCAAAGTGCTGGGATTACAGGCGTGACCCACCGCTCCTGGCACATTTTAATAGGTAACAAATGATATAGCGCCCCCCCTTTTTTTTCTGATTTGATTATTAGTGAGGTCCAATATTCATGTTTAAAGGATTTTTATACTCCTTCCTCAGTAAATTGCTTACCAAATTTTTATGAGGTGTCCATCTTTCCTTATTGATTTGTAAGACTTATTTTATGAAAAGTAAACTCTTGGGATACAGTTTCTATTTACCAAGAACCCAAGCAGAAATTCCTATCTCTTATTAACAAGAATCCCATTATGTCCCTTAAACATTTAGTTACTTCCATCTTACAGAAACTAGAAGCTATACAATTAACAATGTTCCCATGTCAATTTTTAAAACCCAACTGTGGCCCACATTTAGTGTCCTCGTAGTTTTCATACTATAGATTCACTTCTAATCCTGGTCATTTTTTGTGCCATCTTTTTTTTTAATGAGACGGAGTCTCGCACTGTCACCCGGGTTGGTGTGCAGTGGCGCAATCTCGGCTTGCTTCAAGCTCTGCCTCCCAGGTTCAAGCAATTTTCCTGCCTCAGCCTCCCAAGTAGCTGGGACTACAGGCTCGTGCCACCATGCCCAGCTAATTTTTGTATTTTTAGTAGAAATGGGGTTTTTCACTATGTTGGCCAGGCTGGTCTTGAACTCCTGACCTCGTAATCTGCGTGCCGGGGCCTCCCAAGGTGCTGGGATTACAGGCGTGAGCCACCGCGCCCGGCTGTGCCGTATTTTTTCTTTCTTCCTTTATGGCATGTTAAACTCCTGATGTCTTGATTTTATGGGTTTGTTTTGGTTTTTTTTGAGATGGAGTCTTGCTCTGCTGCCCAGGCTGGAGTGCAGTGGTGCAATCTTGGCTCACTGCAACCTCCGCCTCCTGGGTTCCAGCAATTCTCCCGTCTCAGCCTCCCGAGTCGGGATTACAGAAATGCACCACCACACCTGGCTAATTTTTGTATTTTTAGTAGAGATGGGGTTTCACCGTGTTGGCCAGGCTGGTCTTGAACTCCTGACCTCAGGTGATCCGCCCGCCTCAGCCTTCCAAAGTGCTGGTGTGAGCCACCGAGCCCAGACATGATTTTATGTTTTAAATGGCTTTAAGTCCTTTTTGGAATAAGGTAAAATATAATTAAATATGTCAATATTTTAACTATTTACTAATAATATTTATTGCACAATAAGACTCCCCACAGGCCATTCTACATTTTTATGAAAACATCTGTAAGAGGAATTTTAAAAGGCCTGACAAATTATTTGAAGAGGGAAGCAGAGGGACTAAAAAGGAAAGAAGCTAACAATGGTGGTCTATGAAAATGAAATAAACAAAACAAAAAAACAGGATTTAATTTCCAACCTTGAAATGAGTCCCTTGACTGTTTTGTTTGAGGTTCATATAACTTGGTTTTCTGGTATGTCCAGGATTACGTGAGAGTAACAGAGATTGGGGTGGAAATTGAGATGATGCTGTATTCAAATGAGACTGACCATAAATTGGTAGTTGAAGTTGGGAGATGATATAGGAGGGTTCGCTGTGTATTTTCTTCATTTTTGTATATGGTTACAGGTTTCCATAGTGAAGAGTTCATTCAATACAGAAAAAAAAAAAATCACCAAGTCTCATCAAAAGCATCTATGCTAATATTTTGGCATATTTCTTCCCAGTTTTTAAAGAAATAT
This sequence comes from Homo sapiens, assembly GCF_000001405.40. Taxonomy (NCBI): domain Eukaryota; kingdom Metazoa; phylum Chordata; class Mammalia; order Primates; family Hominidae; genus Homo; species Homo sapiens. The sequence continues at coordinate 209,801 of NT_167249.2, forward strand.
GTAGGTTCAAATCTTTCTAATTCTCACTTTTTTCTATTATTCTTTTTGTGCATCAGAACCCTAAAATGGGTTTGGCAATCACATCCCATACAAATCCAAGTTCTTCACATCCTCTAAACAAAGAATCTGGTAGAGATGTGTGTATCTCTAAAGGTTACCTTCAAATGTCCTGCTTACATTTCAAACTTCAAATGCAAAATTAATTCAACAGATAAGCCAGATCTAAGAAATGTATCTTTTCTCCAACGGGAAAAAGGAAATGTAATGGGGCAATACTGTCAAATGGAAGTACTATTTGGCCTGGCATGGTGGCCCATGCCTGTAATCCCAACACTTTGGGAGGTTGAGGAGGAAGAATCCCTTGAGCCCAGGAGTTCGAGCCTGCAGTGAGTAATAATCTTGCCACTGCATTCCAGCCTTGGTGACAAAGTGAGACCCTTTCTCTAACGCTGGTTTGGTTGGGATTTATTATTACTCTCACAGACTTCATATAGGAGGAATTTCTGGTTTCAACAAAGTGCAGGATTTAGTAATGTGCTTATATCATTAAGTCAAAATTTAGTGCAGGACGGAGCTAGTGGGCAAGTCTCTTAGTCTCAAGAAAAAGGGCACTAAGAAACATAGCCCAGGCATTTAGGCTTCCTCTTACATTACTGTGGTCTGCAATGAGGTCTCCTGGAGCACAAGTTTCACTTCTCCCCAGATCATCTTTAGTTGTACTCTACATTTTTTCACGTTATTTTCCCCCTCTCCTAATTAACTTTTCAAAGGATAGAAGCCATGCTCTCTTGTATTCTCTTCAGGAGCAAGTTCAGCTGGGGCACCCAACACTGGTTGAATTGTCTATTTGAATAAAAGAATGTTTTTCATTTGTGAAGAAGCAACTCAACCACCATTGGTATGCTAAGAACCTTTTGAGTTTTGTTTTTTATTTTGCTGGGAGGAGATACGTGATTTCCACGTATACTCTTTGGTCTGCATCTCAGGTAACTAAAGGCATTAGCAAATGGCTCTCATTTACCATCTGACAGTTATTTGCTCTTAATTTCATAGTGCCTTTAAGTGTTAGGCTGTTACATGCATTCTCTCATCTTCTCACTTAATTGTACATGGTGGAGGGTATGGGCCATGTTCAGTTTCCCTTTATTCTTTGAACCTATCTCTTCTAGGCCTTGTCTGCTCTTGGGGAAGATGGTCTTCTTTGCATGTTGGCCTTTATCAGAAAAAACAAGAGCACCTGAAGACACACAGGCATGTGCACATACGTGCATGCACAAACACACACTTCCTGGAACAGCAAAAGAATTAAGGAAGAAGTTATTGAAACCGTAATGTATAATTAACAATTGCAGATGTTCTGAGGAAAGAGAGGGGAGTCAAAGGAATCGGAGTGGGCCCCATATGTCTTTAGTGACTCAATTCCTGACTCGGTGAACTCAAAAGTTGCTTACCTTTCTGCAGATGAGTAAACTTAGAATCACAAGTTCATTTAATCCCATTCAAAATGGCAGGCTTTTAAAACTAAAAATATAAATAAATACCTATAAACACACCACCCACAAGAACTAGAAGATAACCAATAACACATGTTGTGGGGCAGGACCTGATGTGGTCATGTGTTCCATCTCAGTTTGAATCCTGGCTCTGCTGCTTCCTAGCTGTGTACCTTGGATAAGTCATTTACCCTCTCTGCTGCAGTTTATCTGTAAAGTAAGACAACAGTACACACTTGATAAAATTATCATGAGCATTAAGGAAGCTACTGTGCATAAAACTCTTCATATGATGTGCCAAGCACTGCTCTATGTTTGTTAGTAGTATTTATGTGCCTGTATATATATTACCGTATACATTTAGATCTCAGAATATTCAGCAAAAGCTAATCTAGCCTCATGGAAGCTACTTTCTATAGCCCTGGTTCTATTATTTCCCTTAAAACCTGATGAATAAATGAAGAATTAGGACATGATATCACCAACTCATGAACCTCAGCCATGGAACCCCAATGCCTGGCACAATACTACAAAAAGGACTTGAGAAAATACTTTCCTAGTAAAATTACAGGATTAACCAATATAAGAACTGTAGGCAGGCCGGGCGCGGTTGCTCACGCCTGTAATCCCAGCACTTTAGGAGGCCAAGGCAGGTGGATCACAAGGGTCAGGAGTTCAAGACCACCCTGGCCAAGATGGTGAAACCCCGTCTCTACTAAAAACAAAAAATTAGCCGGGCGCGGTGGTAGGCGCCTGTAGTCCCAGCTACTCAGGAGGCTGAGGCAGGAAAATCGCTTGAACCTGGGAGGCAGAGGTTGCAGTGAGCCGAGATCGTGCCACTGCACTCTAGACTGGGCGACAGAGCAAGACTCCACCTCAAAAAAAAAAGAACTGTAGGCTATGAATGTCCAACACTACTTTCTTAGCACCACTAGAAAGTAGTGACATGGCACTGAGAAAGTGGTTTTATTTTCCAGTTTGAAGTAAACTATTGGCCAGAGTGGGATTTTTGCACCCATATGGGAAAGCAACACCATTAACCATTTCCTCCCCACACGCATTCCAACATCTGAACCCAATCCTACCAACACCCAGAAAGCAACAACAATGTAAACATCCATATTCAGTTTATTTTTAAACAGAGGGGCACGTACCCACAGAGAAGCAGGACTGAGAACCATCATGGGGGCTTGCTTGAAGTGATCTGCCCCAGCCTTCTGACTTCAGAGTGTCTCATGATCCAATGGCCATGGGGACGGAGCTGCCCCTTGATAGGATGCACTTAAGCATGGTCAATTCCCCCTTCCCCCAAAGGAAATGGAGAAAAGGAGCCAAGAAGTCAATGAATCCCTGGAATATTGTCCCAGAATCCTTCCAGGGATGGTATACGACTGGCCACCAGTCCACAAATGTGACTGGTAAGGGATCTAGTAACAGAGGATGGAGTTGGGCAGAATATTATCCTGGATGATATGCACCCAGCACTAGAATACACCTTTCATTAGAATGAAGAGAACAGACAAAGCCCTCAGAAAAGATACAAAGGCAGAGACATTGATTAGAACATTATCTCATAACAGAGGTGGGGCCATTACCCACCATTATTGTAAAATAACTGTAACTAACCAAAACACATACAGGCTTCTTTAATGGAGTTAATAAAACTATGGCACATTGGGAATCAGGGGCAGAGGTACTGTTCCCAGACGGAAAACTGGGATAAAGGGAGCCATGCTGACAGGGCCTTATTCCAGTCTAGGTTGTTAGAAAGGAGCCCTAGCCCAGAAATGACAGCAAATAGCCATAATCATTATGTGGGGCTGAACCAGAGGAAGCCAGGCTGAGCCAAGAAGCTGGAAGTATCTTGAACGGCTCTCCAAATCCAAAGATTATCCATACTCTTTATCCCTCCAGCGATGTGTAAAACCAGAAAGTATGAAACACTGGAGGTGGACATCTGGTTTTTATTTCTAGGATATCTTGATACATCTCATTACATTTCACAATCTGCATGGGAAGGAAAAGGATGGTAGAGAACATGGACATCCTGTCTCCCACTGCAAGGGCGTGGAACATGGTAAGGATACCCAGCTGTGACAGGACGTGGCAAGGCAACAAGATGCCTTGTGCCTGGCGTAGGATTACAGCCAACAGCCCTTTTGGCCTGAATTCACCTCCTCAAGGGGAGGTCTCCATGGAATGACCATGATTCCCAACATGGCCAGAAAACCCATCTATCCCACTCATGGGGCAGATGATCAGAGGAGCTGCACTTTTCCCTCCCGAGTAACTCAGACTGAAGTAGGGCCGGACAGGCCCACAAAAGGTAGCATGAGAGAAAGTGAAGGTGTGACACCTCTCTGTCACGTTGTAGAAGGAGACCTCACCAGCATCATAGTCCAAGAAAATCCCCACCCGCTGGAGCGGGGTCCGCAGGGGTAGGGCAGTCATTGGGGAGGTAAGAGCCCAATATTCTTTCCCATACCACAAAGACACTGCCCAGAATCCATTCTGGGGGGCTGAGGTTACTCCACCTTTTCTGCACACTGAGTCTTCACAGACACCTATGGTCCACTTGGCTTTATCTCCCACCTCTACCTCCCAATAATGTCTCCCGGCGATGAAGCATGGAGAGCCCAAGACACAGGGAAACAGATTGAACCTCTCGGGGTTGTCAGGCAGGTCCTGTTGGAGGTAACTGTACCGCACTTGCCGCAGATTATCAGAGAGGATCAGGCTGGGGTAGGCCGTGTCTGGGTCCAGAGTCACGTCCACTGCAGAGACACAAGGAAGACAGTCAGCCGTGGGCCAGGAGAGCCTATTTTAGAACACCCAGCGCCTTTCTACTACCTCCCCAATAATAAGAGGTTCCCACTGGAGGTTGCACGTATTTTATTTAGAATATATTCTAAACTTCACATTTCAAAAATTACTGCTTGGATTAGCTGGTTACCAGAATACACTGAAAATACAGAATTTTAGCCCCGTATCTTTTCTTTCACATCTGAAGCCACAATATCCATCATGAACTGATTTTAAGAGATAGGGTCTTGCTCTGTTGCCTAGGCTGGAGTGCAGTGGTGTGGTCATAGTTCATTGTAACCCCAAACTCCTGGGCTCAGGTGATTCTCCCGCCTAAGACACCCAAGTAGCTGGGACCATAGGTGTGCACTACCACCCTAATTTTAAAAAATTTTTTGTAGAGATGAGGTCTTACTATGTTGCTCAGGATGGTCTCGAACTCTTGGCCTCAAGCAATCCTCCCACCTCAACTTCCCAAAGCAATGGGATTTCAGGCATGAGCCACTGTGCCTGGCAGATACGCTGAATTGAGGTTTTCTTACACGCTCATCATCCCTTATTCTGAAAATTCCAGGGGCCCCAAGTTTCACAGAATTCAGAATATTACAGGTTTTAGACAGGCAGCATTCTATAATGAAGTATTAATAGATCTGCTGTGAGATTCATGAATGTTTACATAATGAAGGATAAAGGCTCTAAACAGTACCACATAAATTCAGGTTTTGATGCTATAATTAATTTCCCACAAAATAATGAAAAAGGTTTTGGCTTTCAGAGATTTGGGATTTTAGAACTGTGGGTAAGGGACTGGGAACCTGTATCAGTATGCTTACTTTTTAAATCACTCTTTTAAAATTATTTTTTACTTTTTTTTATTTTTTGAGATGAGGTCTCACTCTGTCACCCAGACTGTAGTACAGTGGCATAATCATGGCTCACTGCAGACTTCCCATTTCAGCCTTCCAAAGTGTTAGGACTACAGGTGTGAGCCACTACACCCAGCCCAAATCACTCTTTTATCCATTCTATAAGATCTTTACTCTGCACATCGAAGCTCTATTCATCTTCTTCTAATGTCCAGTCCAAAACACACATCCTCCAAGTTTTTCTTAATCTGCCCAGGCCATTACACTTACTGTTCTGAAATCTAAAACTGTGTATGACCCATGTCATCTCCTCTGGCATTTAGTATTACAGCATCTTGCTATCATCAAGTGTTTTCCTGCTTCAAAAACACTGATAATGGGCTGGATATGTGGCTCATGCCTGTAATCTCAGCACTTTGGGAAGCTGAGGCAAGAGGATTGCTTGCATACAGGAGTTTGAGACCCTGTCTCTACAAAAAATAAAAGTAAAAAAATTAGGCAAGCATGGTGGTGCATGCCTGTAATTCCAGCTACTCAGGAGGCTGAGGCAGGAGGATCACTTGAGCCCAGGAGTATGAGGCTGCAGCAAGCTATCACCATGCCACTGCACACCAGCCTGGGCAACAGAGAACCTGCCTCTAAAATGAATAATAAAAAATTTAAAAAATTAAAATAATAAATAAATAAATAAAAATACTGATATGTATTCTCTCATTTGCTCCTCACATCTTGTTCAGGAGGAAGAGTCCCAAACATTACCTCTCAGAAATTTAAGCCCACAAATTTTTACTCCCACAAAAGACAGGCAACTGATAGAGGTAACCAAGAACCCCAGAACCCTTGGCTCCTGGTTCAACAATCTGTCTACAACAGCTGCCTACCTTCTTCTTGTGTCATGGGTATACCTCCAACCAGACAATGTAAACCCCAAGAGTAGGATGACTTATGCTCTTCTGTTCCTCTAAAATACCCTGCACAATGTTAGGCAGTGTAGGATACAAGCAAAGTACTCATTTAATACTTGTTGAAAATAAATATGGATCAGAGCCACTGCACACCAAGGACTGCAGATCCACTGTATGTAGAGTCCTTCTCTTCATTTAGAGGATAATTCATAACAGAAGGTGACTGTGACTATGGGACGAATACACCTTAGATTTGAATACTTCTGCAATGTTAAATTTACCCAGGCTCTATAGTAGGGTGAAAGCGGTTGTGAGGGGGAAGGGAAGTTTCAAACTTTGCTCTGAGGCACAGTGATGGGATGACACAAGACTCCTAGACTTCCTCTAGCACTCAAGAGCACTATTGTGGAGCTCAATCAGTCCTGCTTGTCACAAACCATGGTTTGACCCTGAAGCTGGGCGGGCAGAGCAGTGTACTAGTGTACCAGCTCTGTTCTACTTTTGGGGAACTGCGGTTTCCACCCTATAATCCTTCTTTAACACCTGAGATTGATTTTACCCTATGGCTTCAGCTCTGAGACATTTCAGGAGGCAAAGATACTGTTAACACATAGAAACAACTGAGGATTTTTGTGGTTGTTGTGTATCATCTTTATACATGTAACCAAAAGAATCCAAATCTAAGCAATTTCCAAATCATTCATAATAGTAGTTAGGTTCACAAGGATTTTTACTCCTTACCCTAATATGGTTTTGTCTCTCATCACCTACCTGAGTATAACTGAGCCTCTCTTAATTCTGAAAGAATAAAAGAGCAAAGTTATGGAAGTCATGAGGGTTTCCAGGAAATACATAACTAAGGGGGCTTTGGTTAGTCATCATAAAGCAGTGGTCTCCACCAGAAACCCCAGAACCTCTGTTGTTAGTCATGCACTAATTTTTTCATATGATGTATGGCTCTATCATCCAACCAAAAGCTTTAAGGGGAGAGGGATTGGGAATCTTAAGTACAGGGATAACCACATGCCTGAGACTGGTAGAATATGGGATAAAACTGAGCCAAGATCAAGAATTCCACCTTCCAGTGAGTCAGCTGATTCTGCAGAGGGAAACGCGGTTCCAACCCCACGTCATACATAACTTTTGAGTTGCATAAGTCATCTGTGTACAAGAGCTGAATGGCTCAAGTGACACTCACTGACACTCTGGGGTAAACATGACCATTCATTTATAAGGCACTTTATAGTTGAAACAGAATTTTTCACACATTATCCCACTAAGACTTTTAAGTGGCAAGAAAAGAAGAGCCAGATCAAGGAAAGTCATGCCTGAACTAACCACTTCTGGTATTATCCACTGTATTGAGTGGAGTTTCTCCCCATTTGTCTTGCTTGTAGAGGACATGTATCTGCTAGCTCTATGTTGCTAGATGCCCCAAAAAGTATATATCTGAATAGATGCAATGCATATATGAACCCAGCATATACAAAATAGAAAATTATCAAAGATTGTGGGGGTTTGTAATTTCTAATAATTAAGAGAAGGGTTTACCTACATATAAGGATTTCAGAATCCACCAGACTGCCCAGGAATTTTAGTATTCCTGGGTGGAATAATATATGGCCAACTCTTTACTGAATGTGGCTCGTGAGCAGAAAAATTTTAATTTGGAAAAGCTTCTCCAAATGCCTAGAACGATTTAATAAACATAAATATAGGACTTATTATGTGTCAGGTTCTATTCTAGAAGTGTTAGAAATGGTAAATAACCTTAATTCTTATACCTCAGGAGGTAAGAACTATTACTGTTCTGTTACAGATGAGGAAATTACTTGTTGAATCCTTACTAAGTGGTAGAGGCAGGCCCAGAACCCAGGCAGCCTGACTCCTGACTGCCCGCTCCTAACCATGTCCCTGGCGGTGCTGCCTGTCAGTGCTGCTGGATTCCTCCAGCCCGAGCTGGCACCTGTGCCCACAAGCAGTAGGAACTCAGTAAATTACAATGATAAACACTGGCTCAAGTGAAACGTATCCAAGGTAGTTTTTGTTCATTCTTTCCGAAGTAAACAATCAAATTAATTCTGGATTAATTTTTGGATTGCTTATTTTTCTCCTCCATCAATGCAGACTGCGAATTGACTAAATACAGTTAACAAACTTCAAATTAGAACAAGAAGCTGTTAATTGAGAAAATTAATTAAGACCAAAGGGAAGATGTAAAATATCAGGGAAGGCTGGCCAATGGGTATCACCCTTATCCCACATTTCCCACTTTCAGTGCAGATGTTCTTTTTTCCAAGCAACTTTACATCAAAAGCCCAGTAGGTAGATAAATTTACCTTGGATTTTCTCCATATCTGACTGCATTTTTTCTAAGAAAAGAAAACAAGAAAATATTCAGTCTGCATCCCACTATCTGGCTGGAAAATTATCCTCTTCATCAGGCAATATGCAGATACTCAGTATAAATCCATTTCCCCTCATGACACCTCTCCTCACATTACCTGTGAACTGCTTTAGACTCTCCGTCAAGAATAGACATTTTTGGGCAAAAATGTGGATTTTCTCTTGCAAATCTGGAGGTGTGATCCAAGGTTCAGGAATCCTGATTCTTTCAGCCCTAAATTTAAAAAACATGAGTAAATTTTTTTTTTTTTTGAGATGGAGTTTCGCTTGTTGCCCAGGCTGGAGTGCAATGGCGCCATCTCGGCCCACCGCAACCTCTGCCTCCCAGGTTCAAGCGATTCTCCTGCCTCAGCCTCCTGAGTAGCTGGGATTACAGGCATGCGCCACCATACCCAGCTAATTTTGTGTTTTTAGTAGAGATGGGGTTTCTCCATACTGGTCAGGCTGGTCTCGAACTCCTGACCTCAGGTGATCCTCCCGCCTCGGCCTCCCAAAGTGCTGGGATTACAGGCGTGAGCCACCACGTCCGGCCCAAGTAAATTCTTTTTCCCAATTCCATGACCTTCCAGGAACTAGGACAGGGGCTAAGTTAAACTGTCTAGCGTACACGGACAGTCTTTAAAATCAGCCACTACAGCTTTTCCCACCTTCTCTTCCTGAGCTATGATCCTCTAGACCAAAATAGGATACTGTACTCATTCTCATACCCCCCAAAGCACCTAGCTCACAGCTTTTCAAATACTAAGTACTCAAAAAGGTTTACTGAATTACATATGAGGCTGACTTTGCCAGAAAGCACTAGATTCCATGACAGTCCTTGATATTTATGGTGGGCAATTAACCCGAATTCTCAGGTTCCCAAATATGGAAAGAATGACATGTTCAGATAGAAAGGCACTGTGGGGGACATTACCCAATTCCCTAGCCCTGCAAGGATGTCTATAGCAAAGACTGCCAGTTGCCTATCCAATACCCCTTCTGCCATCTTCTGCCTTTTATGGCTCACAGCTGCCCAGTCCCTCATAGCTAGATGTGACCTTGTGACTAAGTTCTGGCCTATGAGAAGTAAGACGTATCTCATGGTGTTTTGAGAAATCTACTTAAAAATGTAACATGACCGGGAACAGTGGCTCATGCCTGCAATCCCAACACTTTTGGAGGCCAAGGTGGGATAATTACTTTGAGGCTAGGAGTTCAAGACCAGCCTGGGCAACATGGTAAGACCCTGCCTCTACAAAAAAGAAAAATGAAAAAAAAAAAAAAACGAAGAAAAAAAGGTAATGTGATGCGACTTATCTCCTTCTTCTTGGTTGGCATTCTACCAGCTATTGTGGACTATATGAGGACCATACCTTAGGGATGGTAGAACAGTGAATGGGAAGAAACCTGAGTCTCTGAGGATCACTGGAGTTACCACACTAGCCACAGACTACCTACCTGCACATTTCTTACTATTTTTTTCTTTTGAGAGGGAGTCAGGCTCTGTCGCCCAGGCTAGAGTGCAGTGGCATGATCTCAGCTCACTGCAACCTCCGCCACAAGAGTTTGAGCAATTCTCCTGCCTCAACCTCCCAAGTAGCTGGGATTACAGGCATGCACCACCACGCCCAGCTAATTTTTGTATTTTTAGTAGAAATGGGGTTTCACCATGTTGGTCAGGCTGGTCTCGAACTCCTGACCTCAGGTGATCCACCTGACTTGGCCTCCCAAAATGCTGGGATTACAGGTGTGAGCCACCGCACCCAACCTGCACATTTCTTTTATTATGTTTAAGCCTTAAGCCAATAAAATTTTGGGTTTCCTATCTTATATAGCCAAATTCAATCCTTAATGTCACAAACTGCTAGGGTCTGAGGCAGCTAACTCTGTATGTTAGGTCACAGCTAGACTGGCATCATAAAGTATCAGGTAACAGTATTATTTGCTTAGGTCATCTGGCTGGGACTGGTATGAACTCCACCTTATCTCCATCCTAGGATCCCTCAGGAACCTCAATTCCATCAACATGATTCTATCAACACAGGCCTCCCAGCCAAACTGCCCCATCTATAAGGACCTCCCCAATCTCCTTAAATGCTCCCACATAGTCAAGCTGCATTTTGCTTTAGAAGGTTTTCACCATTCAGGATCTTAATCACCTTCACAGTACAGCTTCCTCAAAGTCAGTTTCCACCCCTGAAGGCATTCTTACACCAAACATGAGCTTCCCAAGGCCCATCCCACTTGCCTCGTCATCCATCCTGCAAAACAACTTTGCCCTGGCTTACTGCCCCCTCCAAGCTCTCCCTCTTTGATCGTGTTCCAGCTGCCAGGGAGTTCTTCCTCACTTTTTTTTTTTTTGATGGAACATAGAGAAATAGCAAGAGTAAGAATAAGAGCCAGAATCCAGGTGGCTCATCAGTAATTATGTAAATGCAGGCCAGTCACACCTTTCTTAGGCTTTATTTCCCCCATTACAGAAAAAAAAAAAAATGAGATAATGAAGGGGGAAAGGATTCTGAAATGTATAGGAAGCAATAGACATAAACTACCCTTATATTCAGCCCAGGTCCCTGTAAGGCCACACCCTCTCCATGGAAGTGTCCTCATACCCCTAATCCACCGGCAGCCTCCCACATGAACCCCCTACTTCCTGAATTTTACTGAGTAGAGCTGTGGTTCATCTAATTCTTTGTATACTAGTGACTCTCTTCAGGGATATGTGTCAATTTGATAAGATGTCCATCCTCAGGCTCAGGGCTCCTTTCAGGATTTACAAATGTGAAGGAGACAGTCTTCTCATATTTGATTTAACACTAGGGAAACAGAAAACTATACCTGCTCAATGTGTCCCCAATGTCCTGCAAGAGAAAGGAAAAAAAATAACCATGAGAAGTCATTTAAAACTTCGGTTTTCTTTCACAGATGTTTGTTGAAAAACCAACTACAGACTGGCTCTCATGGGAGAAATTAGGGAGAAAAGGATCACTGGAACATAACTCAGTGTTGAGGAGCTAAAAGGCAGGCAGAGGAAAATGGGATGCATACTATTTGCTATACCAGCATTTCCCATACCCTCCTTCAGTACCCACCATCCACTGGTCAAGGACCTCAGGATTTCAAATTTACTAACTTAAGCGTCCTATGATTGGACCTCAAGCTTGCCTACCTGTCCAGCTTGCTTTCTTTTTATTATGAAATAATTTCAAATACACGGAAAAGCTGTTAGTACAAAGAACTCCAGTATACTTTTTTTTTTTTTTTTTTTGAGACGGAGTCTCGCTCTGTGTAGCCCAGGCTGGAGTGCAATGGCGCGATCTTGGCTCACTGCAACCTCTGCCACCCGGGTTCGAGCAATTCTCCTGCCTCAGCCTCCTGAGTAGCTGGGACTACGGGTGTCTGCCATCACGCCCAGCTAATTTTTGTGTTTTTAGCACAGACAGCATTTTGCCATGTTGGCCAGGATGGTCTTGAACTCCTGACCTCAGGTGATCCACCCACCTCGGCCTCTCAAAGTGCTGGGATTACAAGTGTGAGCCAGCGGTGGCCTCTCCCTTCTTTCATACACAAAAAGTAGCATACTCTTGTCAGGCGCGGTGGCTCACGCCTGGGCAACAAGAGTGAAACTCTGTCTCAGGAAAAAAAAAAAAAGTAGCATACTCTCTATTTCACATTTTTATTTTCCACAAAGCAATATATACTGAAAACCACTCCGTATCAGTTCATAGGTATCATTCTTTTCCTTTTTTTAACTTGGATAGTATTCCATAGTGTATATGTGCATAATTAACTAAAACAATCTTGTAGGTTTCTAAGTCAGACTATTTCCAGTATTTTGCAATTATAAAAATGTTGCAGCAGGTTATCTTGTGCATATGTATTTTCAAATATATTTTAATAGTTATATCTTCAAAGTAAATTCTTAGATTTTTAAAATTTTTTATTGATACGTAACAGACATATATATTTTGGGGGTGCATGCGATAATTTAACACATTCATAATTTGTAAAGAAATCAGTGTATTGGGATATCCATCACATCGTTAAATATTTGCCTTTTCTTTATGCAAGAAGCATTGCAATTATTCTCCTCTAGTCACTTTGGACTATAAAATAGGCCAGGCGCAGTGGCTCACGCCTGTAATCCCAGCACTTTGGGAGGTCCAGGCGGGCGGATCACCTGAGGTCGGGAGTTTGGGACCAGACTGGCCAACATGGAGAAACCCCGTCTCTACTAAAAATACAAAATTAGCCGGGCATGGTGGCGTATGCCTGTAATCCCAGCTACTCGGGAGGCTGAGGCAGGAGAATCGCTTGAACCCGGGAGGCAGAGGTTGCGGTAAGCTGAGATCTTGCCATTGTACTCCAGCCTGGGCAACAAGAGTGAAACTCCATCTCAAAAAAAAAAAAAAATATATATATATATATATAATATACGTATGTATATGTGTGTGTATATACATAGATATATATAATAGTTTTGTAAACTACAGTCACCCTACTGACCTATCAAACACTAGGTTTTATTTCTTCTATCAAACTGTATATTTGTACCCATTAATCAATCTCTCATCTCTCCTCCCTCTACCCTTCCTAGAAAAATTGTTAATTCTAACTGTGTGTATACATACACACACACACATACAGTTTTGTTAAATATTGAGAAATTCTCCTCCAAAAGGGTCATGATTTTGCATTCCTACCAGCCCACTGGCATATGAGTGTCTCTCCGACACTTCGTCAAAAGTGTATTAAGTTGAAAATTTTTGCTATTGTAACGAGTAAGAAATGGTATTTTAGTGTGGTTTTAGTTTGCATTTCTCTTATTATAAGTACAGCTGAGCATTTTTTCACATGTTCACAAAGCAATTTATGTCTTTTGCAGCTTGTCTATTTGTGCCTTCAACCCATTTTTCTCTAGAATTTTGGTCTTTTCTCTCGCAATACTTAAAAGGTCTTTTTATATTAGAACTATCACTTGTATTTGTGATATTTGTGGCAAATATTCAATTTTAATACTATCTTCTGACTGGTTACAATGTGTGTGCGCTTTTTTCTTGTACTAATACCAACAGCTTTAATTATATGGGCTTTAAAATATGGTGTAGTATCTAGTAGGGCCAGTTCTCCCTCAGAGCTCTTCTTTCACAGTGTAGCCTACCTATGTTTTTTTTTTTTTTTTAAGACAGAGTCTTGCTCTGTTACCCAGGCTGGAGTGCAGTGGTGCAATCATAGCTCACTGCAGGCTCAACCTCTTGGGCTCTAGTGATCTATCCCAGCTTTTTTTTTTTTTTTTGAGACAGAGTCTTGATCTGCCTCCCAGGCTGGAGTGAAATGGTGCGATCTCAGCTCACTGCAACTTCCACCTCCGGGTTCAAGAGATTCTCCTGCCTCAGCCTCCCAGGTAGCTGAGATTACAGGCATGTGCCACCACACCTGGCTAATTTTTGTATTTTTAATAGCAACGGGGTTTTGCCATGTTGGCCAGGCTGGTCTCAAACTCCTGACCTAATGTGATCCACCTGCCTCGGCCTCCCAAAGTACTGGGATTACAGGTGTGAGTCACTGCACCCGGCCTATCCCATAAAAATAAGCACATAATAATATGTGCTTATTTTATATGTGCATATTATTATGTGCTTATTTTTCTATCTGAAGTTGACTGTCAATTTGTCTAGATCCAGAAAAAGAGCTTGTTGGTATTTTTATTGAAATTGCAAGGGTGGGGGGGGGGGGATGAGGGATAACAGATTACTTAATGGGTACAACGTACACTGGGTACCTGGGTGATGGTTACACTGAAATCCGAGACTTCACTACATAATATATCCGAGTAACAGAAAAAAAAAAGAAACTGCATTTATGAATGTGAAGGACAACTTGCTTTCCCTGTCTTATCAAAGAATAAGTGATATCTCTTTATTTGTTCAAGTTTATTTTGTGTCTTTCAGGAATCTTTGAATGTTTTATAATTTTCTCCACATAGGTTTTTGTATATTTCTTATAAATTTATTCCCAGATATTTTATCACTTGTTTTTTTTTTGCAAATGGAAACAGCATGTTCTCTTCTAATATGTCTTCTAGTGGCTGCTATCTGGCATATGAAGGCTGCTGATTTCTGTATGTTAACTTCTTTCCCAATTTGTATACCTATAATTATTTTATTTAACTGAACTGGTTAGAACCTTTAATGCAGTGTTAAATAGAGATAAATGATACTGGGCATCCGGCCTGTTTCTGACCTCAATGGGAATGCCTCCAGTATTGCCCCATTAAGTAATATTTATCCTGCTTTTCCAGTGACTTCCAACATAAACACTTTTTGATATTCATGGAGCCCCTCCTCCCTTACTGAGTCCATGACTTCTTTCTTTCTCTCCTTTCCTCATCATCCACCTTCAGTTTCATGCTCCATCTGTTTAAAAAAATATTCTTAAAAAAAAAAAAAAAAAAAAAAAGAAGCTTTAGACCAGGCGCAGTAGCTCACGTCTATTATACCAGCACTTTGGGAGGCCAAGGTAGGCGGATCACCTGAGGTCAGGAGTTGAAGACCAGCCTGGCCAACATGGTGAAACCCCATCTCTACCAAAAATACAAAAATTAGCTAGGTGTGGTGGTGTGTGCCTGTAATCCCAGCTACTCGGGAGGCTGAGGCAGGAGACTCACTCAGGAGGTGGAAGCTGCAGTGAGCTGAGATTGTGCCACTGCACTCCAGCCTGGGCAACAGAGTGAGACTTTGTCTAAAAAAAATTTAAAAAAAGGTTTTAAAGCCTTAATTATGGTGCTTGCTTCAGCAGCAGATATCCTCAAATGGGAACCATGCACAGATTAGCATGGCTCCTGCACAAGGATAACACACAAATTTGTGAACCATTTTCTACTTTTTGTGTTCAATGTTCACAGCAGCACTATTGACAATAGCCAAAAGGTGCAAACAACCAAAATGCCCATCGACTGATGAATAAACAAAACATATTATATATCCATACAATGGAATGTTATTCAGCCATAAAGAGAAATACTGAAACATATATATATGTACTGAAATATATATTTTTTCATATATATATTTTTTGAGATGGAGTCTCATTCTATTGCGTAGGCTGGAGTGCAATGGCACGATCTCGGCTCACTACAACCTCTGCCTCCCAGGTTCAAGTGATTGTCCTGCCTCAGCCTCCTGAGTAGCTGGGATTACAGGCATGCGCCACCACGCCTGGCTAATTTTTGTATTTTTAGTAGGGACGGGGTTTCACCATGTTGGCCAGGCTGGTCTCGAACTCCTGACCTCGTGATCTGCCCACCTCGGCCTCCTGAAGTGCTGGGATTACAGGCGTGAGCCGCCGCGCCTGGCCAGTACTGAAACATATTACAATATGAATGAATCTTTAAAAAAATATGCTAAGTGATAGGCCGGGCGTGGTGGCTCACACCTGTAATCCCAATACTTTGGGAGGCTGAGGTGGGTGGATCACCTGAAGTCAGGAGTTTGAGACTAGCCTGACCAACATGGAGAAACCCCGTCTCTACTAAAAATACAAAATTAGCCAGGGGTGGTGGCGCATGCCTGTAATACCAACTACTCGGAAGGCTGAGGCAGGAGAATCGCTTGAACCTGGCAGGCGGAGGTTGCGGTGAGCGGAGATCGTGCCGTTACACTCCAGCCTGGGCAACAAGAGTGAAACTCTGCCTCAAAAAAAAAAAAAAGTATGCTAAGTGAAGAAAAAGGCTACGTACTGTATGATTTCAATTATATCTAATATCTAGAATAGACTAATCCATAGAGCCAGGAGTTAGGGGTAGAAGGAAATGAGGAGTGATTGCTTAATAGTGTGAGGTTTCCTTTTGGGTGGTAAAAGTGTTTTAGATCCAGACAGTGGTTGATAATTTACAACACTGTGGATTTACTAAATGCTACTTTGTGCCAGAGTTTTACACTTTAAAATGGTGAAATTTAGGTTACGTATATTTTACAATTAAAAAAATGAAGAAGGCTGGAAGGCTGGATGTGGTGGCTCACACCTGTAATCCTAGCACTTTGGGAGGCTGAGGCGGATGGATTGCTTGAGCCCAGGAGTTCAAGACCAGCCGAGGCAACATGGCAAAACTCCATCTCTACAAAAATTACACAAATTAGCCAAGCATGGTGGTTTACGCCTGTAGTCCCAGCTACTTGGGAGGCTGAGGTGGGAGGATCATCTGAGCCTGGGAGGTCAAGGCTGCGGTGAGCCATGATCATGTCACTGCACTCCGGCCTGGGTTTCAGAGTGAGACCCTGTCTCAAACAACAACAATAAAAACTAAGGAAAAAAAAACACTCAAGTCCATCTTGCAAAACCCCAATCCTGGATGAGACTGACCATCTGCTTACTCAGTGCCCACGCCAGAGCAGTCAAGATTTGAGAAAGCAAAGCTGATAAGAAAGTTACACGACAGGGGCTGGGCACGGTGGCTCGCACCTGTAATCCCAGCACTTTGGGAGGCCGAGGCAGAAGGATCACCTGAGGTCAGGAGTTCAGGACCAGCCTGGCCAACATGGTGAAACTCCGTCTCTATAAAAAATACAAAAATTAGCTGGGCGTGGTGGCACATGCCTGTAATCCCAGCTACTTGGGAGGCTGAGGCAGGAGAATTGCTTGAACTTGAGAGGGGGATGTTGCAGTGAGCCAAGATTGCACCACTGCACTCCAGCCTGGGCAACAGAGCAAGAGTATGTCTTAAAAAAAAAAAAAAAAGAAAGTTACACAACAGGGCAGAATGGTTACACTATAAATAGATGTTCACTGACCAAATACTCCTACTAGTTCTCGCAAACCAACTGTCTTTCCCATACTCTGAAACAATCATTTCTTCCCATACAACAGAAGACTCTCTGACACTAATTCCTGGCATATGTACTTTAGTTCTCATTTCCACCTGCCTTCTCAGGAACCGCACATTGCTGATCAGTACATGGTTTCTTTCTTCCTTTCTTTTTTTTTTTTTTGGAGACAGGGTTTCGCTCATTGCCCAGGCTGGAATGCAATGGCGCAATCTCGGCTCACTGCAACCATCGTCTCACTGGTTCAAGCGATTCTCCTGCCTCAGCCTCCTGAGTAGCTGGGATTACAAGCATGCGCCACCACACCCGGCTAATTTTGTATTTTTAATAGAGATGGGGTTTCTCCATGTTGGTCAGGCTGGTCTCAATCTCCCGACCTCAGGTGATCTGCCCACCTCGGCCTCCCAAAGTGCTGGGATTACAGGCATGAGCCACCGTGCCCGGCCAGTATATGGTTTCTTGTGGCTTCAGTGTTCTCCCTCACCTAGAAACCTTACAACATATACTCCTTTCCATACGTATTTTGAAAATATGTCTAACTTCTAGTTTCTTTAACCAACCCTTCCAGATAAAACTCCATAATCCTGTCTCGTCTCTAAGTATTTTATTACAACCCCTTAACAGTTGTACTTGAAATAGTCATCTACTTGTGTAGTCTCCATTCACCTGACCTAGTCACTACTCAACTCCCCCTAATGTGGCTCCTGCCCCAATTATTCCATTGTGATAGTTCTACCTAAGATCACCAATGATGGTCATGTTATTGAATCAAATGGGTATCAGCTTTGATATTATTTGACCTCAACTGCATTACTATGCTGTCCACTCCCTTCTTGCTTCGTCTCAAAAATAAAAAAAGAAAAAAAGAAAGAAAGAAATACATTTTTCTGATTTTTACCATTTAAAAATGTAAACTGGCCTGACGCTGTGGCTCACACTTGTAATCCCAACACTTTGGGAGGCCGAGGAGGGCAGATCACGAGGTCAGGAGTTTGAGACCAGCCTGACCAATATGGTGAAACCCCGTCTCTACTAAAAATACAAAAATTAGCCAGCCATGGTGGTGTGCGCCTGTAATCTCAGCTACTCAGGAGGTTGAGGCAGGAGAATCGCTTGAACCCAGGAGGCGGAGGTTGCAGTGAGCCAAGATCGCACCACTGCACTCCAGCCTGGGCAACAGAGCAAGACTCAATCTCAAAATAAATAAATAATATTAAATTAAAATTAAAATGTAAAAACCATACTTATTGCCCAGGACATACAAAAACAGGGGATGGACCATAATTTGCTGACCCTTGCCCTATGCCATCATCCATTTTTATTTTTATTTTTTATTATTTATTTATTTTTTTGAGACAGAGTCTCGCTCTGTTGCCCAGGCTGGAGTACAGTGGCGCGATCTTGGCTCACTGCAACCACTTCCTCCTGGTTTTGGGCAATTCCTTGCCTCAGCCTCCCGCGTAGCTGGGACTACAGGCACACCGCCATGCCTGGCTAATTTTTGTATTTTTAGTAGAGACGGGGTTTCCCCATCTTGGCCAGGCTAGTCTTGAAGTCCTAGACCTTGTGATCCACCCGCCTCGGCCCCCCAAAGTGCTGGGATTACAGGTGTGAGCCACTGCACCTGGCCCGCCATCATCCATTTTTAATGGCTTTTATCAAATACCTATAAGAACTATCTGATCGCCACACTAAAATATAATTCAGGAAAGCTTATTTGGCACTTAATCCCAGTGCCTAGAATAGTGCCTGACACAAAGCAAATAATTAATACGCACTGAATGAGCAAACGACAGACAGGCATTAGCTCATTTCCTGTAGTCTTGCCGGGGTAGGTCTGCTGCAGCTTTATCACCTGCTCTACCAAGGTTAAATCACAGGACTGCTCAGGTAACCTAACCACTCCTGCTCAAGTGCTCATTGTTTTGTGGCTATAGTAATACATTAAAACTACAGGATACTGGAGTGAGGAGAGTCTTTGAATGACATGTGGTCTAAGCCCCTCATTACTGAACAAATGAGGTCACTGAGGCCCAAAAAGGTTGAGAGCCTTGCCTGTAATCAGACCACTTGTCAGTGCTGTGTAGGCACAAGCACCAGGTCTTCTTTTTGCCATTTCTATGAGACAACGCAATTGACTAATTCAAGTTGTGTGAACCAGAACTTCTAGTTTACACAGTTTCCTTCCAAGGTGCACAATATAGAGTTTGGCAAGCTCTTGCTATTCCTGCAGAGTTAAAAAGAAGACAGGGGGTCCTGGATACTACTTGGCAAAGGAGAAGGGACGATATTTTCAGTGGGTGCTGCTCTAGCAGGGCTCTGCAAGCCTTACCTGCAGGAGCTCCCTGGTGGGCTGCTGCTGCTTCTCTTCTAGCTGAGCGATCAGGCTGCTGAGGTGGGAGATGTTGCAAGAGAACTGGGTGATGGCACCATTGATGCTATTGTAGATGGCCAAGTCTAGCTCCTCAAGGCGGGCCAGGAGGCGATACTCATGCTCCTTTAAGGAGTGATACAGCTGCTCAAACTCCCAAACAATCTTCTCCCTCTCCATCTGGGTTAGGCTCTATGCAGACGACAGGGAAAGGCAGTAAAGAGAAAAACGGCTCATTTCTAGGGCCTTCATAGTTCTCCTGTGACCATGTAGCCCAAGACCTCATTATGGATTAAAACAAGCACAGTGCTAACTCATTATTTCCAGTCTTTACTGACTGGATATATAATGCCCAGGAACTGAATTACCCCAGTGATTATTAAGACATAGTCCCTGTTCTCAAGCAACTCAGAGAAGTGAGTCAGGTTCATATGATATACATAGTCATGGATGGGTAATTAAAGATAGGGTGACAGCCTGCAATGAAAGAAACTGGTACCATCTTCACAGAAGCAATTTCACACAATGTTCATGTGATGAACAAGAATTCACCACATAGGCAATGAGCGGGAAGCCTTTCCAGGCAGAAGAAATGGCACAGGCAAAAGAGTGGGGAGAGAAAGCAAATGGTGCTATCTGGCTGGAGCACATGAGTGTTGAGGGAAGGGACCAGAAAAGGTAAGGCCTTGTCATGCCTGGCCTGGGAGGCTGGGGGTAAGGACTCTATCCCAACTGGGAAGCATGGAAGATTGTCACACAGGAAAGTGACAGGGTCAGATATGTGCCCTATGGAGGATGGAACAACCAATAACAGCTTCCTTGCCCAATTTCCCTGGGCCCTTCATATGTAATCCATACCCGCTGTCTGTCCTTCACGGGTGTTCACCAACTGCTGTCTCTAGCTTTGGGTAGGAGGGGGAGAGGTGCTCTCCCCACGATTCCCTCTTGGCGCTCATTTGTTTGCCATAATTTACTGTCCTTCGTTCTTCACCCAACCCCCACCACCAACAGGACTCTATTATAAACTTTTGTTCTAAACAAGGAGCCAGGCTGGGCGCGGTGGCTCACGTCTGTAATCCCAGCACTTTGGGAGGCTGAGGTGGGCGGATCACCTGAGGTCGGGAGTTCGAGACCAGCCTAACCAACATGGAGAAACACCATCTCTACTAAAAATACAAAAATTAGCTGAGTCTGTTGGCGTACGCCTGTAGCCTCAGCTACCTGGGAGGCTGAGGTGGGAGAATCGCTTGAACTGGGAGGCAGAGGTTGCAGCGAGCCAAAACCTCACCATTGCACTCCAGCCTGGATGACAGTGAGACCCTGTCTTAAAAAAAAAAAAAAAATTCCCATATACCCCTAATATAAATTAACACATCAGCCACTTGTTAAGGCCTTGAGACTGGAGGAAGAGGGCAGAGTAAAAAATTCAGAATTAAGGCATTGTTAAGAAAGGAGAATAAGCCAAAGAGAAGCAACAGTGGGGATTACACAAATCCACTATTAGCAATTGTCTGCAGAATGGTACCAACGCAAGCTAACTGTATCCAATAATTTTACCTATCTCAGCTTTGCCAAGGATCAACCCTGGTCTACGCAGTTAGCAGGTTAAAGTAAACTGACAGGTCTGATTTCCAAGGGTTCCAAACTTGGCTTCTCCATGCTTTCCCCAAAAGTAAGGGAATCTTAGTTCTCCGGGTGAGTTCCCACTGCCATGTGCGGTTGATCCACCTCTACCTACAAGTTCTGGGTGACATGCTGGACAAGTTTAAGGGAAGTAACATCAGCTCTACAGAAGAGGAGAGCACCAGCAGAACCAACTGTGAATTCCAACAACCCTTACCAAGAGTTCAGCTCGTGCCTGTTCCCCCTGGGCCCGACGTCTCTTCTTTAAATCTTTCACTCTTTTTAAATGGTCGAGCTGGTTCTGGATTTGCTCCTGAGAAAAGCAAAACAGATGGGCAGTTCAAAATTAGGTAGACCTTAGCATCAGCATGGTACTTCTTATCACACATGGAGTCCACACACCTGATGCCAAGTCTCCAGTTGGCGCTTGTCCTTAGGCCACACTGCCACCCACAAGAGACTCAGGGCGCAGGGGCAAACAAGCCACTCCTTTGGCAATCTGTGTCTATCTTAGCAGCCTGTGGCTTCAACCACTCAGCTACCTCGTCAGGACTATTTGTGTCTATCTTAAACAATGAGTCATCTACCTGTCCCTGGTAGGATATTGCATGACTTAGCGGAACTGTGACTGGAGTAGGAGGCTTAGAACTATGTTGTATTGTAGCTCTTCCATATAGGTACACTGTGAAAGTGACTTATTTCCCTCATGTGTGAAATGGGCAAACACCATCTTCCCAACCTACTCAAGAGTTCTCACCAGAGTGAGTGAAATAATATAGCTGAAAGGTCCATAAATGTTAAGTGATTGCACATGAATGTACTCATATTTAAACACGGACATAATTGTGTACGCATTCCTGAAGCCCTCAACGTACAGAAAATACACAGTATCATGGACTCCTTGAAGGTCACCTTACAACTGTTTTATATGTAATACTTTGTTTCCACGTTTCTGTTTAGCTGTGCCAGTTCACAAAGGGCTCTGTGAGTCACATGATTCCACAATATTCCTCATAACTGTGTTATCTCCTGAGTCTCAGAGTGGTTAAGTGACTTACTCCAGCAGCGAAAAGCTGTTCTTTTCTGTGAGTTTCTAGACCAGGACGGATTGCAGGAAAGTGCTGGGGAAATGCTTATAGACTAAGGAATGGGCATAAGTCAGTTAACGTCCAACTGCGTTTTGTCTGAGAGCCGATGGGAGTAAGAGTGTCTGCAGCTTGTCGATGTGTACGCGGTTTTATGCACTTCTTTTAAACTGTCAAAAGGATGTCTCCGTGTACAATGTGTCCGTGAGACAGGTAACATGGGGGTAAACAGAGAAAAGAGAGTGGGGGTGGGGACACTCCTGCCTTCCTCGCCAGCTACAGGTTTTCCTCCAAATCTGAGTGCTGAGGCTCTGGAGCGGACAGAGAGGAAATGACGGCTGTGAACCACACGTCCGGCTCAGCCATTTTCTAGGCGGAAAAAAGGAAGCCCCTTTGGCTCTCTCCTCCCTTTGTCCGACTCGCGCTCCCGCCCTCCCGGATCCGCGCCCTCACCTTGAAGCCCTCCACCGCCTCCTCGAGCGGCAGCACGCTGTGGCCGCGGTGCTCGCGGGAGCGGTCGCACACCACGCAGATGGGCATCTGGTCCTCCTCGCAGTACAGCTTCAGGGGCTCGCGGTGCTTCTCGCACACGCCCATCTCGCCGCCGGGCCCCGACGGCCGCTCGGTGCGCAGCTGCTTTACCAGTTGGGTCACGTTGGCCAGGTGCCGGTTGGGCCGCATGTGCCTCTGCGGGAAGGTCTCCCGGCACTGCGGGCACGACACGTTAGTCTCTGCCGTGCCCCAGCAGCGGGCGAGGCACGCGCAACAGATGTTATGGCCGCAGTCGAGCATCATGGGCTCTGCGAAGTACTGCAGGCACACGGGGCAGGTGGTCTCCTGCTGCAGGCACTCGGCCACACTCCCGGAGGCCATGGCGCCGGCCTGCGGGGGCGCACGGGCATGGGCCCCGGCGCCGAGCTCCGCACTGAGCCCAACTCTCCGGCGCTCTCTCCGGTTCGCTGTTCCTGAGAGGCACCGGGCGGACGGAGGGCGGCGCCTCCCGGGCCCGTATCCCAGACGCGCCCGCGCACCGAAGGCTTGGAGTGGCCGGGCCGATGCCTGCGCCTGTGCCCCCTAAGCGAGAGCGGGAATACGGCCGGCTCACCGAGGCTCGCGGCCACGCTAGTGGGGCAGGAAAGGGTAGCCGAGGGTCAGAGTCCCAGGGCCAGGCGGGCAAAGCGCGCAAGACAACGTGGCCGCGTCCGAGCGGATGCCGGCGGCAGCGTAAACCCCACCCCAGCGCGAGCGGAAGAGGCGGCTCGCGGGGGCGGGGCTTGGCTCGCGCTTCCAGCGAGTGACAAGATTTCGTGGCCTGGGGGCCTGAGCTGTTTCCTCTTGGAAAGGCCGAGGAGGCTCCGCCACTCTCCTTTGGACTGGTCGCGCTGAAGCTCTATCCTAGGGCACTGGTCGCAAGAGCAGATGGTGCCACACGCTCCGGGCCTACAAACTTCAGCGGCTGCCGGGCCCGGGCCCCTCGTCTTTTGTTGGGTTTCCTCTTGGTGCCAGGTCTCAGCCCCTGCAAAAGAAAGCTGGCTTTGGCCGCGCGCAGTGGCTCGCGCCTGTAATCCCAGCATTTGGGAGGCCAAGGCAGGTGGATCACGAGGTCAGGAGATCAAGACTATCCTGGCCAACATGGTAAAACCCCATCTCTACTACCAATAGAAAAATTGGCCGGGCGTGGTGGCAGGCGCCTGTAGTCTCAGCTACTCAGGAGGCTGAGGCAGCAGAATCCCTTGAACCCAGGAGGCGGAGGTTGCAGTGACCCGAGATCGCCACTGCACTCCAGCCTGCGGGACAGAGGGAGACTCTGTCTCAAAAAAAAAAAAAAAAAAAAAAGAAACGAAAAAATGAAAGCTGGCTTTGTATAGGTGCTGGGGAGCGCAAACACCTGGCCTCCCCAAGAGGCTGGAGGATGAGGAGGGTCACCGACTGAGCCCACCTGATAAGTGAGGCCTTTTATTAAACAGCCCCATTTGTAGGCACTTGCAGTTTTGTTTAGAAAAAGAAAGGTTTAATTATCAGATGGTAACATTTCTGTGTGTCAATAACAAGCCCAGTTCTGCTACCTCTCACTTGTGCCCAAGCAAGTTGGTTTACCATTCATTTACCTCAGTTTCTCCTCGTGTGAAATGGGGATGATAATTGTACCGCAGTAAGAAGTAGATTTCGTTACATCTTTTACTTTTTGAACCATAAGATTGTTTATCCATTAAAATGGTATTAAAATGCCCACTACGTAGGGTTGTTGTATTGAGTAGCAACTAAAAATTGCTTGCTCCTTTCTGAAGTATAGAGAAACTAAGAATCCTGCGGTGACCCAGGGTCTTGGAGTCCCACAATACTCATTGTCTTATCATCCAGTAGACCTCCAGCATTTTTATGTTGCTTTCTTATCCCTTACTTGGTGTTTCCTAGTTTTCTTTGAGATTTTCTCAATATTGTCTTGCTATCTGAGCAAGGCGGGCTTCTGCTTCCAGACCATCACTTTATTTTTATTTTTTCAAAGTGAAAGTAAGATTATTAAGAAAATAAAGGAATAAAGAATGGCTACTCCGTAGGCAAAGCAGCCCACATCATCACTTTAGAGAGTTCCACTCTGGTCCTCTTCCCCATGGGACAAGAAGTCTGAGGGATTAAGTGGACTTGCCAGCCCCAAACCCACATCTACCTTCTCAACCATACTCTGAGTACCCAGTCATTCAAATTCCAGTCCCAAATAGCTTTAGCCCATTTCCAGAAAAATGTAGAGTACTTGGGCCAGGCCACACCACAGTCTGGTCTTGGTTTGAGATTGGGTCAACAATGAAATTTGTAAGAATTAAAGGATATGTCTATTCTCATTTACTCCAAAAAGGACTAATAAGCATTGCAATACAGTGCAGAAATATGAGAGATATGGATAGGTAGATAAAGCTGCCCTTCATCTTCTCCTTTACTTGGGGGATGCAAGCCTTGAGTTTGGCTTTGTTTTTCAGAATTGATTGTGTTTATCTTACCAACCCTTTATTACCTCTGGAGGCAGGTGACCTGGGGGTAAAGAAAGGTAGAACAGGCAGGGTGTGGTGGCTCATGCCTGTAATCCCATCACTTTGGGAGGCTGAGGCGGGTGGATCGCTTAAGCCCAGGAGTTCAAGACCAGCCTGACCAACATGGTGAAACCCCGTCTCTACCAAAAATACAAAAACTCGATGGGCACAGTGGTGCACACCTGTAATCCCAACTACTCTGGAGACTGAGGCTGGAGAATCACTTGAGCCTGGGAGACAGAGGTTGCAGGGAGCCGAGATCAGGCCACTGCACTCCAGCCTGGGCAACAGAGCAAGACTCCGTTTCAAAAAAGAAAACAAAAGGAAAAAATTTTAAAAAGGTAGAACAAAATAGATGAGTTAGGTAGAACAAGGTGGGAGTGGGGGAAAGGGAATATTTACATTAGCAATCTCTAACAGTCCCCTTCCTTTTTTTTAATTTAAAAAAGTTACACCTGTCTTTTTCTCAATAAATTTTGTAAGAAAAAAGAAATTTTAAGAGATGGGGTCTTACTATGTTGCCTAGGCTAGTCAAGAACTCCTGGGCTCACGTGATCGTGACCCTCCCATCTCAGCCACCCAAAGTGAGGGGATTACAGGCAGAAGCCACCATGCCCAGCCCCTCTTCCTTGAGTGTTTACTGTCTTCCCTTCATCATCCAGATTTCATGGAATTTTGATTTGCTTAATTTACCTGTTCATGTTAATTTCTATTACTAATCCTAACCTATATTATTGCACCAGTGTGTCAGTTTACAAGTATTTTTCAAAGAATCGGTAACCGTGCAGCCTTCCCATTAATTTCTCTATTTGTACTTTTTCACTGATTCAAATACCACCTCAAGGAATAGAATCATCCTTAAAAATTCTTAAAGAAGAAAATGCTTTTCATTCTGTCGCTTCTTACTCAGACATCTTCAAAGTTTTGTGGGTTTTTTGTTGTTGTTGTTTATTTGTTTGTGTTTGCCTCTGGGACATTGTCCAAATTCTTTAGTATAAAGGCCTAATAAAATTCTTATTAATAGGCCCGGTAGCTCACGCCTGTAATCCCAGCACTTCCGGAGGCTGAGGTGGGCGGATCCCGAGGTCAGGAGATCATGACCAGCCTGGCCAACACAGTGAAACCCCGTCTCTACTAAAAATACAAAAATTAGCCGGGCATGGTGGCGCACACCTGTAGTCCCAGCTACTCAGGAGGCTGAGGCAGGAGAATCGCTTGAACCTGGGAGGCGGAGCTTGCGGTGAGCCGAGATCGCGCCACTGCACTCCAGCCTGGGCGACAGAGCGAGACTCTGTCTCAAAAAAAAAAAAAAGTATATTTTATTAATACTCTTTTTTTGAGACGGAGTCTCGCTCTGTCGCCCAGGCTGGAGTGCAGTGGCGCGATCTCGCGTCACCGCAACCTCCGCCTCCCAGGTTCACGCCATTCTCCTGCCTCAGCCTCCTGAGTAGCTGGGACTACAGGCACCCGCCACCATGCCCGGCTAATTTTTTGTATTTTTTTTAGTAGAGACAGGGTTTCACCGTGTTAGCCAGGATGGTCTCAATTCCCTGACATCGTGATCCGCCCTCCTCGGGCTCCCAAAGTGCTGGGATTACAGGCGTGAGCCACCGCGCCCGGCCTAAAATATACTGTTTTAGGGACAGGCACAGTGGCTCACGCCTATAAACCCACTCTGGGAGGCTGAGGCGGGCGGATGACCTGAGGTCAGGAGTTTGAGACTAGCCTGGCCAACATGGGAAGCCCCGTCCCTACTAAAAATACAAAAATTATCCACGCATGGTGTCGCATGCCTATAACCTCAGCTACTCGGGAGGCTGAGGCAGGAGAATCGCTTGAACCTGGGAGGCAGAGGTTGCAGTGAGCCAAGATTGCGCTATTGCACTCCAGCCTGGGCGACAGGAGCGAGACTCTGTCTCAAAAAATAAATAAAATAAAATATACCGTTTTAAAATGAATTTCCTCCTGCCTCCTCTAAACCTCCCTGCCCTAAGGGAACGAGTGACTTTTACTAGTATTGGCCAAATCCAAGGGACACTTTTCAGTCTTCATCTTAACATCTCGAAGGCATTTTATGTGGAGTCCTAATCAGGGAAAAGGAGTCAGGCTGGTGGGACCAGGGGAAAGCAAAGATAAAGCAAACAAGTGATAGGTCTGCTTTTTTTATGGCCCAGGGCACATGGCCCTCCTGTACATAACTCACAAACTTCCTGCTTACCATCAAACGCCTCGATTTATCAAGCACCTTGGCTGACAGAAGAATGCGGGTTAAGCTTCCTGCTACCTTAGCGTTATCAATCAGTCCAAGTTCCATTGTATAAAATCCCTAGCAAGTCTTTGTTTCTTTGTAGTCAGCTTCTCTTCTGTTGATACTGCCTGTTGTCTCCCTGGCAACATATTTTTCTACTTTCTCTAATAAATCTGCCTTTCTTTACCTACAATGGTCTTGGTAAATCTTTTCCCCCTACACCACAGGCCCAGTTAGTCGTCACTTACCTGTGACATTTTACACTGTTGATCCCTCCCTCCTTGGATCATTCTTCTTCCAAGCAGCAAACTGAGTGGGACCTGATGAGGCCTAAAGTATTTCTGCTTCTTCTATCTCCTTCTCTCTTATCTGTCTTTTACCAACTGATACTAACCTTAGTCTGGAAAAATAAAAAATTATCATAATAAATACAAGAATACAGTACTTAAGAAGCCAACGTATTAGATGAGACAGAATGGGAAATGGAGAAAAAGACAAAATATCAATAAGAATTTAACATTAATATAAGGTCCGGGCGCGGTGGCTTATGCAGGGTAATCCCAGCACTTCGGGAGGCCACGGCTTGAGTTTAGGAGTTTGAGACCAGCCTGGGCAACATGGTGAAACCCAGTCTTTACCAAAAATACAAAAAATTAGCTGGGTGTTGCGGCGTGCACCTGTGGTCCCAGCTACTGGGGAGGCTAAGGTGGGAGGATCCCTTGATCCCAGGAGGCAGAGGTTGCAGTGAGCCGAGATTGCACCACTGCACTCCAGCCTGGGTGACAGAGCCAGACCCCATTTCCAAAAAAAAAAAAAAAAAAAAAAAAAAAGAATTTAGTACAAGATACAGGAGAAATTGCAGGTTGGTGCTATACATTCAATAAATGATTGTGGAATAACTGGCTAGCTACTTGGGAGAAAAAAGATCTCATCTCACTTCTTATACTGAACTATATTATTGATCAATGAAATTTTTTTAAGAAAATTAATCCATAAAAATTCCAGGAAAAAGAAAACTGATTGATTTTTTTTAAGGCACTTGTCATCTGGAAGATCTTTCTAAACATGACCCCACAGAAGTCACAAATGGATAAATTTGGTTACACAGAATTCAAAATTAGATGTCTTCTTATAAAAAAATTTTCTAAACAGCTGAATGATAAAGGAAAATTGGGGAAAGATGTTTTTAGCAAATTAAACAAAGGATGAATTTCCTTGAGACAAAATATTTGCACAAATAAAAGCAAAAAAAGAGAGAAGAAAAATGAGCAAAGGTCATGAACAGATGGTACAGAGAAAAAGAACAAATGGTCAATAAACATGTGAAAAGAGGTGATGTTAATTTTAATTTATGAGATTAGCAAAGATTTAAAACTTTGACAGTATTCAGTATTAATGAGAATATGAGGAATTCCAGTACACTGTGAGAATGTAAATTGGGAGAACACCATTGAAAGCAATTTGACAATTGGGCTGGGCGCGGTGGCTCACGCCTGTAATCCCAACACTTTTGGGAGCTGAGGCGGGTGGCTCACCTGAGGTCAGGAGTTCGAGGCCAGCCTGACCAACACGGAGAAACTCTGTCTCTATTAAAAATACAAAATTAGCTGGGCGTGTTGGCGCATGCCTGTAATCCCAGCTACTCAGGAGGCTGAGGCAGGAGAATAGCTTGAACCCGGGAGGCAGATGTTGCGGTGAGCCGAGGTCACGCCATTGCACTCCATCCTGGGTGACAAGAGCAAAACTCCATCTCGATTAAAAAAAAAAAAAGTAAAAGAAAACAATTTGACAATCACTAAAAAAATTTAAATGCACTCACTCTTAGAACCTTCTACTCTGCTTCTCTCCCATCTGGACAGAGATGTTTGATTATACAAGGATTGCCATTACAGCATTGTTTGGATTTGTAAAATACTGGGACCAACGTCAATATGCTCCAACAGGGGATAAGTTAATGAAAATATTATGCAGGTGTACAATGAAATGCTATGCAGTTTCCAAAAACAAAAACAAAGAAGAAGGAGGAGGAGGAAGAAGAAGAGGAAGAGGAGGTGGAGGAGGAGGAAGAAGAAGAAGAAGAAGGAGGAAGAAGAAGAAGAGGAAGAAGAAGGAGAAGAAGAAAAAGAAGAAATAATCTAATAGGGAAAGGTGTCTGAGATTTATTTACTCATTAATTTATTCAACAAATGTTTGTTGAGTGTCAACTATGTGCCAGTCTTCTAGATTCCAGGACACTGTGTGGAACAAAACAGACAAGGTTGCTGGGGTCATGGAATTACTTTCTAGAGGGAAAGTTGGATGATAAGCAAACCAAGCAATAAACACATGGTATGAAACATGCCATAAAGTGGAATGAATCAGAATATGGAAGATGAAGAGTGATGGTTATTACTTTATATTGGGTCATCAGGGTGGAATCTCTCTGATGAGGTAGCCAAACAGCTGCTGCAGTTTAGAGTCTCAAATTTGCATGTCACTGGGCATTTATCTCAGAGAAATAAAAATGTTTGTTCACCCAAGAATCTGCACAAAACATTGTTCGTAATAGCCAAGCCTAGAAATAATTCAAATGTCCTCGAATGGTGAAGAGTTAAACAGTGGCACATCCATATTATGAAATACTACCCAGAGATAAAAATGAATGAACTACTGAGATAGGCAGCAACTTGGATAGATCTCAAGGAAATTATGCTGAGTGAGAAAAGTCAATCTCAGGTTGTGATTTGTATGATTCCATTAATAACATTTATTTATTTATTTATTTATTTATTTATTTATTTATTTATTTATTTATTTTTGGGAAAGAGTCCCACTGTGTTACTCAGGCTGGAGTGCAGTGGGACAATCTCGGCTCACTGCAGCCTCTGCCTTCCGGGTTCAAGTGATTCTCCTGTGTCAGCCTCCGGAGTAGCTAGGATTAAGGCATGTACCACCATGCCCAGCTATTTTTTTTTTTTTGTATTTTTAGTAAACACGGGTTTTCACCATATTGGCCAGGCTAGTCTCCAACTCTTGACCTCAAATGATCCACCTACCTCGACTTCCCAAAGTGCTGGAATTACAGGAGTGAGCCGCTGTGGCCAGCCCACAACATTCTCGAAATGATAAAATTATAGAGATAGAGAGCAGATGAGTAGTTGCTAGGCATTAGGGAGAGAGAAGGGAAGGAGGTGTCTGTGGCTATAAAAGGGTACCCTGAGGGATCCTTGTGATGGAACAGTTTTGTATCTTGACTGTAATGTTGTTCCTATGTGATATTTACACATGCAATAAAATTGTATAGAACTAAACACACACAAACAGATGAGTGTATGTAAAAATGGTGAAATCTGAGTAAGATTGGTGGATTTTATCAAAAATAATTTCCTGGTGTGATATTGTACTATATTTATGCAAGATGTTACCATTGGGAGAAACTGAGTGAAGGGTATGCTGGATCTTTATTTTTATTTTATTTTATTCTTTTGGAGACAGAGTCTTGCTCTGTCGCCCAGGCTGGAGTGCAGTGGCATGATCTTGGCTCACTGTAACCTCCGCCTCCTGGGTTCAAGCAATTCTCATGCCTCAGCCTCCCAAGTAGCTGGGATTACAGGCATGTGCCACCATGGCTAGGTAATTTTTGTATTTTTAGTAGAGACAGGGTTTTGCCATGTTGGTCAGGCTGATCTTGAACTCCTGGCCTCAAGCAATCTTCCCTCCTCTGCCTCCCAAAGTGCAAGGCTTATAGGAGCGAGCCACTGCACCCAGCCACTGAATCTTAATTACATCCTATAACTGTATGTGAATCTACAATTATGTCAAAATAAATTTTAAAAAATTTCTGCAGTCACAGCATCAATGA
Organism: Homo sapiens; assembly: GCF_000001405.40. Lineage (NCBI taxonomy): Eukaryota > Metazoa > Chordata > Mammalia > Primates > Hominidae > Homo > Homo sapiens. The sequence goes on from NT_167249.2 coordinate 241,268, forward strand.
CTTGTCTTTCCCAGCCAGCAAAGCCCTGTGTTTTGCTCTTATTGATTGGACTAATCCCTGTGGACAGAGAAATTCATGTGCCAGTTGGCTTAGGTTTGGTTTTACTACCTATTCCTGAACCAATTACTATGGCAAGGGGACTGAGATAATGCTCACTGGTCTATGCATCAAGACCCACTGAAAAATGTAATTGTCATTAGTCATCTAAATATAATTTATTTTTGAATTGGTTATGTGCTTCCCAACATTTAGCTATATTCTATTTCCTGGGGATAAAATCTTTGAAGACAGTGGGAGGAAAAGCTAATCTGACCCCTTCTTTCAAACAGCAAGGGGTTGAGGATTTCCTTGATTTTAACACAGGCATTTTGAATATGAGCAGACCATGCCTGGTAAACACACTAGACAAGATTCCTGCCCTTATGGAGCTGACAGGCCACTGGGGGCTGGATGGAGGCCGAGATGGTAGCTGTCTCCAAGATAGTCACTATCTTAGAGACCTCTCATATGCACATGACATTGGATCACCAAGATATGTAAGCTGGGCATCATGGCACATGCCTGTAGTTCCAGCTACTTGGGAGGCTAAGGTGGGAGGATTGCCTGAGCCCAGGAGTTTGAGGCTGCAGTGAGCTATGATCATGCCACTGCACTCCAACCTGGGCGACAGAGTGAGATCCTCATCTTAAAAAAAAAAAAGGCCGGGTGCGGTGGCTCGCACCTGTAATCCCAGCACTTTGGGAAGCCAAAGCAGGCAGATCACCTGAGGTCAGGAGTTCAAAACTAGCCTAAGCAACATGGAGAAACCCTGTCTCTACTAAAAATACAAAATTAGCTGGGCATGGTGGTGCATGCCTGTAATCCCAGTTACTTGGGAGGCTGAGGCAGGAGAATCACTTGAACCTGGGAGGTAGAGGTTGCAGTGAGCCAAGATCACACCATTGCACTCCAGCCTGGGCAACAAGAGTGAAACTCTGTCTCAAAAAACAAACAAACAAACAACAACAACAACAGAAAACAGGGTGCAGCCCACTCCTCCAGCCCCTTGAATCTGGTGGGCTGGCCTATGAGTACTGTGACTAACACTGTATGGCAGAAGTGATTCTATACCAGTGCCAGGCCAGGGCTGTAAGAGGGCTGACAGCCCCTGTCTTGTGTCTCTGAGTCCTGAGACACCATAGATATGTCTTTATTAGTCTCCTCAGGCTGGCATACAAAATACTAGATGGCTTAAAAAACGGGAATTTATTTGCTCACATTTTATTTTCTGGATACTGGAAGTCCAAGATCAAAGTCTGCAGGGTTGGTTTCTCCTGAGGTCTCTCTCCTTGGCTCGCAGGCAGCCGCCTTCTGACTATGTCCTCACATGACCTTTTCTCTGTGCGCATGCACCTCTGATGTCTCTTCTTCTTCTTATAAGGACACCAGTATTATCAGCTTAGGGCCTCACTCTTATGACATCATTTATCCTTAATTGTCATCCCTATAAAGATCCTATCTCCAGGCAGTCGCGGTGGCTCACGCCTGTAATTCCAGCAATTTGGGAGGCCGAGGCAGGTGTATCACTTGGGGCTGGGAGTTCAAGACCAGCCTGGCCAATATGGCAAAAGCCTGTCTCTACTAAAAATACAAAAATCAGCTGGGCATGGTGGTGCACACCTGTAATCCCAGCTACTCAGGAGGCTGAGACAGGAGAATCACTTGAACTCAGGAGGCAGAGGTTGCAGTGAGCCAAGATTGAGGCACTGCACTCCAGCCTGGGCAGCAGAGCAAAACTCTATCAAAAAAAAAAAATTATCTTCAAATATAGTCACATTGGGGGTTAAAATTCCAAAACATGAGTTGGGAGCTGTGTGTATGTGGTGGGCAGAGTGGACACAACTCAGTCCATAGTGATGTCCACCTACTCTACTACGGGACTCCATAAGGGGGGAGTGAGCTCATTGAGGCCATCCTTCCAGCCATTCCCTGAGAAAAGCATGAGGATTTTCAGTGAAGAGCAGCCCAACTACCAAATGGATACATTCTGAGTTGCCAGTTAATGCCAGGTGTTACAGAAAAATCATCCCAGTGAGCCCTACCTGTTGGGGCAGTTTGTTATGCAGTATGAAATAATCAGAATAAGGAGTTGCATTCAGTTATTAATCAAATCAATATGTGGTTACTAATTGTGACAACTTCTATGATGGAAGAGACAGGATGCTATGAGAAAGAATAACACAGTGGGTGGGAATGGCATCACAAACTGCAAGGGAGAAATAATTGAAGGACCTAGAGATGTTGGGCCTGAAGAAGATTTCAATGCTTTTGTGAGCTCTGGAACCATTTCTCTTCCCTTTCTGGGCTAAACTCCTTGAATAAGCGGATCCCTCCGCTTTCCTTGCAGGTGACCACTCCCTCCAGATCAGCCTCTCATAAAACTTTTCTCGTCTTCCCAGGTCACAACAATTTTTCCCTTTTTAACATTGTATTAGGCTGTGCCTGCACTGCTGTAAAGAAATACCTGAGGGCCGGGTGCAGTGGCTCACACCTGTAATCCCAGTACTTTGGGAGGCTGAGGCTTGCGGATCACTTGAGGTCAGGAGTTTGAGACCAGCCTGGCCAACATAGTGAAACGCTGTCTCTACTAAAAATATAAAAAAATTAGCTGTGTGTGGTGGCGTGTGCCTGTAATCCTAGCTACTTGGGAAGCTGAGGCAGGAGAATCGCTTGAACCTGGGAGGTGGAAGTTGCCGTGAGCCAAGATTGTGTCACTGTACTCCAGCCTTGGCAACACGGAGAGAGACTCCATCTCAAAACAAAACAAAACAAAAAAAGAGAAATACCTGAGACTGGGTAATTTATAAGAAAAGAGTTTTAATTGGCTCATGATTCTGCAGGCTGTACAGGAAGCACAGTGGCAGCTGCTTCTGCAGAGGCCTTGGGAAACTTCCGGGTTTTTTGTTTTGTTTTGTTTTTTTTCAGACGGAGTTTCTCTCTTGTTGCCCAGGCTGGAGTGCAATAGTGCTGTCTTGGCTCACTGCAAGCTCCGCCTCCCGGGTTCAAGCAGTTCTCCTGTCTCAGCCTCCAAGTAGCTGGGATTACAGGCGTGCACCACCGCGCTTGTCCAATTTTGTATATTTTTAGTAGAGACTGGTTTCACCATGTTGATCAGGCTGGTCTTGAACTCCTGACCTCAAGTGATCCACCTGCCTCGGCCTCCCAAAGTGCTGGGATTACAGGTGTGAGCCACTGCACCTGGCCTAGGAAACTTCGAATCATGGCGGAAAACAAAGGGGGAGCAGGCATATCGCCTAGCGAGAATGGAGCAAGGAGGCCCCACCAGACCCCACCTCCAATATTGGGGATTACATCTCAATGTGAGACAAATATCCAATTTGAGTGGGGACAAATATCCAAACTATATCAAACATTTTTAGAGTTTATGCTGTAGAGCATTTAATTGACATTAAATGATAAACTGTTTCATATTGTTAATTTATTGAGGTAAAATATACATAAAGGGAACAAGCCTTCAGTGTATAAGCTAATGAATTGTTACATGTGTGTACCCACCATCCAGATCAAGAGGAAAAATATTTTCAGCATCCAGGAAGGCTGTCTCATGTCTCTTTCCATCAGTATCCACTCCCAGAGGTTACTTAGAAAAAATCACTATTCCAAATTTCTAGAAGCATTGATTAATTCTGCCTGTTCTTGAACTTCATATGAAGAGACTCCTATCATGAGCACTTATTGGGGTTTTAAATTGTTGTCTGTTATGAATAAAGCTGCCCTAAACGTTCTGGTGGTATATGTCTGTTCATGGACAAATGCCCTCATTTCTAGGAGTGGAATTGCTAGTAGGCATATGTTTAGTTTTTTAGATAATGCCAAAAAATGTTCCATAGTGAATGTGCTAATTAACACTTCTAGCAGCAATGCATGAGAATTCTAGTTGCCGCACATATTACACCAACACTTGGTACAGCATATGTGTTTTAAAATATTTTAGCTGTTCAGGTGGATTTGTAGTGGTATCTCATTGTGGTTTTAATTTATATTTCCCTGCTAATTAATGATACTGAGCACATTTTCAAATTTTCTTTTGCTGGAGTGCAGTTATGCAATCATGACCCACTGCAGCCTCAACTTCCCAGGCTCACAGGATCCTCCTACCTCAGCCTCCTGAATAGCTCAGACTACAGGCACACGCCACCATGCCTGGCTAATTTTTTTTTTTTTTTTTTTGTAGAGATGGTGGGGCAGGGGGAGTCTTACTATGTTGCCCAGGCTGGTCTCGAACTCCTGGGCTCAAGTAATCCTCCCACCTCCTGAAGTGCTGGTGGCATTACAGCGTGAGCCACTGTCCCTGGCCTCATATGTGTACTATTTGAATGTAGTCTTTAGGGAAGTTCCTGATCAAGTCTTTTGTCATTAAAAAAAAATTATTTGTCTTTTTCTTGTTGATTTACAAGAGTGCTTTATATATTTAGGATGAGTCCTTTCTCAGGTATGTATTTTGCAAATGTTCCCTGCAATTTGTGGCTTCCATTTTTCATTTTCTTTTTCTTTTTTTTTTTTCGGGAGACAGAGTCTCACTCTGTTGCCAGGCTGGAGGGCAGTGGCACAATCTCGACTCACTGCAACCTCCGCCTCCCGGGTTCAAGTGATCCTCCTGCCTCAGGCTCCTGAGTAGCTGGGACTACAGGTGTGCGCCACCACGCTCAGCTAATTTTTGTATTTTTAGTAGAGACAGGGTTTCACTGTGTTGGCCAGGATGGTCTTGATCTCTTGACCTTGTGATCTGCCTCAGCCTCCCAAAGTGCTGGGATTACAGGCGTGAGCCACCACGCCCGGCCTCCATTTTTCATTTTCTTAATGATGTTTTTTGATGAATAGAAGTTTCCAGTTTTGATGAATTTTATTTCATCGACTTTATTGATTTATTTTTAAAATTTTTACACTTATTTATTTATTTAATAGACATGGGTTCTCACTGTGTTGCCCAGGCTAGAGTGCAGTGACTGTTCACAGGGGCTATCATTGTGCACTACGACCTCAATTTCCTGGGCTCAAGCGATCCTCCCACCTCAAGCCTCCTGAGTAGCTGGAACTACAGGTGGGTGCCTGTTTAACTTTTTTTTTTTTTCATTTTGGTTACTCTTTCCTGTTTTTGAAATCTTTGCGTACCTTACATTCATTAACATATCCTCTTTCTAGAAGCTTTACTTTCCCTGTCATACTTAGGTGTATGGTCCATTATGAATTCATTTTTGTGTTTGGTGTGAGGCAAAGGTCTAGATTTAGTTTTTTTCCTAATTGGTCCAGCACCTTTTATTGAAAAGTTATATCATAAATTTGTAAATGCATTTCTGTCTATTCACCTCGTTTTAACCACTATGTCCAAAAAGCAGAAAATAGCTGCACTAATGGAAAACCAGTTCACCAGATTTACTTATTCTGTTTTTTTTTAAGACGGAGTCTCCCTCTGCCGTCCAGGCTGGAGTGCAATGGCATGATCTCGGCTTACTGCAACCTCCTGCCTCAGCCTCCTGAGTAGCTGGGACTACAGGTGTGCACCACCATGTCTGGCTATTTTTTTTTTTTTAAGACAGTGTCTGGCTCTGTCGCCCAGGCTGGAGTGCAATGGCGTGATCTCGGCTCATTGCAACCTCCACCTCCCCGGTCCAAGCAATACTCTTTCCTCAGCCTCCTGAGTAGCTGGGACTACGGGCAGCCACCACCACGCCACCACGACCAGCTGATTTTTATATTTTTAATAGAGACGGGGTTTGACCATGTTGGCCAGGATGGTCTCGCTCTCTTGCCCTCGTGATCCCCGCACCTTGGCCTCCCAAAGTGCTGGGATTACAGGCATGAGCCACCGCACGCGGCCTATTTTTTGTATTTTTAGTAGAGATGGAGTTTCACCATGTTGGCCAGGGTGGTCTTAAACTCCTGACCTCAAGTGATCCGCCCGCCTCAGCCTCCCAAAGTGCTGGGATTACAAGTGTGAGCCACCACACAAGGCCTACTTGTTCTTTTTAACTAATTATAACATTTACAGCAACTCATATGTTGAAGCGGTTTTAACAGCTTTAAAAGGTTTCTGTGGGATTATCATTGACCTGTTTTTACTTTGTCTTAGTGATAGCTTTGTAGGAAAGATTAATTTTTCCTTAGCCCAGCAGAGAGAGGTGAGACTGATGGACATAAAAAGAAAATACTCAAGAAAATATATTAATCAATAGTGTATTTTATTATTAGAATACATCCATAAGAATCCTTTATATTTATGCCTACACTCTTCATGAATCTCTTCTTGTGGACATATTTATTTACTTATACATTTCTTAATTCAACATATATTTATTGAATACATTTTTGAATATGGCAATATACATTCATATTTGTTATTATTATTATTATTACGAGATGGAGTTTCACTCTGTTGCCCAGGCTGGAGTGCAGTGGCGCCATCTCAGCTCACTGCAACCTCTGCCTCACAGGTTCAAGGGATTCTCGCGCCTCAGCTTGGGAATACAGGGGTCCGCCACCACGCCCATCTATTTTTTTGTATTTTTAATAGAGACAGGGTTTCACCATGTTGGCCAGGGTGGTCTTGAACTCCTGACCTCAGGCAATCCGCCTGCCTCGGCGTCCCAAAGTGCTGGGATTATAGGCATGAGCCACCGTGCCCAGCCTCATATGTATAATTTTTAGTTAAATTAATAAATTAATATTTATGGTTTTCATCATTATGACTTTGTAATATTTTTCACAGCTGAGCTCCATGGTATACCATAATTACCTTCTTTGACAACCTTTTGTTCTTCCTGGGATTAATAATTGCCTCCTGTTCTTTGCTTACTTTTCTAAATATTTATTCCTAATTCAATACCAGCTTTCTGACACTATTTTCTCGTCAAATGCATGAGGCAGTATGTCAGTTCCATTTTCCCCCATTGGAAACAACCCTCGTTTAGCCCTCTTTTTTCTATTCCACCGTAGACTGATTGCCTTCTAGCCTGGTAGCTCAGCAGTTGCCCCGGAGTTTTTTCCTTTACCTTTCTCCTGTGTTAGGTCCCCAGTCACCGGATTTCATATTTCCTTTTTCTTAGTTTAATTCCCTAGTTAGTGGACAATTCTCCAGAAGCTTTCTGAGAAAAGGTACTTGGGAGATAATGTTCTGCAAATGTCCATTCACATTTGATTGATAGTTTGGCTGGGTTCAGAAATCTAGTTGTGGAAACTATTTTCCTTTATTGAAATGATTTAGAAGGCATTGCCTCATTGTCTTTCAGCTTTTGGTGTTGGTGCTGCTGTGGAGAAAAAAAGATGACATTCTAATTCATAATCCTTTCTGTGCAATCTTTTAGTTTTGTTTTCCTTCTGGAAACATTTAGGATATTCACTTTATTCGTCTGATATTTCACAATGACAAGCTTTATTGTGGGGCTTTGCCACACCCTATGCAGGGTAGTTGGTGGGCCTTTTAAATCTGGAGACTTAAGGTCTTTGGTTCTGAAAAATAATCTTATATTACATCTTTATCTCCTTTATTCCACTTTCTCCTCTTTTCCTAGAATCCCTGTTAGTTTGTTGGCATATCTTCTATTATACACCATTTTATTTTCTTATCAATTCTTTGCTATTTTCCATCATTCACCCCAAACTTTCCAGATTTCTACAACCTTATTTTGAAATTTTAGGCCAGGCGCAGTGGCTCACAACTGTAATCCCAGCACTTTGGGAGGCTGAGGCGGGCGGATCACCTGAGGTTGGGAGTTCGAGACCAGTCAGACCAACATGGAGAAACCCTGTCTTAACTAAAAACATAAAATTAGCCGGGCGTGGTGGCGCATGCCTGTAATCCCAGCTACTCTGGAGGCAGAAGAATCTCTTGAACCTGGAAGGCAGAGGTTGTGGTGAGCCGAGATTGCATCATTGCACTCCAGCCTGGGCAACAAGCGCCAAACCCCGTCTCAAGAAAAAAAAAAAAGAAATTTTTAAAAATCCAGCCATCATAATATTATTAATAATTTTAAGAACTCCCCTCCTTTTTGTTTCATGAGTGCAGTATCTTCTCTTACTTTCCCGAGGATTAATTATAATTTTTAAAAAATCCAACTTCCTGCATTGTATTTGTTTCCTCTTAGGTTCTTCCTGCCCCCTTCTGTTTGTATTCGTCCTTGTCTTATTGTAGAAATATTTTCACAACCACCTGATTATCCTTGGTTGTCGTACATATTTTAAGTAAGGCACTAAACACCTGATTCTGGAAGCTCTGTGGACCTGCTCCAAGCCTGTAGACTGCAGAGTCTTTGGGGATTCTATGGAGACCCAGCCATTTCTTTGGGAGATCCTCAAATACCAGTGTTTGTCGTTGTTTTAATTTTTATTTTTTCCTTGTAAATTGACTTGGATATCTCATCTGTCTTTCTTTATCTCTGGAAAACTTTATCCCAGTTTCCCTTGACATACTCCTTCAACCTCCTGGGAGAGGTAGGGGGAGGGGAGATGAGCCTGTTTGACTAGTTCTGGGAATGTGGTGAGGGAAGAGATCTGGGGATTTCGGCTCTGTGCTGACACTTCCTTCATGCTACTCTGGTTTAGCACCCCTGCACTTCACCCTCTTTCAACTCCTGACCAAGTCAACTCCTGTTACTCACATCGACAGTCATTTTTCATGTTCAAGACCCCTGAACCGCTCTCATCCCCCACTCTCCGCTAACTCTCCTGCTTCGCTTCAGGTCTACATTGCCTCGCTCATTTCTTCCCTGCTGAGCTCTTTGATTAGTTTGCTAAGCAGCATCTCGGGAACAGCCCCCGTGCTATGTGTTCTTTCTTGTCATGGATATGTGTTTTTTCTTGTCATGCTATGTGTTCTTTCTTGTTCAAGGCAGAGTCGCGGCTGGGTTGTTAGGATGCTCGCGCCCCTGTACCCGGGGCGTGCAGGGAAGTGTAAGAAGGGGGCGAGGGGCGAGAAACGCTGAATTCTAGCCTGAATTGGTAGGAGAGCCTCGCAAGCTGAGTCACGGTTCCTGATTCCATTTAAATAGAACGTTTTGTTCACTTGTAGGAATTTCCTTTTCCATTTCTTTCATTAAATCGCGAACGTAGTAATGACTTAACGCTGGTTACGCATTCATTACAATCGAAGATTATATTAATTTGCGATGGTAAGTGTTCCAGGTGTCAGGATGGCCGAGTGGTCTAAGGCGCCAGACTCAAGCTTGGCTTCCTCGTGTTGAGGATTCTGGTCTCCAATGGAGGCGTGGGTTCGAATCCCACTTCTGACACAACTATCTTATTCTCCTTTTACTCTACTTTCTCAGCCATTTCTGTGTTTTCATTCTTTCTACCTCAACTTTTTTTATTCTAACTAAAATGATACACTCTCAATGAGGTCTGCCCCCTTGCTTTTCAGTCTTGTTCGCTGTTTAGTAGTGAATCACGTTTTGCCCCGCTTTGGTCAGTTCGTTAAAAGGCGCATTCATTTACCACATGAGCACTCACCCAGAGGCGTACTGGGAGGAAACTAGACTAGGTAGGAATAGAAAGACATGTATACAGACTCCATCATTACATACTGGCCCTGAGCTCATAGGTTATTGGGACCGCAGATTACATGTTTTTCCTCACGGCCAGAAACCATCAAAAATAAAAGTGATGAAACTGAAATTGAAAGCAGCAAGGTTCACGCTCAAGGTTATCGGAAACAAGGCAAAAGGAGAGAAATGAAAGGTTCCACCGAGATTTGAACTCGGATCGCTGGATTCAGAGTCCAGAGTGCTAACCATTACACCATGGAACCCTACTTAACAAAAAACGGATACTCGATCCACCTGGGGTCTCTCTTGTCTTCTACTTACTAATTGATTTAAAGTAATTTTGCAGGGGCAGTTTTTTTGTTTTGGATGGCCAAACGCAGGGATGGGAGGGGTAGGGCTCACACACTGTTTCCACCGCGCCTTTCTCCCAGATTTCTTTCCATCCTTCGGGGCAGGGCAGTATACTGATCTGGGAATATGGTTATTCCTGGAGATTTTTATTTTCTTTCGTTTCCAGCCCACGAAAAGGTGAATTGAATTTTAGTCTCACGGTTTGAAAGGGAGAAAAGAGAGAAAAGAAAAAATATACTATCTACTTTCTACAGTCTTATTTATTCATTGTACGATACCTACAGATGCCTCTAGAACAACCTCCGAGTATCTTGGCACTGCCCCTCAGTTGTAACCATGGGCTTAAATTTTTAAAATCTGTCTCCCGCATTCCTCCAAAATGCCTTAAGTGCAGGGCTGAGTCTCAGTAGTCTTTGATAGCCCACGGTCTGCTACTTTGTAGAAGCTCAACCAATGCTTGTTGCATGAATGCATAAATGAAAGGATGAGTGAATGAATGAATGAATGAATGAATGAATACTCAGTGGGACAGCCCAGCTTAGACTTTTGGGAGACTTTAGACTTCTTTTTTGCCTTCACTTGCTAGGCTAAATTTTACAAGTTCAAAAGGGAATAATTATTTCTCCTCCTCCTCCTATCTTCTTTTGCCTTTCCAGGTCCCAGCTCCCAGGTGGACATCTTAGCGTCCAGATGACCCAACATATAGGTGTCCTTTAGTATGGATGACCAAACTAGGATGTTATAGTGCTGGATGTAGTAATTCATTTTTTCAAATCTTAACTTTATTAAGATAACATGGTTATTTATCTAGTAATTGTGAGAACAACATATAACAAATAGACCACATATATACGTAGCGTGTCTGGAAGAAATACTCAGATATAAATTACTACTTTAGTCAATCTTAATATTAATTATTTGTCAACTATGCTTAATGTGCCTCTCTAGTCTCTCAAGACTAAATTGCTAAGGAACCCTGGAATCATTTGCTGGCATTCATCCTTTCAAGCAAGGTGCCTGTTACAAAATATCTGCTCAATTAGTATGTATTGGATACATCTTTTGGAAGGTGAGGAAGGAAGCAGTGAAATTAGAAGACTTCTGCCTAGGCGACTGTAAAGTGCTCCTAAGCATCTACCCACCTCCCTGCACACAAAAACTCTCCATTCTATCTCCTCGAGTCTCCTAGCCTTAAAAGATGGTCTAAACTACCCCAGATCCAGGTAAATAACGGATCAAGTCCTTCTTCCCTAAAACAGGTGTTATTCTTTCTATTCTATGAGCCTCCACCTTATTTCTTAAAAAAAAAAAAGAAAAAAATGTTTACTGTTTAAGAAGATAACAGAATCTCAAAAGCTAACTCTTCAACTGTGTTCAACTAAGGACCTTAAACTGCTCTCTGAGGATAGGTGAAGCGGGAAAGGCTCTAGGTGTCTGGTGACTGTTTCTTTTGTTGGTTCGTTTGTTTTTTCAGCCTTAGCACATTTATCCCTTGGAGAAGACAATGGAAAATAGGGCAGATGAGCGTGCGTGGCTTATTTATTCTTGAGTCTGGAGTTAAGAAGGTTGTACTTTTTCCTTAGGATTGCCCTTGGTTGGTTCACAAATTTCGCAAAGTGAATGAAAACACATGAAGGCCACTGAAGGGAATAACTAGGGGACGAGATGTCTGAGCCCCTAAATCGAGAAACATTTGGGCACCGTTTGTGGGACTGTACATATAGGTGTTATCTGTGGCCCCTAGGAAAACAGAAGAGGAACCTGTCTCACTTAGGAAGCTGTGAGAACTGCCCACACAAGGCTTGAAAATGGAACTTTACTGGGTCAGAATGACGAGGGGGAAAAAAAAAAAATACCTCACACTGGCAGCGGTGGGATTCGAACCCACGCCCCCGAAGAGACTGGAGCCTTAATCCAGCGCCTTAGACCGCTCGGCCACGCTACCACCCACAGGGTGCGTCGCCGCTTTCAGTTTCACCCAAGTGACTGTCGCCCCTTTCCAGTCCTTTCATTCCCATTCCCACATCACCATAAGCCCTTCCCTCAGGCCCCTTCTTCAGCATTCCTTGCTTCTCAGCATAGCCCGAGAACCCCCGATCCCTGACACTTTGCTTCTTCTCAGCTCCCAGATGGATCCTGGACAGGATGCTGCAGGTGGTGCAGGAGGGGAATCCTGCCCCATTTATCATCAACACAGTAAAAAGGGGTCGAAGAGACCGAGAGCGCCAGAGGACGCCATGGGCTCCACATCCACTTGGATTCCAGGAAGTAAGCCTCTCGACTTCAGGAGTAAGCAAGGCCAACCGTTTGGTTTGAGCCTGTTGCTTCTAAGAAAAGCGAGGAAAAATCCTGAGACCTCCTCCCCTCGCCCTTCATCCACTTCAGGGGACCGAGTGTCTCCACGGAACTTCACAAGGGAGGAAAAGAGTGAACTCATTATTATTTGTCTTGTCTTCGTTTCAGAGGCGGTACATCTACGAAAGCCCTAATCATAGAGGGAAAGACTCCTCGTTCCTGGCCCAGAAATGAGATGAGAAATCTAGGGCCCCGTACAGGAAGGCCTTTCGCAAAGTCCAGACTCAATTGCCTTCGCAGCCCTTAAAGTTTCCTTAGGAAGGTCTGTGGGAGAACGAGGTTGGTTTAGGAATTGGCCCCTGCCTTGTACTACGTAGTTTTGTCATCCAAAGTGTTTTAGAAGTGAATTGAATCATAGTTACGCCTTATTTTGAAACACTGTAATTCAGAGAACGTAAAACCTTATTAAAATGCCTCATAATCATCTTGGTAGAGCCGTTGGTTAAACGGGAGAGACAGTTGCCTCCTTAGCGCAGTAGGCAGCGCGTCAGTCTCATAATCTGAAGGTCCTGAGTTCGAACCTCAGAGGGGGCAAGGCGTCTGTTTTGCCATTTTACTTCTTCTTGACCCAAAATGAGTAAGACAACAAAGGAAGTTGACAAAACGTTGTTCTTTCTCTATAGAAAAGTGTACAATATGTCTGGTAAGGGAAAAAAAAATCTAAGGACATTGCTTTGATGGAACAGAACGGGTAATTGCTGTTTAATAGAACCATGTTCAGTTACAAAACAGTGATTTTCACTAAGAATTAAATTCTCCAAAATTCTCATCTCCCCTCCCGCCCTGCATACCAATTGGAGATAGAGCTGGTAGCATTTTCAAATGTTTTTCAGATATGCTTGGCAATTGTCTTTGTTTTAACAACACCAGAGTCAAGAAACTTGCCAGTTTTAGAGTGCTGAGATAAGAAAAAGTGGGTGGAGGGTTGTACTAGGGGTGTGGAAGGTATAGAATCTAATTATCAATTACTGACTTGGTTATCTTTTACCATTCTTCTGGAATGGCTTACCACCAGGTTGCCACCAATAACATTCCATATGAAAAAAGAAAGGAAACAAAAAACTGACAAAAAACTCCCCCCTCAGTCTCATTGCATTGGACCTTTTCTCTTGCTTCCAGTCCTGTTGACTGGATCTAAATCATCCAAACTACCAGATGCAGGAAGGGGTAAAAAGAGAAACAAGAAGTGAAGAAAATAGGCTGATATTTACAGTCAAGATGAGCCCCTGACTCAAATAATAATGAGCAAGACTGATCATTAATGTCCTGCTCTTGAGTCCTACTTTGTTCCAAGCTGTGTTCCTATTAATCCATTCCCTCTCAGCTTTAAAATCACCCTTATATACTTTGTTTTGTGACATTGGGGCTGGGCGCCTGCAAATGATATTTCCCAAACTCCTTTGCCCATTGGCTTCCTCTTGTGTTCTGTCAATAAGAGGAACCAGAAAGAGACTAGAAAGCAAGAGGAGAGAAGCAGGGGCTGCTTTCTAAATTTTGTTCTTCCTGTCAGGTCACTCCAACAATGGCAGTTGAATCCCATCTCTATTTGTTCTCTTCATGCATTCCAGAATGTCTCACTGTCCATTACATAAGTAAGTAGTAGTCCAGCTGCAGCGCGTCCTCTTTAGCACTCCAGGATGCCTTTCCTCAGTGGTCTCAACCTCTTCCTTTTTGTTCTTCCAGCCCTACAAGGTGGTAGCTACTTCCCAGTAGTTATCACCTCTGAGTTACCATGGTGTGCCCAGTTGAAATACCTAGTCTTATTCCTTTTTTTTTGAGACAGAGTCTTGTTCTGTCACCCAGGCTGGAGTGCAGTGGCACAATCTCAGCTCGCTGCAACCTCTGCCTCCCGGGTTCAAGCGATTCTCCTGCCTCAGCGTCCCAGGTAGCTGGAATTACAGGCGCCCGCCACGACGTCCAGCTAATTTTTGTATTTTTACCAGAGACGGGGTTTCACCATGTTGGCCAGGCTGGTCTTGAACTCCTGACCTCAAGTGATCTGCCCGCTTCGGCCTCCCAAAGTGCTGGGATTACAGATGTGAGCCACCGTGCCCAGCCTTATTTCTTAACTAGACCCTGAACCACACATAGGGGGTGCAGGGATAGCACTCCACACAACAGAAAAAGCTTCTGCTCTCATGGAGTTTACATTTTAGTGGGGAATGATAAAGAATAAATTCAACCAGATATATAAAATGTGAAGTAGTGATACATGCCATGAAGGAAAAGAGCAAGAGAATGGAGAACAAAGGGGAGGGGATTGCTTTATAATAAAGGGTGACCAAGGAGGCCTTCCTGATAAGGAGGCATCTGAACAGAGACTTGAAGGAAGTGAGTGAGTGAGCTGTGAGGCTATCAGGGAGAAGAGAATTTCAGGCCAAGGGAACAGTAATTACAAAAGGCTTGGCAGGAATGCCATTGGCATGTTCAAGGAACGAAGGAGGAGACTAGTGCAGCTGTAGGTCAGTAAACAAGGGAGAACTTGATAGGAGATGAGGGGGTTAGATACACATAGACCCTACAGGATGCACATAGATCATGCAGGGTCTCAGAGGTCATGATCATGTTCAGAGAGGGAATTCGCTGCATAGGGGAGAGAAAAGACAACAGTGATTTAAGTTGTGGAGGTCAGCCAGACCTTGAGAATATTCTGATTCATGAGTCTGAGATAGAATCTGTGAATCTTTTTTTTTTTTTTTGAGATGGAGTTTCACTCTTGTTGCCCAGGCTAGAGTGCAATGGCACGATCTCGGCTCACGGCAACCTCTACCTCCTGGTTCAAGCGATTCTCCTGCCTCAGCCTCTGGAGTAGCTGGGATTACAGGCATGCGCCACCACGCCCGGCTAATTTTGTGTTTTTAGTAGAGATGTGGTTTCTCCATGTTGGTCAGGCTGGTCTCGATCTCCTGGCCTCAGATGATCCATGCACCTGGGCCTCCCAAAGTGCTGGGATTACAGGTGTGAGCCACTGCAACTGGCCTGAATCTGAGTTTTTAACAGTGACTCCAGGAGATTTGAATGCCATCAGTGTGGCAACATTTTGGAAGCCCCAGTCAAGGACTTACTCGGCCTATATTCATTTATCCTATGTTGACCGTCTCTGGAGAGATCATTTCCTCCCAAAATTCTCCTCATTTTTGTTTAGTCATCCAGGGCTTGCTTACTGGTTAAAACTAGGAGCACTTGCCTCATCAAGAGCAGAATAAATGCTCTATGCTTCCCAGAGAACTCTCAAAAGCTACAAGGTGCCATTTCCTATTCTGCTTTATTTCTAATTTTTCTTTTTTCTTTCTTTCTTTTTTTTTTTTTTTTGAGATGGAGTCTTGCTCTGTCACCCAGGCTGGAGTGTAGTGGTGTGATCTCGGCTCACTGCAACCTCTGCCTCCCAGGTTCAAGTGATTATTTTGCCTCAGACCCTTGAGGTAGCTGGGACTACAGTCATGCACCACCACACCTGGCTCATTTTTGTGTTTTTAGTAGAGATGCGGTTTCATCATGTTTGCCAGGCTGGTCTGGAACTCCTGACCACAATTGATTTGCCCACCTCTGCCTCCCAAAATGTTGGGATTACAGGTGGGAGCCACTGGCCTCGCCCTGTTTTGCTTTATTTCTGCCTTTCCCTGTAAAGAGCTTTTCTTGGTAAATAAGCAGCTGAGACATCTTGACACCTCCTGCCCTCCAGGTTCCCAGGGGCAGTCTGGGCCCAAGTTTTCTTTCTTCTAGCTGTTCCCCAGTTTCTCTGCATCATTCCTCCCCACTGCCATGTCTCGATGGCCTTCTTCTGCACAATGGCCTAATTTATGTTTTTGCATCACCTCTTCCTCCATTCTGACTCATTCTTTACATAAAGCCAGTGTACTCTTAAAAGTAATCTCATCATGTCATTTCTTCCTGCTTAGAATTCCCAGTGGCTTCACATTGCTGCTAGGGTGCAGTCAGCTCTCTGCACTACTAGCCATAACCTCTGAGCCTGTGAGTCACTGGTCTGTCCCTGCCTTCCTGTCCACCTCAGACCCCACCTTCATGAACACTCTCTTGAGCTCTCTGTACACAAGCTGCTCAGGCCTTCTCTCAGGTGTCTGGAAGTGTTCTGCTCTTTAATCTCCCTGGAATGCTGGAATCACATTTTTGTCCAACTAGGCCTTTAGTTTTCAGTTTAAACATCACTTCCTGGGAGAAGTCTTCTCTAATCCCCTGGAAGAGGTCATCTCCCTTTATAATCCATGCTCTTGAAGATAGAGGGCAGGGTGTGATTTACAGTGTGCGATTTACAGTGTGCATTATTTTGTCTCACCTTACTTTTCTCTATGTTCCCTTTATCTTGATTTAAATTAACATTTTTCACTTTATCTTATAGTATAGTTGTGTAAATAACCTCGAATCTGTTTTTCAATAGTAGCATAAATAAATGCACGATCAGAAATGTACATGACAACCATTGTGCTAGACCTAGCCTTTGAGGGATTTCTGCTGTGAGATTAAAGTGGTCAAGAGATTAACAAACTTGTCTAAAGTGGCACAAGCAAAATGGTTAAAATACAGTATTCTAAATGATCCACTTTACAATAAGAATAATTGTGATAACACCTAATTTTCATGGAAATGTCACCAAGCGTTTGCTTACATTATCTCGTTTAATTTGCAAAGTAAGGTCATGAGATTTTGCTTGTTTTTCCTCAACATTTTGTAACCTGAACGTTTTCTCAAGAGCATGTGTTACAGTGACTGTTTAAACAGTGTAATTTGTCGTTTAACGGCTGCTTTTCACTTGTAAAATATGAACGCCCCAAGGGCTGAGGTAGTGTGTCCGGAATTGGTGGGTTCTTGATCTCACTGACTTCAAGAATGAAGCCACGGGCCCTCGCGGTGAGTGTTACAGCTCTTAACGTGACGTGTCTGGAGTTTGTTCCTTCTGATGTTCCCATGTGTTAGGAGTATTCTTCTTTCTGGTGGGTTCGTGGTCTCGCTAACTCAGGAGTGAAACTGCAGACCTTCGGAAAGAGTATTACAGCTCTTAAGACAGCACGTCTGGAATTGTTCGCTCTTCCTGCTGGGCTTGCGCTTTCGCTGATTTCAGGAAAAAAGCTGCAGACCTTCACGGTGAGTCTTACAGCTCATAAAAGCAATGTGGACCCAAACAGTAACCAGTCGCAAAATTTATTGCAAAGAGCAAAAAAAAAAACAACACTCCACAATATGGAAGAAGAGCCGAGCGGGTTGTGGATGCTGGCTCCGGCAGCCTGCTTTTATTCTCTTAGCTGGCCCCACCCACATCCTGCTGATTGGTAGAGCCGAGTGGCCTGTTTTGACAGGGTGCTGATTGGTGCATTTACAATCCCTGAGCTAGATACAAAGGTTCTCCACGTCCCCACCAGATTAGTTAGATACAGAGTTTTGACACACAGGTTCTCCACGGCCCCACCAGAGCCGCTAGATACAGTGTCGATTGGTGCACTCACAAACCCTGAGCTAGACACAGGGTGCTGATTGGTGTGTTTACAAACCTTGGGCTAGATACAGAGTGCCGATATGTGTATTTACAATCCCTGAGCTAGACATAAAGATTCTCCACGTCCCCACCAGACTCAGGATCCCAGCTGGCTTCACCCAGTGGATCCCGCACCGGGGTTGCAGGTGGAGTTGCCTGCCAACCCCACGCCATGCGCTCGCACTCCTCATCCCTTGGGTGGTCGATGGGACTGGGTGCCGTGGAGCAGGGGGCGGCGCTCGTCGGGGAGGCTCGGGCTGCACAGGAACCCACGGAGGCGGGGGAAGGCTCAGGCATGGCAGGCTGCAGTCCCGAAGCCTGCCCCGCGGGAAGGCAACTAAGGCCCGGCGAGAAATCGAGCGCAGCGCCGGTGGGCTGGCACCTCTGGGGGATCCAGTACACCCTCTGCAGTCGCTGGCCCGGGTGCTAAGTCCCTTATTGCCCGGGGCCGGCAGGGCCTGCCGGCTGCTCCGAGTGCGAGGCCCGCCAAGCCCACGCCCACCCGGAACTCCAGCTGGCCCGCAAGCGCCGCATGCAGCCCCGGTTCCCGCTCGCGCCTCTCTCTCCACACCTCCCTGCAAGCTGAGGGAGTGGGCTCCGGCCTTGGCCAGCCCAGAAAGGGGCTCCCACAGTGCAGTGGTGGGCTGAAGGGCTCCTCAAGTGCCGCCAAAGTAGGAGCCCAGGCAGAGGAGGCGCCCAGAGCAAGCGAGGGCTGTGAGGACTGCCAGCACGCTGTCACCTCTCAGTAGTACTTCTCCACTGCAGGAAACCCGGGGCAAAGCTGAGAGCCTTGCTCAAAATAAGTTCTCAAAACCTATTTTTTTTTTTTCTGGAGTCTCACTCTGTCACCAGGTTGAAGTGCAGAGGCAAGATCTCGGCTCCCTGCAACCTTCGCCTCCCGGGTTGAAGCGATTCCCTTGCCTCAGCCTCCCGAGTAGCTGGGACTACAGGCGTGCGCCACCACGCCCGGCTAATTTTTTTGTATTTTAGTAGAGACGAGGTTTCACCATGTTGGCCAGGATGGTCTAGATTTCCTGACCTTGTGATCGCCCGCCTCGGCCTCCCAAAGTGCTGAGATTACAGGCGTGAGCCACCGCGCCCGTGTGCCAGGTGTTCTTAAGGTCGCAGGGAAGACTGGAGCATAACCTTTGAAGACTAAAGACAAGACAAACCCGGCGATTACGTCTGTAGTTATACATTGCTTTTACAAGTAATTGTTTGGAGTACATTACACAAAGATGGGAGTTAATTTTTTCCATGAGTTGGGGACAAAAATAACTGTGAGCCATATTCAAAGTGGGCAAAAGCATAGATGGGAATAAAGAAAAGGAACATGGATAGGATTTAAGTTGGACGATATCAAGTTTCTGCACCTTTTTACTCACTAGAATGTGCAGGAAGAAGGCTTTTGCAGGGAGCCCGGATAGCTCAGTCGGTAGAGCATCAGACTTTTAATCTGAGGGTCCAGGGTTCAAGTCCCTGTTCGGGCGGGAGTGGTGGCTTTTAGTACCTGATTCTGGTATCATGTTTGAAAAAGCCAAAAAGGACACTATCGTTTTATAGGGACAGATTTCATATACTGCAAAAATTCACCAAACCCTGTAGAACCCCAAATTTTAAACCACGAATAGGCGAGTAACTCTGATGCCAAATAAAAGTAGTAAGGTGAATACATGGGCCCTCTACAGTGAGATAGCCCCAGATTTTCTGAAGAAAACTAACATTTAAGGACAACCTTAGAATACGAAGTATTTAATATTTTATGATTCCTGTTACTCTGCTTACAGGTGCCAAAGTAATCTTCTGTTGTTACTTGCTTTCCAGTGCAGAGTTTATTTTACGTAGGAGGGAATATACTGATCAATTATCAAGAAAGTTATAATATGTTCATATTCTGGCTTGGCATATTTCTGGCATTTAGTTACCGTGAGTCAGCCCTGCAAGTCTTAAAAACTCTAGGTGAATTTAAAAATAGTTTCCGGCCGAGCGCTGTGGCTCACGCCTGTAATCCCAGCACTTTGGGAGGCCGAGGCGGGCGGATCTCGAGACCATCCTGGCCAACACGGTGAAACCCCGTCTCTACTAAAAATACAAAAATAATTAGCTGGGCGTGGTGGCGGGCGCATGTAGTCCCAGCTACTCGGGAGGCTGAGGCTGGAGAAGGGCGTGAACCCGGGAGGTAGAGCTTGCAGTGAGCCGAGATTGCGCCACTGCACTCCAGCCTGGGCGACAGAGCGACTCCGTCACAAAAAATAAAAATAAAAATACATAAAAATAATTTCTGACGGGGCGCGGTGGCTCACGCCTGTAATCCCAGCACTCTGGGAGTCCGAGGCGGGCAGATCACCTGCGGTCAGGAGTTCGAGACCAGCCGGGCCAACATGCTGAAACAGTCTCTACTAAAAATACAAAAATTAGCCGAGAGTGGTGGTACGCGCCTATAATCCCAGCTACTTGGGAGGCTGAGGCAGGAGAATAGCTTGAACCAGGGAGGCAGAGGTTGCAGCGAGCCGAGATCGCACGGCTCCACTCCATCCTGGTAGACAGAGGGAGACTCAAAATAAATAATACAAATAAGTAAATAAAATAAAAATAGTGTCTGATTCTGCAAAGGAGAGGAACAGACTCTGAATTGTGATGGCTCCAATAAGGATAAAGCAGTCTCTGGAGAGCTGCCTGAACAGCCAGACAACCCAGCTCTTAGGCTTCTCCCAAATCTTTAACAGCATTTCCTTAACTGTGGTAGATGCAGGCTCCTGGAACCAGAGGCCTAGGGTCCAGACGAAATTGTTAAGATGTTCCCTATAAAACGCTTCCTTAAGTCGGCAACAGAATGAACTGTTAAGAGAGCTGTCCTGAAATACAGACCCCTGAGGTCCAGACATGTTGGAGGAGAGCCCTCTCTTTTTGCAGCACGGACTGGGCCAGAGAGGTATAGCCTGCAAGATGAATTTCAGTATGTGTAACTGCTGGGGTGATGATTGCAAGTAATCTAAGTTTGAGATGTTGATTGTGTGGAATAAGATAGTGACAAGAAGCATGGAAAGAAAACCATAACATTTAATATGCAAATTAAATGATTGATTTGAGAAATACTTGTTTATCAGATACCGTGCTAGGCACTGAAAATATAGAACTGGATAAAACAAATTCAGTCTCTAACGGAATTTACAGTCTAGGAGGATGGGTGGGCAACAGACAATAAAAACGTTAAAAAATAAAAGAACAAGGAAACTTTATATAGTAAAAAATTCTATGAAGAAAATAAAACAGCTTGAGGTTGATGTGATGGGAGGTTGGTGAGTGAAAGAAGGGATGGTGTGTTGGTTTCCTAGGGCTGCCACAACAAATTGAATATCAGGTTTTCATCTGTCTATTCATTTTTTCAATAAATTAAGTTGCACCAGTAGAAGGATACTGTCCCACGAGGGAATTGAGGTCAGAAGAACTCGGAGAAAACAGCAAGCCCACTGGAAAGAGATGATACTCATAAGAAGAACTAAAAGAGATTTACTAGAACTTGATAAGCCGTCGGGACAAAGAGAGCTGAGACTTCGTCTGTCTGACAACATATGCCGGGCCCGGCAATTATAGAGATAATTGTATACTGAACAAATAGGGTTATTTGTGGAAGTTGGGGACAAAATGGCAGCTGCCCCCTCTGAGGTTCGAACTCAGGACCTTCAGATTATGAGACTGACGCGCTGCCTACTGCGCTAAGGAGGCAGACAACTAGTGCTCCTCAGCAGGTGTTTTCAACACTGATTTTTACCTTATTTAAACATTTTTGTCTACATTACCTTTATTTTAAATTTCTAAAATAAAATATTCTTATGAAACTTCTCAAAGCTCACCAGCTTCCAAAACCTGAATCAGATGAAGAAAGTCGCTGCTGATCCCGCTGCTTTTGCCCCTCTTATTCTGAACTGATGACCCCCCACTTCTCACCTTAGGTGGAAAATTTCCAAAACGTCCTGTCCAGAAACCTGACAATTAACCTGCACGGGCGTCCATCCATTTTGTCTGGAGAGATCAGGAAAACGGCCTGTTTTTCTCTCTCCCTCCATACCGGTTCTTTCCCGCAGGAAAAGTGATCCGGTGTTTCCCATCCGGAAGCATTGAAGCGTTTACTATCTTAAACAACAAAACAATGTCCTTTGACAGGCGTCTCCACCTGTCGCTATCTCATGTGCTCAAACGTCTTGTAAGGCCGTCTTAATGTACAGCAAACTTCTTGTAAGGCCGTCTTAATGTACAGCAAACTCCTTGTAAGGCCGTCTGTTTTAAAAAAATACCTCCCTAAGTCCCACTGGCTTTTCAACCCACTGCAGTCTTCCCCAATCACGTCTCCGTCTCGGTCTTGAGGAAGTCCAAAGGGATTTGGACAAATGCAACTTCATGGGGTAAAGAATATGGCGCTCTTGGTGCAAACTCTTGGGCATCTGCTAGGATGTGAGAACGGTAGTAATAGCAGGAAGGGGTGAAAAGCTTGTCTTCTCCACTGTCTTTGTTTGCCAGGGGATTGTCTGGAGTTTAGCACTCAAAGACCCACTTCCCAGGAAAACCCTACCTGGGATGTGAAAAGTCCGGGCTTTCGGTTTTTGGCGATAGGTTGGAGAGAATATATACACACAAAAAGTGACAACCCCATCCTTGTTCCCACCCCTGCCCCAGGGCCGAAAGCAACACTGATTTTATTGCCAATGGATAATAGGGTTTAGGTTATCCCACTTTTGTAGTTGTCGCCGTTTTTCCCCTGTC
Organism: Homo sapiens; assembly: GCF_000001405.40. Classification (NCBI taxonomy): domain Eukaryota; kingdom Metazoa; phylum Chordata; class Mammalia; order Primates; family Hominidae; genus Homo; species Homo sapiens. The sequence goes on from NT_167249.2 coordinate 263,759, forward strand.
CGCTGATGGTGACAACCTTGCACCGTGCATCGCTCTGAGTGAGGCGACTTAAATGCGCGATGTTACCGTTTTCAGCCGTGACCGTAGCACTCGGTCTTTGACTGTAGACTGTTGTGTCTACATAGTGCTAGTTTGTATTGCTAGTTTAATTTTTTTTTTTTTTTTTGAGACGGAGTTTCGTTCTTGTCGCCCAGGCTGGAGGGCAACGGCGTGATCTTGGGTCACTGCAACAGCTGCCTCCAGGGTTCAAGCGATTCTCCTGCCTCAGCCTCCCGAGTAGCTGGGATAACAAGCCTGCACCACCACGCCCGGCTAATTTTTTGTATCTTTAGTAGAGACGGGGTTTCACCATGTTGGCCAGGCTATTCTGGAACTGCTGACCTCAAGTGATCCGCCCGCCTCGACCTCGCAAAGTGCTGGGATTACAGGCCTGAGCCACCGCGCCCGGCCTTAGTTTAATTTTTAACATTGTGAATATTATGGCCAGATTTTTAGAGTTTAGATAACGAAAACGAGAACGATTATCATGCGAACGCCAGCATAACCCAGATAGCACTGAAAAAGTCTAAATAGACTGTTACTTCAATGACAGATAGAAGGACACATACAACCGGATTTGGAGAATAAATAATCAAAACGGAGCATACTACGCAATATTCAAAACAGATTTGGATGTGAAAGTACACAGGGAGACGGCATCTCTCAAGTCTGGGATGAGACAGGCAAGAACTTCTGAACCAATCAAAAGTGTTTTTGTCTCCCAAAAGTGACACCAGCGCTCTGTAGAGAATAGCATTGGGCTTGCTTACAAGGAGACCTTAAAAAAAGTTAAAATTAAATAAAAGAAAATGGTATTGGGCAGAATATTAGAAAAGAACACGCATTATTTTATGGCTTCCTTAATTACTCTATTTCCTGATTCAGAGGTTGCATCTCGTGGGTGAACAAGAGGAAATTCTGATACCACATATTGGTCTCTTGCAGTGTACAGCTGATTCTATCAGACGACCTTGCTCTCTACAACATAATGATGTGTCAAATCCACCTCAACCATTAAAAAAAAAGTTTCCCTTAGCTCTTACATACTTTGATTTGAAACATGATGTTGAAAATCATCTTTCCTGGTATGCATGAAGACTTAATGAAACCACTTGAAGCATAAACAATCATTGATATGTTGGTCAACTACAAGTTAGATCTTGCTCATCTATCTGCATATTTGGCAGACAGTGCAAATGTAAATTTTGGCAAATTCCATTCAGACTATAAACTTTCTACCAAAGAAAATGAAAAGATCTTACATGTGACGTGTTCTGCACATGTTGTTCACAACACTGCTAAGAGGCCGGGCGTGATGGCTCACGCCTGTAATCCCAGCACTTTAGGAGGCCAAAGCTGGTGGATCACCTGAGGTCAGGAGTTTGAGACCAGCCTGGCTAACATGGTGAAACCCCGTTTCTACTAAAAATACAAAAAATCAACGGGGTGTGGTGGCACATGCCTGTAATCCCAGCTACTCGGGAGGCTGAGGCAGGAGAATCACTTGAACCCCAGAGGCAGAGGTTGCAGTGAGCCGAGATCGTACCATTGCACTCCAGCTTGGGCAACAAGAGCGAAACTCCGTCTCAAACAAAACAAAACAAAACAAACAACACTGCTAAGAAGGATTGTGATTTGTTTACTGGTGATATTGAGGCTTTCATGGCTTAATGAGATTTATGGTCACTTTTTAGTTTCCTCAAAATGTGCAGAAACAATAAGAATTTTCACTTTATAGAAACGAAAGGAGGTAGCCTCCTTAGAAATGTCTAAAGTTGACTATAATTATTGCTGGCCATAGGATAGATGTTAAAATGTTTACTTGGTGTAAAATCATATTTTCAAAATGTGGGACAAGAGGAATGCTATTCTCTAATTTGACAATATTTTAAGAGTGAGAATGGAGAAAAGAACTACCGTAAAACAGAAATTTATACTTTCATTTGTTTGACGTTGTCGAAGAACAAAATTTCAACACACTTAGGTTAAAGATCAGATCAACTTTTATTGGCAATTCATGAATCAGGCAGCATCTCATCTACAAAATAGGAAGGTGCTCTGACGAGGAGATGAGGTTATAGGTAGAAAAGGCTGAAGAAACTACAAACAAGGAACAATAGGTGGATTGGTAATTACAAAGTGACTGTCCTTGTAAGGTTAAAGCAGAGGATACTTCCTTAACATGCTGGCTGAGGTAGTCTGGACCCTTTTCTACTGGTTATTGTGAATCTCCTGTTTTTTGGAAAACTGGCCTGTTTTAAATTTCAGTTTGATTACTTGGCACCCTGCACAAAGGGCTCCCTTCTGGTTTGGTCTGGTCTGTTGGAGCCTAATGCAGGAGCTCATTCCAAAACAATAGCCTCCCATTAATTTTAACAATGTTATGTTATGTAGATTGTGACATAAAGATTCATACACTAAGAAAAGATTCTTTTTTTAAAAAAAAAAGACTGCTTCAGAATGCAAGTTAAATAGGACTTTATCAATCTCTTGCTAAAAATACAATTTATTTGGAATCCAAGCTTTGTTTCCCAAATTTATCATTTATTTATTTCATTTTATTTATTAATTTTTTTGAGATGGAGTCTCCCTCTGTTGCCCAGGCTGGAGTGCTGTGGTGCGATCTCAGCTCGCTGCAACAGTCTGCTATTGCTAGTAAGTAAAATACCGAGTATTCAATGCTCAAATGCTTTTGTTGAGAGGATATTTAGTGTGATTTTATCACACTAGAATGATACCAGGAATCTAAGTAATATGGGCTTGATAAGAGCAGAGCTGCAATTCAAAGTGAATTTTACCTTTGACTGTATTCAGTATTACCACTATATAAAAGAAAATAAAGATGTCTTAAATGTTGCAGACAGGTCACAGAAAGAATATTGGAAAAAGAAACAGAAAGGGTAAAGATACTCGATTGTTTCATGCGACAGAAAGAAATGTCATTATTTTTTATTAAATATAGGTAATATCTGCTTAAGTAGTTTTATTGTAGTTATGTTCTTCTTTTACATTCTTGTTGTATTTTACGTTTTTGTATTTATGTTTTTCATTTATTAATGCGCCTTAAAGTTGAAATAATATAGCCTATGAGACTTAAATATCCAATAGTTTTAAAAAGTTAAAATAAATCACTACATAAGAGAACAGATAGAAATACTAAAAACATATTGTTATATTTTTCCCAAACATATTATTTATGTAATTAGTCCTATTATAAATTACTTCTAATTGCCATTATTAACTACTCCTATTGAGAGGTGACAGCATGCTGGCAGTCCTCAGAGCCCTCGCTTGCTCTCGGCACCTCCCCTGCCTGGGCTCCCACTTTGGTGGCATTTGAGGAGCCCTTCAGCCCCCCCACTGCACTGTGGGAGCCCCTTTCTGGGCTGGCCAAGGCTGGGGTCCACTTCCTCAGCTTGCAGGGAGGTGTGGACGGAGAGGCACGAGCGGGAACCGGGGCTGTGTGCGGCGCTTGCCGGCCAGCTGGAGTTCCGGGTGGGCGTGGGCTTGGTGGGCCCCGCACTCGGAGCAGCCAGCCAGCCCTGCTGGCCCCGGGCAATAGGGAACTTAGCACCTGGGCCAGTGGCTGCGGAGGGTGTACTGGGTCCCCAGCAGTGCCAGCCCACCAGTGCTGTGCTCGATTTCTCGCTGGGCCTTAGCTGCCTTCCCGCGGGGCAGGGCTCGGGACCTGCAGCCCACCATGCCTGAGCCTCCCATCCACTCCATGGGCTCCTGTGCGGCCCGAGCCTCCCGGACGAGCACCACCCCCTACTCCATGGTGCCCAGTCCCATGGACCACCCAAGGGCTGAGAAATGCGAGCACAGGGCGCAGGACTGTTAGCCAGCTCCACCTACAGCCCCGGTGCAGGATCCTCTAAGTGAACCCAGCTGGGCTCCTGAGTCTGGTGGGGATGTGGAGAGTCTTTATATGTAGCTCAGGATTGTAAATACACCAATCAGCACCCTGTGTTTAGCTCAAGGTTTGTGAGTGCACCAATCGACACTCTGTATCTAGCTGCTCTGGTGAGGACCTGGAGAACCTTTATGTCTAGCTCAGGGATTGTAAATACACCAATCGGCACTCTGTATCCAGCTCAAGGTTTGTAAACACACCAATCAGCACCCTGTGTTTAGCTCAAGGTTTATGAGTGCACCAATCGACACTCTGTATCTAGCTGCTCTGGTGAGGATGTGGAGAACCTTTATGTCTAGCTCAGAGATTGTAAATACACCAATCGGCACTCTGTATCTAGCTCAAGATTTATAAACACACCAATCAGCACCCTGTGTTTAGCTCAAGGTTTGTGAGTGCACCAATCGACACTTTGGCTGCTCTGGTGGGGCCTTGGAGAACCTGTGTGTCAAAACTCTGTATCTAACTAATCTGTTGGCGACGTGGAGAACCTTTGTATCTAGCTCAGGGATTGTAAACGCACCAATCAGCGCCCTGACAAAACAGGCCACTGGGCTCTACCAATCAGCAGGATGTGGATGGGGCCAGATAGGAGAATAAAAGCAGGCTGCCCGAGCCAGCATTGGCAATCCTCTCGGGTTCCCTTCCACATTGTGGAAGCTTTGTTCTTTCGCTTTTTGCAATAAATCTTGCAACTGGTCACTCTTTGGGTCCATGCTGCTTTTGTGAGCTGTAAGACTCACCGTGAAGATCTGCAGTTTCATTCCTGAGCCCAGCAAAACCACGAGCCTACTGGGAGAAACAAACAACTCCAGACGCGCTACCTTAAGAGATGTAACACTCACTATGAAAGTCTGCAGCTTCACTCCTGAGCCAGTGAGACCACGAACCCACCAGAAGAAAGAAACTCCGAACACATCTGAACATCAGAAGGGGCAGACTCCAGACCCACCACCTTAAGAGCTGTAATGCTCACCGTGAGGGTCCGTGGCTTCATTCTTGAAGTCAGTGAGACCAAGAACCTACCAATTCCGGACACACCATTATTGTTTTGTTTAAGTAATAACAGTTTTGCAATGGAGAAACAAATATTGCAGAATAATATATAATTTCAAACATCTATTTTTAAAATTTGATGTCAAAGTAATACATGCATATATTATATAATTGTTGGATTTTTTTTTTGTGGGGGTGGAAAGGTTTGGTATGGCTATGTCTCAGTTGGCTCCCTAAAAAGTTGAACAGCAACAGCAACTGGTTCACCAGTTTGGGGAAACACTATTTATGAAAAGAATAAAGAATTAAGAGGTCTCAGTGAGCTTCAAGGACAACGTCTGGCTTAACAGATAAAAATGGATGGTTTGATAGATAATAATGGTTTATAGGTGATTGGAGGTAACAGGATGATTGCCAATGGCTTTTCCTTCTTTTCAGATACTTATTCTTTGGGTCATGAAACTGCTTCTGCCTGAATAATAAAACAATTTTAGCAACACTGAAGGAAGTTATTATTTCCTTTCTGCTGTGAAAAAAGATTAAAAGAGGTCATCTCATAAACTTGAGGCTGGTATACTTGAGGTCTTTCATTAACATTCAAGGATTTAATATTTGTGAAAGAAGACCCTCAGGGGTCTAATGAGGAACATGTTGTGTTTTTTTTTAAATTTATTTTTATTATTTATTTATTTATTTATTTATTTTGAGATGGAGTCTTGCTCTGTTGCCCAGGCTGGAGTGCAGTGGAGCCATCTTGGCTCACTGCAACCTCCGCCTCCCGGGTTCACGCCATTCTCCTGCCTCAGCCTCCCAAGTAGCTGGGACTACAGGCGCCCGCCACCACACCTGGCTAATTTTTTTGTATTTTTAGTAGAGACGGGGTTTCACCGTGTTAGCCAGGATGGACTCGATCTCCTGACCTCGTGATCCACCTGCTTCGGCCTCCCAAAGAGCTGGGATTACAGGCGTGAGCCACTGCGCCTGGTCGGAATGTGTTTTCATGAAGGGGGAATATCAACTGGGCCAAATGACATTGAGAGGCTGAGCAAATTGAAGCCTGAAAATTGAACATTGGGAGAGCATTGGGAACATTATGGCAGACGGGAGACAGGACTAGATTGCACCTCTTACTTCAATGGACGGAGCAGCGTGTGGAGGCCCTCATCATGAATTTTAACTCCAGAACGACTTCAGGAATAAATCCGGAAACCCGAGAGGACCCACGGACCCTCTGAAGGAAGCAGATTGCTCCTGTAGGACCTGGGAGACACCTCAAATACTGTGAGTGCCCAAACTGTGGAAGTGAGAAAGGGAGATCCTCCGCCCCCGAGCACACACCCCCACTGGGGAAACTGAAGGTCTACTTTACGGGAGAAGATTCTGAATTTATCTGGAGCTGAGTCAATTTAGAGAGCCAAGGGAAATACAGGGGTAGAGGAATCAATTGGACAGGCCCTGTGAGCTTGCTGGGTCCCCAAGTAGGCCACTCCTGCTGGCATCACAGGGATCCTTTGGGAGGGCAGCCAGAGGCACAGGGAAAATGGCACAGGAAGAAGGAAACCTCCAGCTGAGCTTTGTAACAATTTGAACTAGTCAAGAAACCTCATGGCCAGAACTTGGGGGAGGGCATGAATCCAGCATGCAGACTCCACAGGTAGGGGAAGAACTAAAACCCTACTTTCTTTCACAGCTGGGAGGCGGGTAGCCTGGGGCAAATTCTCAACTCTTCTTGCCCACTGCCTGGAAACAGATTTGGTGCTGTTAGGGGAGGCACAGTGGGAGTGAGACTGGCCCTTCAGATTGCATGGGAGCTGGGTGAAGCCTGTGACTGCTGGCTCTCCCCCACTTCCCTGACAACCTACATGACTCAGCAGAGGCAGCCAAAATCCTTCTAGGTACATAACTCCATTGACCTGGGAACCTCCCCTCCTCCACAGCAACCGCAGCAAGACCCACCCAAGGAGAGTCTGAACTCAGACACGCCTAGCCCTGCCCTCACCTGATGGTCCTTCTTTACCCACCCTGATAACTGAACACAAAGGGCATATACCCTTGGGAGTTCTAGGGCCCTGCCTACCGCTGGTTCATCTCCATACTACCACAGTTGATGTTCTCTGGAAAGTGCCACCTACCAACAGGAGGCCAACCAGCACAAAAATAGAGCATTAAACCACCAAAGCTAAGAACCGTCACGGAGTCCATTTCACACCCTGCCACCTCCACTGGAACAGATGCTGGTATCCAAGGCTGAGAGACCCATAGATGGTTCACATCACAGGACTCCGTGAAGACAACCCCCAGTACCAGCTCACAGCCTGGTAGACTTGCTGGGTGGCTAGATCCAGAAGAGAGATAACAATCATTACAGCTTGACTCTCAGGAAGCCACATCCATAGGAAAATGGGGAGAGTACTACATCAAGGCAACACCCTGTGGGACAAAAGAATCTGAACAACAGTTTTAGCCTTAGACCCTCCCTCTGACAGAGCCTACCCAAATGAGAAGGAACCAGAAAACCAACTCTGGTAATATGACAAAACAAGGCTCTTTAACAACCCCCAAAAATCACACTAGCTCACTAGTAATGGATCCAAACCAAGAAGAAATCCCTGATTTACCTGAAAAAGGATTCAGGAGGTTAGTTACTAAGCTAATCAGAGAGGCACCAGAGAAAGGTGAAGCCCAACACAAAGAAATCCAAAAAATGATACAAGAAGTGAAGGGAGAGACCAGGTGCAGTGGTTCATACCTGTAATCCCTGGGAGGCTGAGGTGGGCAGATCATTTGAGGTCAGGAGTTTGAGGTCAGCCTGGCCAACATGGTGAAACTCCATCTTTACTAAAAATACAAAAATTACCTGGGTGTGGTGGCGTGCACCTGTAATGCCAGCTACTTGGGAGGTTGAGGCAGGAGAATCACTTGAACCTGGGAGGCGGAGGTTGCAATGAGCTGAGATCATGTCACTGCACTCCAGCCTGAGCAACACAGTGAGACTTCGTCTCGAAAAAAAAAAAAGTGAAGGGAGAAATATTCAATGAAGCAGATAGCGTAAATAAAAAACAATCAAAACTTCAGGAAACATTGGACACATATATAGAAATGCAAAATGCTCTGGAAAGTCTCACCAATAGAATTGAACAAGTAGAATAAGGAAATTCAGAGCTTGAAGGCAAGGTCTTTGAATTAAACCAATCCAACAAACACAAAGAAAAAAGAAAAAGAAAATATGAACAAAGCCTCCAAGAAGTCTGGGATTATGTAATGACCAAACCTAAGAATAATTGGCGTTCCGGAGTAAAAAGAGAAATCTAAAAGTTTTGAAAACGTATTTGGGGGAATAATCGAGGAAAACTTCCCTGGTCTTGCTAGAGGCCTAGACATCCAAACACAAGAAGCACAAAAAACACCTGGAAAATTCATCACAAAAAAGATCATTGCCTAGGCACATTGTCATCAAGTTATCTAAAGTTAAGGCAAAGGAAAGAATCTTCAGAGTTGTGAGACAAAACCACCAGGTAACCTATAAAGGAAAACCTTCAGATTAACAACAGATTTCTCAGCAGAAACCTTACAAGCTAGAAGGGATTGGGGCCCAACATTCAGCCTCCTCAAACAAAACAATTATCAGCCAAGAATTTTGTATCCTGCAAAACTAAGCATCTTATATGAAAGAAAGATAGTCTTTTTCAGACAAACCAATGCTGAGAGAATTTGCCACTACCAAGCCACCACTACAAGAACTGATAAAAGGTTCTCTAAATCTTGGCCAGGCGCGGTGGCTCACACCTGTAATCCCAGCACTTTGGGAGGCCGAGGCGGGTGGATCACCAGGTCAGGAGATCGAGACCATCCTGGCTAACACGGTGAGACCCCCCGTCTCTACTAAAAATACAAAAAATTAGCCAGGTGTGGTGGCGGGCACCTGTAGTCCCAGCTACTCGGGAGGCTGAGGCAGGAGAATGGCGTGAACCCAGGAGGCAGGGCTTGCAGTGAGCCGAGATGGCGCCACTGCACTCCAGCCTGGGCGACAGTGCAATACTCCGTCTCAAAAAGAAAAAAAAAAAAGCGGAGGAAAACGGCATTTCATTCAAACGGACAATAAAATTGAGCAGGCGTAGCTATTCTTATATCAGACAAAACAAACTTTAAAGCAACAGCAGTTAAAAAAGACAAAGAGAGACATTATATAATGGTAAAAGGCCTTGTCTAACAAGAAAATATCACAATCCTAAACATGTGTGCACCTATGATTGAAGCTCCCAAATTTATAAAACAATTACTTAATAGCCCTAACAAATGAGATAGATGGCAACACAATAATAGCGAGGGACTTCAATACTCCACTGACAGTACTAGACAGGTCATCAAGACAGAAAGTCAGCAAAGAAACAATGGATTTAAACTATACCTTGGAACAAATGGACTTAACAGATATATACAAAACATTCCATTCAACAACTGCAGAATACACATTCTATTCAACAGCACATGAAACTTTCTCCAAGATAGACCATATGATAGACCACAAAATGAGGCTCAATAAATTTAAGAAAATTCAAATTATATGAAGCACTCTCTCAGAGTACAGTGGAATAAAACTGGAAATCAACTCCAAAAGGAACCTTCAAAACCATGCAAATACATAGAAATTAAATAAGCTGCTCCTGAATGAACATTAGGTCAAAAATGAAATCAAGATGGAAATTAAAAAATTCCTTGAACTGAACGACAATAGTGACAACCTATTAAAACCTCTGGGAAACAGCAAAGGCAGTGCTAAGAGGAAAGTTCATAGCCCTAAACACCTACATCAAGAAGACTGAAAGAACACAAACTGACAACCTAAGGTCACATCTCAAGGAACTGGAGAAACAAGAACAAACCAAACCCAAACACAGCAGAAGAAAGGAAATGACCAAGATCACAGCAGAACTAAATGAAATTGAAACAAACAAACAAAAAAATACAAAAGATAAATAAAACAAAAATCTGGTTCTTTGAAAAGATAAAATTGATAGACCTTTAGCAAGATTAACCAAGAAAAGAAGAGAGAAAATCCAAATAACTTCAATAAAAAATGAAATGGGAGATATTACAGCTGACACCACAGAAATACAAAAGATCATTCAAGGCTGCTATGAATACCTCTATACACATAAACTAGAAAACCTGGAAGAGATGGATAAATTCTTAGAAAGATGCAACCCTCCTAGCTTAAATCAGGAAGAATCAGATACACTGAACAGACAAATAACAAGCAGCGAGATTAAAATGATAACTACAAAATTACCAGGCCAAGCTGGGCATGGTGGCTTATGCCTGTAATCCCAGAATTTTGAGAGGCTGAGGTGAGTGGATCACCTGACATCAGGAGTTCGAGACCAGCCTGGCTAACATGGGGAAACCCCATCTCTACTAAAAATACAAAAAATTAGCTGGGTGTGGTGGTGGGTACCTGTAATCCCAGCTACTTGGGAGGCTGAGGCAACATAATCGCTTGAACCCAGGAGGCAAAGGTGTAGTAAGCCGAGGTCACACCATTGCACTCCAGCTTGGGCAACAAGAGTGAGACTCCGTCTCAAAAAAAAAAAAACAAAAAAAAAATTACCAGGTCAGGCATGGTGACCCATGCCTGCAATCTCTTTGGGAGGCCAAGGCGGGTGGATCACCTGAGGTCAGGAGTTGGAGACCAGCCTGGCCAATATGGTGAAACTCTGTCTTTACTAAAAATACAAAATTAGCCGGTGGTGGTGGCGGGCCCCTGTAATCCCAATTACCTGGGAGTCTGAGGCAGAAGAATCCCAATTATCCAGGAGGCGAGGCTGCAGTGAGCCGAGATCATGCCACTGCACTCCAGCCTGGGTGACCGAGCGAGACTCCGTCTAAAAAAGACAAACAAACAAAAAACATTATCAACAAAAGAAGTTCAGTACCAGATGGATTCACAGCAGAATTCTACCAGACATTCAAAGAAGAATTGGTACCAATCCTATTGACGCTATTCCACAAGATAGAGGATGAGGGAACCCTCCCTAATTCATTCTATGAAGCCGGTATCACCCTAATACCAAAACCAGGAAAGGACATAACCAAAAAAGAAAACTACAGACCAATATCCCTGATGAACATAGATGCTCAAATCCTTAACAAAATACTAGCTAACCGAATCCAACAACATATCAAAAAGATAATCCACATTGATCAAGTGGGTTTCATACCAGGATGCAGGGATGGTTTAACATACACAAGTATGTGTGCAATAAATGTGATACACCACATAAACAGGGTTAAAAACAAAAATTACACAATCATCTCAATAGATGCAGAAAAAGCATTCAACAATATCAAGCATCCTTTTATGATTAAAATTCTTAGCAAAATCGGGATACAAGGGACATACCTCAACGTAATAAAAGCCATCTATGACAAACCTACATGCAACATAATCTGAATGGGGAAAAGTTGAAAGCATTCCCTCTGAGAACTGAAACAAAACAAGGATACCCACTGTCACCACTCCTCTTCAACATAGTACTGAAAGTCCTAGCCAGAGCAATCAGATAAGAGAAAGGAAGGACATCCAAATCAGTAAAGAGGAACTCAAACTGTCACTATTTGTTGATGATATGATTGTTTACCTTGAACACCCTAAACACTCCTCCAGAAAGCTCCTAGAATGGATAAAAGAATTCAGTAGTTTCTGGATATAAAATTAATGTACGCAAATCAGTAGCTCTTCTATACAGCAACAGCAACCAAGTGGAGAATCAAATCAAGAACTCAACCCCGTTTACAATAGCTGCAAAAACAATTAAAATACTTAGAAATATACCTAACCAAGGAGGAGAAAGACCTCTACAAGTAAAACTACAAAACACTGCTGAAAGAAATCATAGACAACACAAACAAATGGAAACACAACCCTTGCTCATGGGTAGAATCAATATTGTGAAAATGATCAAACTGCCAAAAGCAATCTATAAATTCAATACAATTCCCATCAAAATATCACCATCATTCTTCACAGAATTAGAAAAAAAAATCCTAAAATTCATATGGAATGGAAAAAGAGCCCACATAGCCAAAGCAAGACTAAGCAAAAAGAACAAATCTGGAGGCATCACATTATCTGATTTCAAACTATACTATAAGGCCATAGTCACCAAAACAGCATGGTACAGGTATAAAAATAGGCACATAGACCAATGGAACAGTAGAGATCCCAGAAATAAACCCAAATACTTACAGCCAACTGATCTTCCACAAAGCAAACAAAAACATAATATGGGGAAAGGACACTCTTTTCAACAAATGTGCTGGGATAATTGGCTAGTCACATGTAGGAGAATGAAACTGGATCCTCATCTCTCACCTTATACAAAAATCAACTCAAGATGGATTAAGGACTTAAATCTAAGACCTGAAACTATAAAAATTCTGGAAGATAACATTGGAAAAACCCTTCTAGACATTGGCTTAGGCAAGGATTTCATGCCTAAGAACCCAAAAACAAATGCAATAAAAACAAAGATAAATAGTTGGGACTTAATTAAACTAAAGAGCTTTTTCACAGCCAAAGGACAGTCAGCAGAGTAAACAGACAACTCACAGAGTGGGAGAAAATCTTCACAATCTATACATCTGACAAAAGACTAATATCCATAATCTACAATGAACTCAAACAAATCAGTAGGGAAAAGAAACAAACAATCCCATCAAAAAGTGGGCTAAGGACAGGAATAGACAATTCTCAAAAGAAGATATCCAAATGGCCAGCAAACATATAAAAAATGCTCAACACCACTAATGATCAGGGAAATGCACATCAAAACTACAATGTGATACCACCTTACTCCTGCAATAATGACCATAATCAAAAAAATCAAAAAACAGTAGATGTTGGTGTGGATGCGGTGATCAGGGAACACTTCTACACTGCTGGTGGGAATGTAAACTAGTACAACCACTGTGGAAAACAGTGGGGGAGATTTCTTAAAGAACTAAAGTAGAGCTACCCTTTGATCCAGTAATCCCACTACTGGGTATCTACCTAGAGGAAAAAAAGTCATTAAACAAAAAAGATACTTGAACATGCATGTTTATAGCAGCACAATTCACAATTGCAAAATTGTGGAGCCAACTCAAATGCCTGTCAATCAATGAATGGATAAAGAAACTGTGGTATATATATACAATGGAATACTACTTAGCAATAAAAAGGAATGAATTAATGGCATTTGCAATGACCTGAATGGGATTGGAGACTATTCTTCTTTTTTTTTTTTTTTTTTTTTTTTTGAGACGGAGTCTGTCTCTGTCCCCAGGCTCAAGTGCAGTGGCATGATCTCGGCTTGCTGCAACCTCTGCCTCCTGGGTTCAAGTGATTCTCCTGCCTCAGCCTCCCAAGTAGCTGGAATTACAGGCGCCTAACACTATGAATGGCTAATTTTTGTATTTTAGTAGATACAGGGTTTCACCTTGTTGGCCAAGCTGGGTTTGAACTGCTGACCTCAGGTGATCTGCCTGCCTCGGTCTCCCAAAGTGCTGGGATTACAGGTGTGGGCCACCGTGCCTGACCTTGGAGACTATTATTTTAAGTGAAGTAATTTAGGAATGGAAAACGAAACATGATATGTTCTCACCAATAAGCTATGAGGATGCAAAGGCATAAGAATGATACAATGGACTTTGGGGGAAGGGTGGGAGGAGAGTGAGGAATAAAATACTACAAATAGGGTGCAGTGTATACTTCTCGGGTGATGGGTGCACCAAAATCTCACAAATCACCACTAAAGAACTTACTTGTGTAACCAAACGCCACCTGTTCCCCAATAACTTATGGAAAAATTCATAAATAAATAAATTAGTTAATTATGAAAAAGAAAACTAACCATTGGATCTAGCAAGATGGAGGTTGCTGGGATTTGACAAGGAAGTTTCAGTGGAATGGAGGGGAGGAAACCTTGGTTTAGAGTGTGACAAAGAAAGGAGCGCAGTTAGGAGTATTCTCTATTCATTCACCTATTCATATTCAGATACGCCTTTGCAAAGATTATCACAGTGAGAGAAATCTAACATGGCTCACTCCATCTTGCTTCTTTCTACCTTCACAGGCTGATCATCCTCACTCATTCTTAGGTGTAGGCCAAGCTAACCATTGGAGGAATTTAGTTTATAGTTTAAGTTGGAAGCAAAGATGATAATATCCCTCCTTGTTTGGGGTGCTAAAACTGCCTTTGTAAGACAAATGAAAGACCATAAAATTAGGATTCTGAAAGGGGCCTGAATTCTGCTAAAATGTAGGTATAGTTTCTATAATCCCTTACGGCTCAGGAGTCATGTGGTCAGAGGTCACATGATCTGTGACTTCTCCAGTTGTTCCTATAGATAACATCACTATATAGATCCTAAGATTGGTCTTAAAGATGCTTTTCAGACTTTTGTATTCTACCAACCGGCTGACCCCACCTGGATTTGGGACTCACAACTCAACTGATCCTATACCTCCCTCCAACCCCCCACGAGAGGTGAACTCAGCACATGAGGACCGTTTTCCACACCCCTGTGATTGCATCCCCAACCAATCAGCAGCACTCATTCCTTTGTTCCCTGCCCACCAAACTATCCTTGAAAAACCCTAACTTCTAAACCTTCAGGAAGACTGATTTAAGCAATAACTCCATCTTCCACGTGGCTGGCCTTGTGTTAATTAAACTGGTTTTTTTGTTTGTTTGTTTGTTTGTTTTTTACCTCCGAACTTCCTATTGGTCTCCTGCGCCCCAGAGGGTACCCTGCTTTTGCCAACTTGATGTCTCAGAACTTTGGTGTCCTTGGTCTCAGACACCACTTTGCCATCCACTCACTATCGGGCGGGTGGTGGTCTTTCGGATGGTTTGCATGGAGTTGCTGCTGTCCAGGGCATCACGAAGGCTGAAGTCCTCGCCATCTTCCAGCAGGCGGCGGTAGGTGGCGATCTCAGCCTCCAGCTTTACCTTGATGTTCAGCAGGGCCTCGCACTCCTGGGCCTGGCGCTATCCGTCTGCCCCGGTCTGTGTCAGCTCTGACTCCAGGTGCAGCAGGATTCCGCTGAGCTGCTCCATCTGCAGGACATAGCGGGCCTCCACCTCCCTCAAGCTGTTCTCCAAGCTGGCCTTCAGATTTCTCATGGAGTCCAGGTCGATCTCCAAGGACTGGACTGTATATCTCTGCTCCGTGAGCGTCATCTCAGCAGCTCCAACACCGATGGACTGCATGGTGACCACTGTGGTGCACTCTCAATCTGCTGAGGCCAGTGCTTGTCTAGCTCCTCTCGGTTCTTCCAAGACAGCTCGTCTTATTGGGCCCAGATGTCTGCCATGATCTTGGCGAGGTCCTGAGATTTGGGGACATCTACCTCCACGGTCAACCCAGAGATGGCAATCTGGGCTTGTAGGCCTTTTACTTCCTCTTCTTGGTTCTTCTTCAGGAAGAGCAGCTCCTCCTTGAGAGCCTCGATCTCTGTCTCCAGCTGCAGCCGAGTGACATTGGTATCATCAATGACCTTGCGGAACCCATGGATGTCGCTCTCCACAGACTAGCGCATGGCCAGCTCTGTCTCACACTCGACTCTGAAGTCAACAGCAGCAAGTCGGGCATTGTCAATCTGCAGAACGATGCGGGCATTGTCCACAGTATTTGATCTGAGCCCCCAGGTCCTCCATGGTCTTGAAGTAATTTGTCCAGTCTCCGACCTGGCGTCCCTTCTTCTCCAGGTGCTCCCGGATTTTGCTCTCCAGCTTCCGGTTCTTGGTCTCCATGCTTCTCACTCTGTCCAGGTAGGAGGCCAGGCGGTCCTTCAGGCTTTGCATGGTCTCCTTCTCGTTCTGGATGCCTCCCATTCCTGCCAGAACCCCAGCCATCCCTGCCGCCAGGCCTCCAGACCCCATGCCGCCCCAGAAGCTGGTGGAGGGGGACGCGGAGATCCGGGAACCAGAGCCCCCGGCGCCTGCATAGACGCTGGCCGCGCTGCAGACTGGCTGGGAACCGTAGCTGGGCGCCTGGACAGAGCCCAGGGACCGGTAGTTGGTGGAGAAGGTGGAGCGAGTGGTGAAGCTCTTGCTGTCCGGGGAGGAGAGCGAGAGGACAGGACTCAGGCTTTGCTGACGACCAATTAAACTCTTAAACGCAATACCACAGTCTCAGTGAAATGATTTTGTCTGTGCAGGGTGGGGGCAGGAAGAACCTGTCTGGTGATTACATGACCAATGATTGTGAGTGAGACAAAGGTTTTGTAAGCTACTAATGCTGATAATTAATCATGAAATTTAAGTTGTGTAAAGAGGGAAGTAAAGATGTAAGGAGAAAGGAGATGCATTAAATAATTTTCCACTGGGCAAAAGAAAATAAGCTGAAAAAACAGAAGGTGATAATCAGTATAAGAGATGATTGAAATTTACATCTTGGGCTTGGTGCCTGCAGTTTAGGTTAATGTCAAGGTCAAGGGTAGTGTGTTTTTCAAAATGTATATTGTGACACCCTTGTGGCACATGAAGTTAATTGAGTGGATCATGAGTAGAATTTTGATTTTAGTGAAAGAGAATGGAATGCAAAATGTCCCAGTGCATTGCAAATAAATAAGAGTTGTGTTGTAACCTATACTTATATTTTTTATTATGGGTTCCACTAAAAAAGTTTGAAAAACAGAATGGGATATTTAGAAATGAAAAAGTCAAGGACCTGGGGGAGACTAATGGCTGAGGGAATGCATGTCCCCCTGCACACCTGAAACCCATTTACTAGACAAGGTTTGGGAAGCTCTTTGGTGTATCCACTATACAGAAAGGGAAGGAAGACACCATGAGTAAGATTTGTTTCTCACGAGTTTCATATATACCTGGAAAAGGTGAGAAGTCATAGAAGCTGGCTTTTGACAGAATAATGCAGGCACATTTACTGAAACCATGATTTTTAAAGCAGGAAGAAATCATAGTTCTCAAATTAAGGAAAGTGAGCATATTTCTTTCTACAAAAAGACTATCTTAGATTTTATGTCGAAATATACTCGTGGTTGGGCATGACGGCTCATGCCTGTAATCCCAGCACTTTGGGAGGCTGAGATGGGTGGATCACTCGGCGTCAGGAGTTCCAGACCAGAGTGGCCAAAGCGGTGAAAATCCATCTCTACTAAAAACACAAAAAATTAGGCTGGGCACAGTGGCTGACACCTGTAATCCCAGCGCTTTGGGAGGCTGAGGCAGGCAGATCACTTGAGATCAGGCGTTCAAGACCAGCCTGGCCAAAATGGTGAGACCCTCCCCCCACCCCCGACTCCGTCTCTACTGAAAATACAAAAATTAGGTGGTGGAAGTTGAAGTGAGCCAAGATCGCCCCACTGCACTCCAGCCTGGGCAACAGAGCAAGACTCTGTCTAAAAAAAAAAAAAAATATATATATATATATATATATATATATATATATATATATATATATATATATATATGTATTATATATATATACATATACACACACACACACACACACATATGTGTACATATATATATATTTGTGCTATTATTTTCTTATCCTTTTTTAAATCTTCCCTTTTCTCCTCATTCTCCTTCCTCTTTCCTCCTCAATTTGTGAGATTTCTAAATACAGAGTCAATTCTTTTTGAGCATGTTAAGGAGAGGATTACTATCAAGCACCCCCATCAGCTTTGTAGGCTTCTTTTCACTGGGCTCCAAATTCAGTCTTGCTGACTCTGGTAACTTCAAAACATTTTAGCATGCAATAGCATTTCTTTGTTTTGTTTTGTTTTGTTTTGTTTTTGAGATGGAGTCTTGCTCTGTCGCCCAGGCTGGAGTGCAGTGGCGCGATCTCGGCTCACTGCAAGCTCCGCCTCCCGGGTTCACGCCGTTCTCCTGCCTCAGCCTCCCAAGTAGCTGGGACTACAGGCGCCCACCACCACGCCCGGCTAATTTTTTGTACTTTTAGTAGAGACCAGGTTTCACCGTGTTAGCCAGGATGGTCTTGATCTCCTGACCTCGTGATCCGCCCGCCTCGGTCTCCCAAAGTGCTGGGATTACAGGCGTGAGCCACCGCACCCGGCTAGCATGCAATAGCATTTCTTCATCTGAATGAAATACTGTGTTAAGGCATCAGACTCAAAGTTCGTTATTCTTTTGTTTTCTTATTTTTTCAAATCTCACGTCTTCAGAAGAAAAGTATCATCTTGGAGAAGACTTGCTGCTTCTGATGGCAGGCGACTAGCATCATCACATCTGCATCCTTTTCAATCTTTTCCTCTCTTTTACTTCCCACATCTTATGACCTTTTTTTTTTTTTTTGAGACGGAGTCTCTCGCTCTGTTGCCCAGGCTGGAGTGCAGTGGCGCGATCTCGGCTCACTGCAAGCTCCTCTTCCCGGGTTCACGCCATTCTCCTGCCTCAGCCTCCCGAGTAGCTGGGACTACAGGCGCCCGCCACCATGCCCGGCTAATTTTTTGTATTTTTAGTAGAGATGGGGTTTCACCGTATTAGTCAGGATGGTCTCGATCTCCTGACCTCGTGATCTGCCTGCCTCGGCCTCCCAAAGTGCTGGGATTACAGGCGTGAGCCACCATACCCGCCCTAAGGGAGTGTAATTTTGTCTAGTTCTGAGTTGTTTTTTTGTTTGTTTGTTTTGTTTTTTTTGAGGCGGTGTCTCTCGCTCTGTCGCCCAGGCTGGAGTGCAGTGGCCTGATCTCGGCTCACTGCAAGCTCCGCTTCCCGGGTTCATGCCATTCTCCTGCCTCAGCCTCCCGAGTAGCTGGGACTACAGGCGCCCGCCACCACGCCCGGCTAATTTTTTGTATTTTTAGTAGAGACGGCATTTCACCATATTAGCCAGGATGGTCTCCATCTCCTGACCTCGTGATCCGCCCACCTCGGCCTCCCAAAGTGCTGGGATTACAGGCTTGAGCCACCGCACTCAGCCTGAGGGAGTGTAATTTTGTCTAGCTCTGAGTTGTTTTTGTTTGTTTGGTTGGTTTTGTTTTGTTTTGTTTTGTTTTTTTGAGATGGAGTCTCTCGCTCTGTCGCCCAGGCTGGAGTGCAGTGGCCCGATCTCGGCTCACTGCAAGCTCCGCCTCCCGGGTTCAAGCTATTCTCCTATCTCAGTCTCTCGAGTAGCCGGGACTACAGGTGCCGGCCACCATGCTCAGCTAATTTTTGTATTTTTAGCAGGGACGGGGTTTCAGCATGTAGGCCAGGATGGTCTCAATCTCCCGACCTTGTGATCTGCCCACCTCGGCCTCCCAAAGTGCTGGGATTACATACAGGCGTGAGGCACAGCGCCCGGCCCCGTACTTCCCACATCTTATGAATTCTGTGTCTTCAGTTCTTCTGAGTCTGTTTCCTTTATTCTAATACAAGATTACCACCACCGTTTTACATGAGACTTTTTCCCTCCTCTTCCTTCTCCTCTTTCTGTATCTTTCCTGGATTACTGCAACAGCCTCCAGTTTGGTTGATTTGCTTCTAGCCCTGCTTGTCTCCCATTGTTTCTCTATACAGGGAGTCCCACTGGTGCCCTACAAAAAAAGATTTCCAGAGAAGGTGAATGGGGGCTGAAATATGACCTGAGCACTGAGAGCTAAGAGTCCTGGAGAGAGGACTTTTGACATTTTCCCTTTTCTATGCTTCATCAGCCCTGAGGGTTGTCTTTCTGTAATTCATCCACCAAAATGGCTTACTGTGGCATTTTTTTTTTATTTTATTATTATTTTTTTGACACAGAGTCTCACTGTGTTTCCCAGGCTGGAGTGCAGTGGTGGGATCTTGGCTCACCGTTGTCTCTGCTTCCTGGGTTCAAGCCATTCTCCTGCCTCAGCCTCCCGAGTAGCTGGGATTACAGGCATGCGCCACCATGTATTTTTAGTAGAGATGGGGTTTCACCATGTTGGCCAGGCTGGTCTCGAACTTCCGACCTCGGGTGATCCGCCCACCTGGGCCTCCCAAACTGCTGGGATTAGAGGCCTGAGCCACTGCGCCCAGCCTTACTGTTGCATTATTTGCCCAAAGGCACTCTGTGTGCTAGCTGTGGCTCTGCTTCCACAGAACTGGCAAGAAGAGCTTGCAAAAATACCCGTCATACTGACCTCTCTGTTCAGAACACTTTTCTGTCTCTCCATAGCCTTTTAGGGAAAGCTCAAAGTATTTAGTATTGTCAAGATACGGCTCACAGTTTGTTCTTACTTCCTACCAATATACAAGAGACAATTCCAAATGGAGTGATAGACAGAATAATGCTATTTCCACCCAAAAATATGCCCCTTCTAACCCTTGGAAACTGTAAATATGTTAACTTACATGGCAAAGGGACTTTGAGATGTGATTAAGGTTAGGGAACTTGTGATGGAGAGATGATCCTAATCACTAGAGTCTTAAAAGTGGAAAGAGGAAGCAGAAGAGTAGTTCAGGGAGGTGTGATCTGAGGACGCCATCCACCATTGCTGGTTTTAAAGAGCCCAGCAACACAGCAGCCTTTAGAAGCTGGGAGTGGCCATTAGCTTACAGGCAGCAATAAAACAGAGACTTTGATCCAACAACTGCAAACAACTGAATTTTGCCAATAATCTGAATGAGCAGAAAACAGATTCTCCCTTGGGGCCAACAGAAAGGAATGCAGCCTGCCAATACCTTGATTTTAGCACAGTGAGACCATACCAGACTTCTGTCTTAAAAAACTCTAAATAATAAATTTATGTTTTTTATAACCACTACATTTGTGGTAATGTGTTATGACAGCAATAGAAAACTAACACATGTCTTGAAATGCCAGCCATTTTACTATTTCTTACAATTCTGTGAATAGACTGGGCTTACCTGGGTGATTCTGCTCCACATGATGTCAGTAAGGACTCCATTCCTCTGAAGGCTTGATTGAGCTAGGGATGTTCAAGATGGCTCACTCACATAACTGGCAGTGGCAGTTGATGTTGCTAGGACCTCAGTCAGTTGAGACTGTGACCCACAGTGCCTAGCCATGGCCTTTTCATGTGGCTTGGGTTTCTCATGGCATGGTGACTGGATTCTGAGAGGGAGCATCCCAAGATTTAGCATTCCAGAAAACCAAGTCAGAAGGTGCAAGATTTCACATGGCTTAGCCCTGGAACTGGCACAGTATCACCTCAATGAAATAATTTTGTTAGGTCAGCCAAGATTCACTGTGGGAATGGACTACAAAAGGGTGTAACGACCGAAAAATATGCTGCATTGAGGTCAGTTTTTGGAGACTGTATACTACACAAAGTAACGATTTTTTCCTTTGTAGCCTCATCTTTATCCTTTTTTTTTGTTTTTTTCAGATGGAGTCTCACTCTGTCACCCAAGCTGGAGTGCAGTGGCACAATCTCAGCTCACTGCAACCTCTGCCTCCAGGGTTCAAGCGATTCTCATGCCTCAGCCTCTCAAGTAGCTGGGATTATAGGTGTGTGCCACCACACCTGGCTAATTTTTGTATTTTTAGTGTGTGTCGGTGGCGGGGGGTCTCACCAAGTTGCCAAGGCTGGTCTTGAACTCCTGACCTTAGGTAATCCTCCTGCCTTGGCCTCCCAAAGTGCTGGGACTACAGGCCTCAGCCACTGCTTCATCTTTTTACTTTGGTCCATGAACCTTTGATTTTCTGCTCAGGTCTACTTGAACTAGGAACTAGTAATTTTCCCAGGCATTCATACCTTTTTAGCTTTGCTTCTGTCAGGACTTGATGGTAAAAATTTTTCCATGCCCTTCTTTATGTGCCTAATTATAGCTTATCTTTAAGACATATTTCAGGTAGCACCTCATCCAGTAAGCCATTCTTGTTCAGATTAGGTGCCTGTATTGGTGATCCTGTACACAGTACCCTGCCCTTACACCTATGGAAGAACTTAGGAGTAAATCTTCACTCTCACTGATTTACTTGTCTCTATTCTTTTTTAAAATTTATTTATTTATTTATTTATTTATTTATTTACTTTTTTGAGACGGAGCCTCACTCCGTCGCCCAGGCTGGAGTGCAGTGGCGCGACCTCGGCTTACTGGAAGCTCCGCTTCCCGGGTTCCCACCATTCTCCTGCTTCAGCCTCCCGAGTAGCTGGGACTACAGGTGCCCACCACCACGCCCGGCTAATTTTTTGTATTTTTAGTAGACACAGGTTTTCACCATGTTAGCCAGGATGGTCTCCATCTCCTGACCTCGTGATCTGCCTGCCTCGGCCTCCCAAAGTGCTGGGATTACAGGCGTAAGCCACCAGGCCCGGCCGTCTTCTATTCTTTAACAGGCCATAAGCTCCTTAGAGGAGTGCATTTTGTACTCTCAGATTCCCCAGGTAGACCTACTGTATATGGCACAGAAAAGGGTCTCAGTTAATGTTGGCTGACAGAAGGAGTGATTGAACAATTATCTGTACATATTTACCACTTACACAAGGTGGAAATGCACCCAACATGAAATCGTACAAATGTCATGGCTTCCACCATGGAAAAAATTATGTATGCGTGAGGACAAGAGCTAAAAAACAAGAAAGAAAATGTCTAGAGTCACTTGTGAGGCTGGAACTGTGGTTTTCTTTCTTTCCTTTCTTTCTTTCTCTGTTTCTTTCCTTTCTTTCTTTCTTCCTTTCTTTCTCTTTCTCTCTCTTCTTTCTCTCTCTCTTTCTTTCTCTCTCTTTCTCTTTCTTTCTCTCTCTTTCTTTCTTTCTTTCTTTTCTTTTCATGTTCTAATATTATAATGATGTGACAAGAACTTGTAGAACCATCAGGTCCAAAAGCATCAACAACCTTGTCACTTGCAGCGTGGGCTGCTGATCAGCAACACTGACCTAACCTGGGAGTTTCTCACAAATGCAGAATATCTACACCCCATCCTACACCTACAGCGTTAGAACTCTTCATTTTAGCAAGCTCCCCAGGTGATTTCATATACGTATTGAAGTCTGTGAAACCCACTCAACACAGTCCTTCACTCTTTCCCTTATTAAATTTACAGCTGTTTGTTTAATTGACCTTTTTGTAAAGGTTCCGAGGACAACATAGTAAGGGATGCTCATTCATCTCTCTGCCAGTGCTTTCTGCGGTCTCTTCAGCTAGTTCTATCAGGCACTTCTGGCAATCTGGAGCGGCAGCCGGCTGGGCGGCGAGGAAACCGCTGCACGGATCCCGCCTCCCAGCACACGCAGTCGGCAGTTGCAGCCTCCAAGACCGCGGTGCCACCAAACCAAGCGCCGGACGCGGTGGCGCGCGCCTGTAATCCCAGCTCCCCGGGAGGCTGAGGTCGGCGGATCGTGGGTGCTCGGGGGTTCGGAGCTACGGCGCTGTGTGGAGCGGGCGTCCGCACCGGGCCTGGCACCAACATGGTACTCCCGGGGGAGCCCGGGAGTACCAGGTTGTCTAAGGAGGGGGGGACCAGGCCCAGGCCGGACACGGAGCAGGTCAAACTCCCCGTGTTGGGCGACGGTGGGACCGCGCCTGCGAGCAACGCCTGCAGTTCCACCCGGGACATCCGACGAGACCCGGTCTCTTTTAACTTCCCTTTTCGGGATTTCTTTTAAAAAATCAACAGCATTATTTCTGCATACCAAGTGAGTTCACTGGTGGGACTGGTATATGCTACCCTTTGCTCGATCTTCCTTTTTTTTTTTTTTACCCCTCAGGGAATGATGATTCATTCAGTCAGTGGGAGCCGGAAGAAACTCGTTAGTGACTTATCATCTTGGAAATTTCTCCATGTTGCACTCTTCCTTTCCCCAAACAACAAGACAGTAGTCTGTTTTGCATTTTGCAAATGCAGTTGCATAAGAATTTAACAAAGACTATTCGCTTGGCCAAACTTTAGTCAGGCTTCTGAATCTTCTGCTAGGCCCATCTGTGCACTTCCTTGTAACGTCCAGTTTTAGCAAAGAACCCTGCCAAGTCAGTTTAGCAAGAACCCCCATATCATCTATGTTTAACCTCCATTTCTGATCAGGCTCCTCATTCTCCACCATCCCCCAGATGATTGATGTCTGATTACCTTGGCCTGTCTTCAGCAAGAATCCTGTTAGGTTTGTTTGGCCAGAATTCCCCTTACCTCTGAGGTTTTCTCTTGGTAATTTCCTGTCCACTGACCAGGACACACTGCTCCTTGGCTATAAATTCCCATTTGCCCATGCTATATTCAGAACTGAGGCCGATCTCTTTCCCTCACTGCAAAACCTCCTTGCAATGGTCCCTTGTGCCTATCCCGATAGTCCTGAATAGTCTTCCTTACATTGCTTTCAGAAGTATCACTAAATAATTTTTTTAAAAAACAAATTGCATGGCATGAGAACTTCATAATCTAAGACAGAGATTTGGAAAAGGTTTGAACTTCCAGCTTTTTCAGGAACTTCCCACATAAAAACCTGTACACAACTATTCTTATCGGATTGGATAAAACACCTAAAGAGACATTTCACCGAAGAAGATATACAGATGGCAAACGAGCACATAAAAATGTTTTCAACATCCTTAGCACTAGGGAAATACAAATTACGACCAAGATGAGATATCACTATACATCTATCAGAATGACTAAAATAAAAATAGTGGCAACAACCAAATGCTGATGAGGCTGTATACATGTAGGTGGGAATGTGAAATGTAGCTGTTCTGGAAAACAGTTGGCAGTTTCTTAAAAAGCTAAATGTGCAAGTACCATACCACCCGGCAGCTGCACTCCTGGACATTTATCTTGGCTAAACGAAAATTTATATTAACACTAAAACCAGTATGCAAATGTTTATGGTAGCTTTATTTGTAAAAGTCAAAAGCTGAAAATGACTCAAATGTCTTTCAGCAGGTGAATGTTCAAACTGGTAAATTCATACCACAGAATGCTAGTGAGCGAGAAATAAGAATGAACTACTGATGCCGAACAACCTAGATGAATCTCTAGAGAATTACACTGAGTGCAAAAAGCCAATCCTAATAGGTTACATAATGTATGATTCCATTTTCATAACATTCTCGAAATGATGAAATCATAAAAGTGAAAAACAGATTACTAGTTGCCAGAGGTTGAGGCAGGAACAGTAGGCAAGTGGGTGTGGCTGTAAAAGGGCCAAAAGGAATCCTTGTGGTGATGGAAATGTTTTGCATCTTGACTTTATCAATATCAATATCAATATCCGGATTGTGATTTTGTGCTATAGTTTTGCAAGATGTTACCATTGGGGGCAAGCAGGTAAAGGGGACATGGGACCTCTCCATATTATTTCTTATAACTGCATGTGAATCTACGACTACCTAAAAATTAAACATTTAATTTAAAAAAAGACCAAAGTCATTAAAATTGGAGGGATAGGGAGCTGAAAGGGAAGAGCAAGAGAGTATGGAGAAAAATAATGGAGAGTCAAGTTGATACAGGAGATACAAAGAAATTGCTTAGGTAGTTAGGGCAAAAGAGTCCTCGGCAGAACTTCTCTTCTAACAAAAAGCAGCCCTAGAAATTATTCCTTTTCTAACAAAGAGCAGCCTGCAAGATGGAGCTGCAGACATAGATAAGGAAGCTGGAAACTTGCATGGGGGAAGGCTGGCAGCTGCACCGATAGAAAAGGTCTACCTGGGGGTGAGGCATGTCCACCATGAGGCTCCACCTTCCCTTTTTTGTTAGCATGTGTACAGTAAGAAAGAAATGGGCAACATGGAGAAGTTCAGGCAGAGAACCCACCTGCATAATAACAGATTGGGGTGAGGGTTGCCAGAGATTCACACCCTATGCAGTTGGCACACCTGGTCCTATCTGGGTTTTTCATGCCTTATGTAGATCAGACACCATCTCCCCACTAGCTCATCTGTAAAACCCCCTGCATTTCACCGAATTTCGGCAACCCATTTTTCCAGGACCCCTCTCTGTAGCAGAGAGATATTTTCTTTCTTTCGCCTATTAAATTTCCACTCTTAACCTCTCTGTGTGTCCAGGTCCTTGATCTCTGTGGCTGTGAGACGATGAATCTAGGGTGTCACCCCAGACAAGAGGCTGCTTCAAAATCCCAAAGTCCAAAGGAGGACTGCTTCATAAGGGAAGGATTGTTTATAGGTTGGTATACTGTGCAAAATTAAGTATAGGACCAAAAACAGCCAAGACATTTGAAAGTTGGAAAGTTGATGGTAATGGTTTCCTGGGATTGGAAGGCAGACCTCCTCCGCTGATGAGCAAATAATGAGGTAAACATTGTTCTTTCAACAGGTTTGGTGCTGAGTGGAAGGAAAGAGTCTGAGGATAATGCATAAGGTCATGTGTTCCATTTTTGTTGTCCAAAGATAGAGGTTTAGACATTCTGTAATTTGAAGAGAGGCACGTAAGGAGGAGAGAGATGAAAGACACAAACATAGAGCAAAATGGAATGGGTAGAGGGTTCAAAAGCTCAGATGGAATATTAAGTAGACTTGGAAATGAGAGACCATTCCTCCGAGTAGGAAGACAGGGGTTGAATATGCCAAGAGCTAGCAAATTAGGAGGTTAGGAAAAAGGTGGCTGAGGGAATATGCTGGCTGTCTCCCTTTCACAGCGCAGCAGCCACCCCTCCCCTCCCCCACCTCTAGCAAGTAGCCACTTTTTCAACAGCTTAGGCGGCTCCTTTTTCCAGGAAACTTCCCTTCAGTTCACCGGCCGTGCCTCTCTCTATCCTTTTCCTCGGAGCAGGCTGTGCTATGATCAAGGCATTGTGACCCCTGTGACCCACACGTACACATCCAGAAGGTCTCCTGGAGCCAGAAAGTCTGGGACAACAGGAAAACCACAAAAGAAGAAAAACAGCTCCTGTCTTAGCTGATTAGCCAACCTTGCGACCTTCTACCATTGTAACGTGCTCTACCCTAACTGATCAATCAACTTCGTGACACTGTGCTCTGTGACCCCTCCCACCTTGTGATAATGTACCTTGTGACATTCTTCCCTTGCCCGCAATAAACGGGCCCTTATTGTATCTTTCCACTGCTTACTCCTAACCTATAAAACTAGCTGCAATCCCACCACCCTCCGGTGGTGGGACTCCCTTTTCGGACTCAGCCCGCTCGGACCAGAGTGAATAAACAGCTTGTTGCTCACACTTAGCCTGTTCAGGTTGTCTCTTCAGTTAGACGCGCGCATAACACTAACAATTCACTTAATAAATATTTATTGAGGGAACAGAGGTCGCAAATAAAATGTAATTACTATTGCTCAAGATTAAACTTCTTTCAGCACGTTTGCCTTTTCTTCTTTTATCTAGTGAGATGTTGAAACCCATACCTAGAGTTCTGCTACAGAAATAAACGTATCCCACAGTGTTCTTGCGATTTCCTTTATGAATTTGAGAAAAATATGACCCCATTTTAGGTTCTAAGGAGTGTTTCTGTATTGTAGAAGGAAAATTCCATATTTGTATTGCCGTGGGCACAAAAAACCGAGCGCTCTCATGCCGAAACCCGGGATCGAACCAGGGACCTTTAGATCTTCAGTCTAACGCTCTCCCAACTGAGCTATTTCGGCTCCGCCCGCGCCACTTAAAAATAAGGCTTAATGAATTTATTACTTATGTTTTTTATTTACTATTAGGTATTTATTAAAAAAAAAACCCACAATGACAGGTACTCCGAAGGAACCAAAGACAAATTAAAAAATTATTTCGTTCTTCAAATGGCTCACCACTTTATGCAAAGAAAAGCAAGAAGACAATTACAAATTGATGCTACAATTTATTCTCGGTTGAATGCACACATCGAAACAGAGCACGTTCCATCATCCAGTTACGAACTTCCCAAATTACTCTTATGGCATTGCCACGCCCTCTGCCGTCCAGATTTTATTGGTTGGTGCAAAACAGGAGGTCAGTGAATACGAGAGCATGACCGTGCACTAACTCGTCGGAAAAGTAGAAGTCAACTGTGTGCGTATGTGTTGAGTTCTCGCTTCATAAATATGTTTTAATAAACCTACTTCAGCTTCCCTGGTGGTCTAGTGGTTAGGATTCGGCGCTCTCACCGCCGCGGCCCGGGTTCGATTCCCGGTCAGGGAATGAGGTTTTTCTGTTTTAACCTCCAAATTCTTTCATCCAGGAACGAAATCTCTGAGTAAACAGCAAATTGTGGATAAGTTAACTTTCAATTTTCATAGGAGGCATTTTCTGCATAGAAACCCTGTTCCTGTTTTAGTATTCCAGGTACAAAATGACAAGCAATGTAATTTTCAATTATTTTAAAACATTTATTAATGAATACTTAATCTAGCGTAGACCGAGTGTCCGGCATTGTTCTAAGTAAGCGCTTTAACATTTTTAACTCAATTGGGTGATTCAGTAAGCGGGAAATTCCGGAGACAATCCATTAGGAGTTAGTTGAGATTAGCATAACCTTTTGAAAAGACAGTTATGAAGATGACAGAGAAGAAATGGCGAAGTCATTTCTGGGAGATTTGATCGCTGTGTTCAAGCTTCTGAAGCTGCTAGAGCCTCGGTGGTTTAGACACCTACTCTATCTTCCTCGGATTTCTCTGTAAGTTTCACGCTGCTCCAACTGGGCGCTAGGGGATAGCCCTAGAAATACCTACACAGTAATTTAATATTCTGGGCCAAAGCAGTTTCAGGACTGCTTCATCTCTCCAGCGCTTCAACCTTTTTTCCCCTATGAAGGTACAAATTATGTTTTTTTCCTAAGAGAGGATAGGAGAAGGTCATAAACATGAAATTAAAACCTGCTGTCACAAAACTGAGAAACAGGCAAACAATGAATTCAGCACCATCTCTGAATGCACATTTGGTAAATTTACCGAGAGCTACTGGAGAAAAAGCAGACTTTTTGTTTCTCTCCTGACAAGGTTTGGTGACCCTGTGCTAACTGGTTCCTGTCTGACAATATCGGGGCATGAATCTTTGTTTCTTGGTCTGTCTAAAGAGCAGCTATTGCTTATTATTTCTTTCTTATATCTGATAAGAGTTTGGGGCACGTATGACTTCTCTACAAGTTTCCAAACAAAGATCGTGGTGCTCCTGATCTTATTTCACCAACAAATGGAATATGTGATTTTTTGTTTGTTTTTTGAAATGGAGTCTCTCTTTGTCGCCCAGGCTGGAGTGCAGTGGCCCGATCTCAGCTCACTGCAACCTCCGTTTCCCGGGTTCAAACAATTCTCCTGTCTCGGCCTCCCGAGTAGCTGGGATTAAAGGCACGTGCCACCACTCCAGGTTAATTTTTGTATTTTTAGTAGAGACGCGGTTTCACCATGTTGGCCAGGCTGGTCTCGAACTCCTGATCTCAAGAGACCCACCCGCCTCAGCCTCCCGAAGTGCTGGGATTACAGGCGTGAGCCACCGCTTCCAGCCAGGATGTGATGTTGTTATGATCCAGTTAAATGAAGCAGGACTTTTTCTAATTAATTGCACTTTCTCTTCTCTTCCCTGGCTCCATATATTCACAGTTTCCAAAACTTCCTTGAGATGGGACACTCTTTTGTCATCTTGTCAGTTCTGTCCTTGAATTAATAAACTTTGACACATACATAAGATCAATTTGACTAAGAAATCTTATTTTGACATAGACATAAAAGTAATATGGTTTGTAAAATTCCTGTATATACGGAAGCCTTTTAATCTAATGTTTCATAGGAATTCAACCCTCTAGGCCTGCTGGTGATCAGTTCTTGAAAAGCACCCTCTTTTCGTGATATCACACGTTGTCTCCTCTATGTGCAGCAAGAATCTCTTGCTTCATTAGTTTTTATGCCTCTGCTTTCAGAAAACAGTCTGGTTGGGACCCCTGTGAAAGGAACTGTCTGGCTTAACTTATCTTGATTAATGCCTCTTTTTTTCTTTTCTTTTCTTTTCTTTTCTTTCATTTTCCACATAAAGCTAATTGGATTAGAGAAAAAGAACTCTTCTTCGAATGCTACCAGTTTCTTTCCTTCTCATCTGAGCTATTATTCATTGTCCATAGGAAAAAAAATTCCCTAATTTTGGCACGGTAGGTTCTGTTTATTCACCAGACTTGCTACCGTTTACTCGTCAGCTCAGAGAAAACGTCGAAAAAATATAACAAAACCAAAATATGCATCAAGACAAGAGGAGGAAAGAGAATGTGAAAGACTACTAAAAAAAAAAAAAAAAAAAAAAAAGTCAACAGCTAGGGTCAAGGAATCAATCTGCAAATATTCAGAGCCAGTAGGCTTGTACTACACTAGTCACTATGGAAAATGAAAAATGACCAAGACAGAAATCTCACCTCTTAACACCCCCCAAATCCCAATTTTCTCAACTGTAAAATGGGAATAAAAGTATTACAGTATTTACTATATAAAGTTGCGATGAGTCAATAACATAATACACAAAAGCAGTCAGCCAATTATCCAAATCCGTGTTATTAATATTATCATCATCATCATTCTTCTCACCGTACTTGGGGAATGAAGGAGACAGATACTGTGAGTAAGTTTTCCTTTTTTTTTTTTTTTTTTTTTTTTTTTTAGACAGAGTCTCGCTCTGTCGCCCAGGCTGGAGTGGAGTGGCGCCATCTCGGCTCACTGCAAGCTCTGCATCCTGGGTTCACGCCATTCTCCTGTTTCAGCCTCCAGGTAGCTGGGCCTACCGGCGCCCGCCACCACGCCCGGCTAATTTTTTGTATTTTTAGTAGAGACGGGGTTTCACCGTGTTAGCCAGGATGGTCTCGATCTCCTGACCTGGTGATCCGCCCGCCTCGGCCTCCCAAAGTGCTGAGATTACAGGCGTGAGCTACCGCGCCCCGCCAAGTGAGTAAATTTTCTATTGGGCACAGAGTTACCTGCTAAAATGAAGTGTGGAAAAATACAATGGGGTGTGTGTATGTGAGAGAGAGAGGGAGATTTGGAGGTGGGGTGGGGAAGACCCTGTTTGAAGTGGGCTTTGAAGAATGAACAAGATTTTTATTAGGGAACAAAATGGAAACCAGCATTCCAGGACAAGCGTCTCAGGAGAAGCAAAAGCGCAGAGTTGTGAAAGCTCTTAGATTTTCAGAACTTTGAATTCTGAACTATATATAAACCTGGAAAATCTCGGTTAACTATGGGATGGCATCAAGATTTCAATTTCAAGCTTTCTGGTCATGCACAGTAAAGCTGGAATTAGAGTCTCTTACGTATGGCAGTTGTTGACAAGTCCGTACAGGTACCTAAGTGCTTCCCAGAAAATTCCTCAAGTTGGTAGGTCCTGGGGGAATCAGTTTAGTTCTAAAGAGAGGACTCATCAGAGATCTGTTCAACTTCCAGGAATCTGTGAGGATAGCTCCAAATCTCACTCTCATGCCCAGCCTATCAAACAAAGCAAACCGGTTGGACTGAAGCTGTGGGATCGGGACTGAAATAGAACCAGCGAGAAAGGCAGTCCTCCTCGATTCCTAGAGAGAACACATTCAGCCAGCAGTTGGATAGAGGATACTAGCAAGTCCCTCGCCAGGGCGGGGGAGCAGAGACACATTCCTGTCCCGTTTACATTCTTCCTCTGGCGGAGGCGGGAGGGTCGCTTGAAGCCTCGGATTTCGAGATCAGCCAGGACAAAAAAGCGAGACCCCCGTTTCTACCAAAAAGGGGGGGGGGTGGGCGGGGGGAAGAGAGAGAGAGAGAGAAAGGAAAAGAAAGAGAAAGAAAAGAAAGAAAAACTAGGCGCGGTCACGTGTACGTGTAGTTCCAGCTGCTCGGAGGTTGAGGCGGGAGGATCTCTTGAGCCCAGAAGTTCGAGGCCGCAATGAGCTCTGATCGTGGCAGAGCGAGGCCCTGGCTCAAATACATACATACTTTGTTCTGACTTTGTGTGCCCTTACTCTTTCCTCAGGTGCACGCTTGGGCTCGTTACTGCTCAGAATTTTAGAATCACAGATCCAGCAGTGATCAGGCAGCTGCAGCTGTCAGGGACCACCACCACCTACGCGATTGATCCGTGGGAGAAGCCGTCCTACTCTTTTCTTTCTCCTTTGTCCTTCTCATTCCTGACCCCTTCAGGATTCTCAGTCTTCCCTCCGGGAGGTAGGGATTCTACGGAGAGAGAAGGGTTGTGGGGCTTGTTCTGTTGCGGGTTCAAACCCAAATTGTCTTTTTCTTTTCAGACTTTTGGCCAGTCTTGTCTCGCTCCAACCTCCTACCCCCACCCCATTCCTCAGTGCATTCGTGAATTTCTCCAAGCAGGCCTTTCCAGATCGACACTAAGTTCCAATCCCGAGCTGTGTGACCCAGCACCAATTCAGTCACGATGATGACTTGCAATTGCTTAATCAGTTGGCCTTTCCTCCTAGCTGTGAAGGTGAGGACCGCCGGTGTCAGCGTTCGTCCTGAATACTCAGTGCCCAGGCACAGAGTAGGCATTCAGTCAATACTTGTTGAACGGGTTAATGGATTCCTGATGTTCACTGGTTGATATCGTCACTTTCAAATAATTTCTCCCATTTTTCTGTTTTGTTTTCACCCTCCTAGTTTACCGTGCAGGATTGCAAACACCAGAGAGAAAATCAGTCTCTGGAATGATGCCTTTGATGGACCAAGATGCAGCTGATGAAGCATTGAACCAATTAGCACCTAGCAGGAGGGCACCCTTGCTCTGTGTCCTTGAAGGTTAAAGCTGTCAAAAAGTGGTCTCCCTCAAGTTCGGCCATCTTGCTCTCAGAGATCTAGAACTGGTAGGAGAATATAGCCTTGATAGTGGAGAGGAAACTATTGCTGTTGTGAGGGACTGAGAGAACCAGGCAGAGAGCCCAGATTGACACAGCAGGTGACAAAAGAGGCGCGCCTACCTTGGGGAATACGGAGGAACAGAGGAAAGTGAGACCAGGAGAAAGAGCAGGGGGGCGGGTGTGCAGGCCGGGCGCCGTGGCTCACGCCTGTAATCCCAGCACTTTGGGAGGCCAAGGCAGGCGGATCACAAGGTCAGGAGTTCGAGACCAGCCTGGCCAATATGGTGAAACCCTGTCTCTACTAAAAATACAAAAATTAGCTGGGCGTGGTGGCGAATGCCTGTAGTCCCAGCTACTCGGAAGGCTGAGGCAGGAGAATCGCTTGAACCCGGAACCCGGGAGGCAGAGGTTGCAGTGAGCCGAGATGGCGCCATTGCACTCTAGCCTGGGCGACGGACTGAGACTTCGTCTCAAAAAAGGGAGTGACTGTGTTGCTTTTGCTTTCTTGGAAATCTTTTTTCTTAGTAATTTTCCTAAAGTAATTTCCTTAGGAAATAATGTATTGCTAAGAGTATTGCAACTTTTAGTATTGACGAGGTACTTTTACTGAATCAGTATAAGTCAACAAGCAACCACCAGAAGCTGGAAAAGGCCAGGATAGGATTTTACTCTAAAGTTTCTAGAGGGAGCTGGACGCAGCCCACACCTTGATTTTGGCCCACATACTGATTGTGGATTTCTGGCCTTCAGAAATACATATCTGTTGTAAGAGAATACATATCTGTTGTTTTTAGACAGTTTCTGATAATTTGTTACAGTAACCACAGGAAATTAACACCAGGCACTATGCAGTAAATTCCGTATGAACAACTCAAGTATAAGAATTTGTAAGACAGCCGGGCGCGGTGGCTCACGCCTGTAATCCCAGCACTTTGGGAGGCGCGGTGGCTCACGCCTGTAATCCCAGCACTTTGGGAGGCGCGGTGGCTCACGCCTGTAATCCCAGCACTTTGGGAGGCCGAGGCGGGCGGATCACCTGAGGTCGGGAGTTCCAGACCAGCCTGACCAACATGGAGAAACCCCCATCTCTACTAAAAATACAAAATTAGCCGGGCTTGGTAGCGCATGCCTGTGATCCCAGCTACTCGGGAGGCTGAGGCGGGAGAATTGCTTGAACCTGGGAGGCGGAGGTTGCGGTGAGTCGAGATCGCGATATTGGACTCTAGCCAACTCCATCTCCAAAAAAAAAAAAAAAAAAAAAGAATTCTAAGACAGCATAGTTTCCACTGGCATATTGGATAAAAACTTCCGTCAGCAGTGATTTTAATGAAGATGAATGACAAAACAATAAGAAACTCCAGCGCTAGTTAACTTTCTTTATTATGATCTTATTTGTCATAATTTTTTGCACAATGCGTTTTTATTTTAGGACTCAGTCAAAATTTTGGGCCAAGGAGACCGACGCGCTGTCGCCTGCACTAAGAGAAACGCAACGAACAACTTTGTCAATGCATTGCATTATACTATAGCAGCAACTATACTTTTAAATGATTCGAATCTTGAGGTTTCAAACTGAACCGTCTTGTGCCTTTTGCCCGGCGGGCATTTCTGCGGGGACCGCGGGTCACCTTCTGAATTTTTACCTTCATAAACAGCAAGGACTGCGCTCTTTCGCACGGCGCCCCGTTTTTTCGTAGAGTTCCGTCGGCCAAAACCACTTGAAACTCGCTCAGCGGCGTCGGGGCTCCAGCCAGGCGTCACCTTCCACGGCGAACCTGCGAACCACAGCGTCCCCTGGGGGTCTCCGTCCGCGTGGCCGCTTCCTCTTACATCGGTGACGCAAGGGAAGGGCGTCTAGGATCCGCCGGTTTCCTTCCTCACTGCTCCCATCAGTGCGAAAGCAACGTGTTGGGGGTTCGGGGTGTGTGGCGGCTGAACAGCTGCCTGAAGTTCTCTGATGGCGCTGGAGGGAGCTCCAGAGAAGAGGTCATGGGGAGAAGGCACACCTTAAACGCCCCGGGGTTGGGGGGCGGGGGGCGACATTCCCTAATGGGAAAAAAGACACACCTTAAACGCAGTAGAGGGCGACATTCTCTACTAGGGAAAATGCGGAAGAACACAGTTGTAATCAACGGTAGCGTGGCCGAGCGGTCTAAGGCGCTGGATTAAGGCTCCAGTCTCTTCGGGGGCGTGGGTTCAAATCCCACCGCTGCCAAGTACTTTTCATTCTCACTAGGGACTGTTTTTAGGAGAATCCCTTTCCAAATGTTCAGTATGAATGGTTCTTACGTATCAATCCCATTCTCCTCT
Source organism: Homo sapiens (assembly GCF_000001405.40). Lineage (NCBI taxonomy): Eukaryota > Metazoa > Chordata > Mammalia > Primates > Hominidae > Homo > Homo sapiens. The sequence goes on from NT_167249.2 coordinate 298,640, forward strand.
TCGACTTCTGTTTACCACGGAGCCAGAGATAACCGTCCCCAGAACAATGTTCCCCCATTATTTAGAGGACAGTGTACTCCAGGCGCCTCAGATACAGCAATGAGTGACACAAGCAAAAAAACCCTTAATGGCACATACTTAGTGAGGTGGCACGATCTCGGCTCACTGTAACCTCCGCCTCCCCGGTTCAAGCCATTCTCCTGCCTCAGTCTCCCGAGTGGCTGGGATTACAGGTGCGCGCCACCACGCCCTGGCTAATTTTTGTATTTTTAGTAGAGACGGGGTTTCGCCATGTTGGTCAGGCTGGTCTCGAACTCCTGGCCTCAAGTGATCCTCCCTCCTCGGCCTCCCACAGTGCTGGGATTACAGGCGTGGGCCACCGCACGCAGCCTGAAGGATTAATTTATGTTTGGAATCAGCTGCTGTTCTTCCTCCAGCCTCTCTGTAGTGTGCTCACTTCACACTTGGAACCATAGTTATATGGTATAGAGAAGAGACAACTCTAGGGAAAGTGCCAGTGCCTTGCCTTACCTTACAACTGCCAGACACACCCAGTCAGGTACCTTCTCTGTGGGCTTCTCAGTACCCCATATCTCTGTGGTTGCCGGGGGAGCCCTATCTCTCCTCGGAGCAGTTCTCTCTGCATACTTCTGGTCTGTCTCTCATTCTCTAGACCTCAGCTTGGAAGTTGTTTCTCCTTGGAAGCCTTCCCTCATCTCCTTCTCTTCCTCTTTCCAGCTTCATAAAGTTTGGGAGGGTATGGAGAGGATAAGGAAGGGAACAGCACAGAACGTCCTTGCCCCACGGAACTCAGAGTTTAGTGGGGTTCTCATGGGGGTTCACAAGGATTAGATAAGTTATTGCCCTAATATGGGGCAAACTCTACTAAAAAGGAGATAGCTTTCTATGTGTAGATTTTGAATGATGTTCCAGATTTAAGAGAATAAAAAGAAAATAATATGAATTGTATGTTAGAAAGAAGGACTGTCACAGAATTGTTCCCAACTGGGATTACAGGTGCAGGCCACTAGGTCCGGCTAATTTTTGTATTTTTAGTAGAGAGGGGCGTTTTGCCATGTTGGCCAGGCTGGTCTCAAACTCCTGACCTCAAGTGATCCTCCCACCTGGGACTCCCCAAGTGCTGGGATTACAGGTGTGAGCCACCACGCCTGACCACCTTTATTGATTTTTGAATGCTAATCCAACTTCTCCATGCTAGAATAATCTTAACTTGTTCAAGACATGTAATCTTTTAAAAAATGTATATTCCTGGATTCAGTTTGTTACTATCTCAAGATTTTTCTCACTACATTCATGAATGATAATAGCCTGTAATTTTCTTTTTTAAAAAATTTCCTTGT